>NC_000019.10:26864847-27190874 GCF_000001405.40 Homo sapiens | reverse complement strand
TCTGTCTAGCAGAATATGAAGAAATCCCGTTTCCAACGAAAGCCTCAAAGAGGTCTGAATATCCCCTTGCAGACTTTACAAACAGAGTGTTTCCTAACTGCTCCATGAAAAGAAAGGTTAAACTCTGTGAGTTGAACGCACACATCACAAAGGAGTATCTGAGAATCATTCTGCCTAGTTTTTCTACGAAGATATTTCCTTTTCTACTATTGACCTCAAAGCGGCTGAAATCTCCACTTGCAAATTCCACAAAAAGAGTGTTTCAGGTCTGCTCTGTGTAAAGGATCGTTCAACTCTGTGAGTTGAATACACACAACAGAAGGAAGTTACTGAGAATTCTTCTGTCTAGCAGAATATGAAGAAATCCCGTTTCCAACGAAGGCCACAAGATGTCAGAATATCCACTTACAGAATTTACAAACAGAGTGTTTCCTAACTGCTCTATGAAAAGAAAGGTTAAACTCTGTGAGATGAACGAACACATCACAACGCAGTTTGTGGGAATGATTCTGTCTAGTTTTGAAACGAAGATATTTCCTTTTCTGCCATTGACCTTAAAGCGCTTGATATCTCCACTTGCCAATTGCACAAAAAGAGTGTTTCAAATCTGCTCTGTCTAAGGGAACGTTCAACTCTGTGAGTTGAATGTACACAACACAAGGAAGTTACTGGGAATTCTTCTGTCTAGCCTTACAGGAAAAGAACCCGTTTCCAACGAAGGCCTCTAAGTGGTCAAAATATCCACGTGCAGACTTTACAAACAGAGTGTTTCCAAACTGCTGAATGAAAAGAAAAGTTAAACACTGAGAGTTGAACGCACACATCGCAGAGCAGTTTCTGAGAATGATTCTGTCTAGTTTTTATACGAAGATATTTCCTTTTCTGCCTTTGGCCTCAAAGCGCTTGAAATCTCCACTTGCAAATTCCACAAAAAGAGTGTTTCAAATCTGCTCTGTGTAAATGAAAGTTCAACTCTGTAAGTTGAACACACACAACACAAGGAAGTTACTGGGAATTCTTCTGTCTAGCATAATATGAAGAAATCCCGTTTCCAACCAAGGCCTCAAGGAGGTCTGAATATCCACTTGCAGACTTTACAAACAGAGTGTTTCCTAACTGCTCTATGAAAAGAAAGGTTAAACTCTGTGAGTTGAACGCACACATCACAAAGGAGTTTCTGAGAATCATTCTGTCTAGTTTTTCTACGAAGATATTTCCTTTTCTACTATTGACCTCAAAGCGGCTGAAATCTCCACTTGCAAATTCCACAAAAAGAGTGTTTCAAGTCTGCTCTGTGTAAAGGATCGTTCAACTCTGTGAGTTGAATACACACAACACAAGGAAGTTACTGAGAATTCTTCTGTCTAGCAGAATATGAAGAAATCCCGTTTCCAACGAAGGCCTCAAGGAGGTCTGTATATCCACTTGCATACTTTACAAACAGAGTGTTTCCTAACTGCTCTATGAACAGAAAGGTTAAACTCTGTGAGTTGAACGCACACATCACTAAGGAGTTTACTGAGAATCATTCTGTCTAGTTTTGAAACGAAGATATTTCCTTTTCTGCCATTGACCTTAAAGCGCTTGAAATCTACACTTGCAAATTGCACAAATAGAGTGTTTCAAATCTGCTCTGTCTAAGGGAACGTTCAACTCTGTGAGTTGAATGCACACAACACAAGGAAGTTACTGGGAATTCTTCTGTCTAGCCTCACATGAAAAAAACCCGTTTCCAACGAAGGCCTCTAAGTGGTCAAAATGTCCACGTGCAGACTTTACAAACAGAGTGTTTCCAAACCGCTGAATGAAAAGAAAAGTTAAACTCTGAGAGTTGAACGCACACATCACGCAGCAGTTTCTGAGAATGATTCTGTCTAGTTTTGAAACGAAGATATTTCCTTTTCTGCCTTTGGCCTCAAAGCGCTTGAAATCTCCACTTGCAAATTCCACAAAAAGAGTGTTTCAAATCTGCTCTGTGTAAATGAAAGTTCAACTCTGTGAGTTGAACACACACAACACAAGGAAGTTACTGGGAATTCTTCTGTCTAGCCTTATATGAAAAAAACCCGTTTCCAAAGAAGGCCTCAAAGAGGTCTGAATATCCACTTGCAGACTTTACAAACAGAGTGTTTCCTAACTGCTCTATGAAAAGAAAGGTTAAACTCTTTGAGTTGAACGCACACATCACAAAGGAGTTTCTGAGAATCATTCTGTCTAGTTTTGAAACGAAGATATTTCCTTTTTTACCATTGACTTCAAAGCGGCTGAAATCTCCACTTGCAAATTCCACAAAAAAAGAGTGTTACAAGTCTGCTCTGTGTAAAGGATCGGTCAACTCTGTGAGTTGAATACACACAACACAAGGAAGTTACTGAGAATTCTTCTGTCTAGCCTTACATGAAAAAACCCGTTTCCAACGAAGGCCTCTAAGTGGTCAAATTATCCACGTGCAGACTTTACAAACAGAGTGTTTCCAAACTGCTGAAGGAAAAGAAAAGTTAAACTCTGAGAGTTGAACACACACATCACAGAGCAGTTTCTTAGAATGATTCTGTCTAGTTTTTATAGGAAGATATTTCCTTTTCTACCTTTGACTTCAAAGCGGCTGAAATCTCCACTTGCAAATTCCACAAAAAGAGTGTTACAAGTCTGCTCTGTGTAAAGGATCGTTCAACTCTGTGAGTTGAATACACACAAGACAAGGAAGTTACTGAGAATTCTTCTGTCTAGCCTTACAGGAAAAAAACCCGTTTCCAACGAAGGCCTCTAAGTGGTCAAGTTATCCACGTGCAGACTTTACAAACAGAGTGTTTCCAAACTGCTGAATGAAAAGAAAAGTTAAACTCTGAGAGTTGAACGCACACATCGCAGAGCAGTTTCTGAGAATGATTCTGTCTAGTTTTTATACGAAGATATTTCCTTTTCTGCCTTTGGCCTCAAAGCGCTTGAAACCTCCATTTGTAAATTCCACAAAAAGAGTGTTTCAAATCTGCTCTGTGTAAATGAAAGTTCAACTCTGTGAGTTGAACACACACAACACAAGGAAGTTACTGGGAATTCTTCTGTCTAGCATAATATGAAGAAATCCCGTTTCCAACGAAGGCCTCAAAGGGGTCTGAATATCCACTTGCAGACTTTATAAACAGAGTGTTTACTAACTGCTCTATGAAAAGAAAGGTTAAACTCTGTGAGTTGAACACACACATCACAAAGGAGTTTCTGAGAATCATTCTGTCTAGTTTTTCTACGAAGATATTACCTTTTCTACTATTGACCTCAAAGCGGCTGAAATCTCCAATTGCAAATTCCACAAAAAGAGTGTTTCAAGTCTGCTCTGTGTAAAGGATCGTTCAACTCTGTGAGTTGAATACACACAACACAAGGAAGTTACTGAGAATTCTTCTGTCTAGCAGAATATGAAGAAATCCCGTTTCCAATGAAGGCCTCAAGGAGGTCTGAATATCCACTTGCAGACTTTACAAACAGAGTGTTTCCTAACTGCTCAATGAAAAGAAAGGTTAAACTCTGTGAGTTGAACGCACACATCACAAAGGAGTTTATGAGAATCATTCTGTCTAGTTTTGAAACGAAGATATTTCCTTTTCTGCCGTTGACCTTAAAGAGCTTGAAAACTACAATTGCAAATTGCACAAATAGAGTGTTTCAAATCTGCTCTGTCTAAGGGAACGTTCAACTCTGTGAGTTGAATGCACACAACACAAGGAAGTTACTGGGAATTCTTCTGTCTAGCATAGTATGAAGAAATCCCGTTTCCAACGAAGGCCTCAAAGAGGTCTGAATATCGACTTGCAGAGTTTACAAACAGAGTGTTTCCTAACTGCTCTATGAAAAGAAAGGTTAAACTCTGTGAGTTGAACGCACACATCACAAAGAAGTTTCTGAGAATCATTTCTGTCCAGTCTTTATACGAAGATATTTCCTTTTCTACCATTGACCACAAAGCGGCTGAAATCTCCACTTGCAAATTCCACAAAAAGAGTGTTTCAAGTCTGCTCTGTGTAAAGGATCATTCAACTCTGTGAGTTGAATAAACACAACACAAGGAAGTTACTGAGGATTCTTCTGTCTAGCAGAATATGAAGAAATCCCGTTTCCAACGAAGGTCTCAACGAGGTCTGAATATCCACTTGCAGACTTTACAAACAGAGCGTTTCCTAACTGCTCTATGAAAAGAAAGGTTAAACTCTGTGAGTTGAACACACACATCACAAAGGAGTTTCTGAGAATCATTCTGTCTAGTTTCTATAGGAAGATATTTCCTATTCTACCATTGACCTCAAAGCGGCTGAAATCTCCACTTGCAAATTCCACAAAAAGAGTGTTTCAAGTCTGCTCTGTGTAAAGGATCCGTTCAACTCTGTGAGTTGAATACACACAACACAAGGAAGTTACTGAGAATTCTTCTGTCTAGCATCATATGAAGAAATCCCTTTTCCAACGAAGGCCTCTAAGTGGTCAAAATATCCACGTGCAGACTTTACAAACAGAGTGTTTCCAAACTGCTGAATGAAAAGAAAAGTTAAACTCTGAGAGTTGAACGCACACATCACAGAGGAGTTTCTGAGAATCATTCTGTCTAGTTTTGAAACGAAGATATTTCCTTTTCTGCCATTGACCTTAAAGCGCTTGAAATCTCCATTTGCCAATTGCACAAAAAGAGTGTTTCAAATCTGCTCTGTCTAAGGTAACGTTCAACTCTGTGAGTTGAATGTACACAACACAAGGAAGTTACTGGGAATTCTTCTGTCTAGCCTTACATGAAAAAAAAACCCGTTTCAAACGAAGGCTTCTAAGTGGTCAAAATATCCACGTGGAGACTTTACAAACAGAGTGTTTCCAAACTGCTGAATGAAAAGAAAAGTTAAACTCTGAGAGTTGAACGCACACATCACAGAGCGGTTTCTGAGAATGATTCTGTCTAGTTTTTATACGAAGATATTTCCTTTTCTGCCTTTGACCCCAAAGCGCTTGAAATCTCCACTTGCAAATTCCAAAAAAACAGTGTTTGAAATCTGCTCTCTCTAAATGAAAGTTCAACTCTGTCAGTTGAATACACACAACACAAGGAAGTTACTGAGAATTCTTCTGTCCAGCCTTACATGAAAAAAACCCGTTTCCAACGAAGGCCTCAAAGAAGTCCAAGTATCCTCGTGGAGACTTTACAAACAGAGTGTTTCCTAACTGCTCTATGAAAAGAAAGGTTAAACTCTGTGAGTTGAACGCCCACATCACAAAGGAGTTTCTGAGAATCATTCTGTCTACTTTTTATACGAAGATATTTCCTTTTCTACCATTGACCTCAAAGCGGCTGAAATCTCCACTGGCAAATTCCACAAAAAGAGTGTTTCAAGTCTGCTCTGTGTAAAGGATCGTTCAACTCTGTGACTTGAAAACACACAACACAAGGAAGTTTCTGAGAATTCTTCTGTCTAGCAGAATGTGAAGAAATCCCGTTTCCAACGAAGGCCACAAGATGTCAGAATATCCACTTACAGAATTGACAAACAGACTGTTTCCTAACTGCTCTATGAAAAGAAAGGTTAAACTCTGTGAGTTGAACGAACACATCACAACGGAGTTTGTGGGAATGATTCTGTCTAGTTTTGAAACGAAGATATTTCCTTTTCTGCCATTGACCTTAAGCGCTTGAAATCTCCACTTGCCAATTGCACAAAAAGAGTGTTTCAAATCTGCTCTGTCTAAGGGAACGTTCAACTCTGTGAGTTGAATGTACACAACACAAGGAAGTTACTGGGAATTCTTCTGTCTAGCCTTACATGACAAAAACCCATTTCCATCGAAGGCCTCTAAGTGGTCAAAATATCCACGTGCAGACTTTACAAACAGAGTGTTTCCAAACTGCTGAATGAAAAGAAAAGTTAAACTCTGAGAGCTGAACGCACACATCGCAGAGCAGTTTCTGAGAATGATTCTGTCTAGTTTTATACGAAGATATTTCCTTTTCTGCCTTTGGCCCCAAAGCGCTTGAAATCTCCACTTGCAAATACCACAAAAACAGTGTTTCAAATCTGCTCTCTCTAAATGAAAGTTCAACTCTGTCAGTTGAATACACACAACACAAGGAAGTTACTGAGAATTCTTCTTTCTAGCAGAATATGAAGAAATCCCGTTTCCAACGAAAGCCTCAAGGATGTCTGAATATCCACTTGCAGACTTTACAAACAGAGTGTTTCCCAACTGTTCTATGAAAAGAAAGGTTGAACTCTGTGAGTTGAACGCACACATCACAAAGGAGTTTCTGAGAATCATTCTGTCTACTTTCTATAGGAAGATATTTCCTATTCTACCATTGACCTCAAAGCGGCTGAAATCTCCACTTGCAAATTCCACAAAAGGAGTGTTTCAAGTCTGCTCTGTGTAAAGGATCGTTCAACTCTGTGAGTTGAAAACACACAACACAAGGAAGTTTCTGAGAATTCTTCTGTCTAGCAGAATATGAAGAAACCCCGCTTCCAACGAAGGCCTCAAAGAAGTCTGAATATCCACTTACAGACTTTACAAACAGAGTGTTTCCCAACTGCTCTATGAAAAGAAAGGTTGAACTCTGTGAGTTGAACGCACACATCACAAAGGAGTTTCTGAGAATCATTCTGTCTAGTTTTGAAACGAAGATATTTCCTTTTCTGCCATTGACCTTAAAGCGCTTGAAATCTCCACTTGCCAATTGCACAAAAAGAGTGTTTCAAATCTGCTCTGTCTAAGGGAACGTTCAACTCTGTGAGTTGAATGTACACAACACAAGGAAGTTACTGGGAATTCTTCTGTCTAGCCTTACATGAAAAAAACCCGTTTCCAACGAAGGCCTCTAAGTGGTCAAAATATCCACGTGCAGACTTTACAAACAGAGTGTTTCCAAACCACTGAATGAAAAGAAAAGTTAAACTCTGAGAGTTGAACGCACACATCACGCAGCAGTTTCTGAGAATGATTCTGTCTAGTTTTGAAACGAAGATATTTCCTTTTCTGCCTTTGGCCTCAAAGTGCTTGAAATCTCCACTTGCAAATTCCACAAAAAGAGTGTTTCAAATCTGTTCTGGGTAAATGAAAGTTCAACTCTGTGAGTTGAACACACACAACACAAGGAAGTTACTGGGAATTCTTCTGTCTAGCCTTATATGAAAAAAACCCGTTTCCAACGAAGGCCTCAAAGAGGTCTGAATATCCACTTGCAGACTTTACAAACAGAGTGTTTCCTAACTGCTCTATGAAAAGAAAGGTTAAACTCTGTGAGTTGAACGCACACATCACAAAGGAGTTTCTGAGAATCATTCTGTCTAGTTTTTATAGGAAGATATTTCCTTTTCTACCTTTGACTTCAAAGCGGCTGAAATCTCCACTTGCAAATTCCACAAAAAGAGTGTTACAAGTCTGCTCTGTCTAAGGGAACGTTCAACTCTGTGAGTTGAATGTACACAACAAAAGGAAGTTACTGGGAATTCTTCTGTCTAGCAGAATATGAAGAAATCCCGTTTCCAACGAAGGCCACAAGATGTCAGAATATCCACTTACAGAATTGACAAACAGACTGTTTCCTAACTGCTCTATGAAAAGAAAGGTTAAACTCTGTGAGTTGAACGAACACATCACTACGCAGTTTGTGGGAATGATTCTGTCTAGTTTTGAAACGAAGATATTTCCATTTCTGCCATTGACCTTAAAGCGCTTGAAATCTCCATTTGCCAATTGCACAAAAAGAGTGTTTCAAATCTGCTCTGTCTAAGGGAACGTTCAACTCTGTGAGTTGAATGTACACAACACAAGGAAGTTACTGGGAATTCTTCTGTCTAGCCTTACAGGAAAAAAACCCGTTTCCAACGAAGGCCTCTAAGTGGTCAAAATATACACGTGCAGACTTTACAAACAGAGTGTTTCCAAACTGCTGAATGAAAAGAAAAGTTAAACTCTGAGAGTTGAACGCACACATCGCAGAGCAGTTTCTGAGAATGATTCTGTCTAGTTTTTATACGAAGATATTTCCTTTTCTGCCTTTGGCCCCAAAGCGCTTGAAATCTCCACTTGCAAATTCCACAAAAACAGTGTTTCAAATCTGCTCTCTCTAAATGAAAGTTCAACTCTGTCAGTTGAATACACACAACACAAGGAAGTTACTGAGAATTCTTCTGTCTAGCATAGTATGAAGAAATCCCGTTTCCAACGAAGGCCTCAATGAGGTCTGAATATCCACTTGCAGAATTTACAAACAGAGTGTTTCCTAACTGCTCTATGAAAAGAAAGGTTAAACTCTGTGAGTTGAACGCACACATCACAAAGAAGATTCTGAGAATCATTCTGTCTAGTTTTTATATGAAGATATTTCCTTTTCTACCATTGACCTCAAAGCGGCTGAAATCTCCACTTGCAAATTCCACAAAAAGAGTGTCTCAAGTCTGCTCTGTGTAAACGATCGTTCAACTCTGTGAGTTGAATACACACAACACAAGGAAGTTTCTGAGAATTCTTCTGTCTAGCAGAATATGAAGAAATCCCGTTTCCAACGAAGGCCACAAGATGTCAGAATATCCACTTACAGAATTGACAAACAGACTGTTTCCTAACTGCTCTATGAAAAGAAAGGTTAAACTCTGTGAGTTGAACGAACACATCACAACGCAGTTTGTGGGAATGATTCTGTCTAGTGTTTATAGGAAGATATTTCCTTTTCTACATTTGACTTCAAAGCGGCTGAAATCTCCACTTGCAAATTCCACAAAAAGAGTGTTACAAGTCTGCTCTGTGTAAAGGATCGTTCAACTCTGTGAGTTGAATACACACAACACAAGGAAGTTACTGAGAATTCTTCTGTCTAGCCTTACATGAAAAAAACCCGTTTCCAACGAAGGCCTCTAAGTGGTCAAATTATCCACGTGCAGACTGTACAAACAGAGTGTTTCCAAACTGCTGAATGAAAAGAAAAGTTAAACTCTGAGAGTTGAACGCACACATCGCAGAGCAGTTTCTGAGAATGATTCTGTCTAGTCTTTATACGAAGATATTTCCTTTTCTACCATTGACCTCAAAGCGGCTGAAATCTCCACTTGCAAATTCCACAAAAAGAGTGTTTCAAGTCTGCTCTGTGTAAAGGATCGTTCAACTCTGTGAGTTGAATACACAGAACACAAGGAAGTTACTGAGAATTCTTCTGTCTTGCAGAATATGAAGAAATCCCGTTTCCAACGAAGGCCTCAAAGAGGTCTGAATATCCACTTGCAGACTTTACAAACAGAGTGTTTCCTAACTGCTCTATGAAAAGAAAAGTTGAACTCTGTGAGTTGAACGCACACATCACAAAGGAGTTTCTGAGAATCATTCTGTCTAGTCTTTATACGAAGATATTTCCTTTTCTACCATTGACCTCAAAGCGGCTGAAATCTCCACTTGCAAATTCCACAAAAAGAGTGTTTCAAGTCTGCTCTCTGTAAAGGATCGTTCAACTCTGTAAGTTGAATACACAGAACACAAGGAAGTTACTGAGAATTATTCTGTCTAGCAGAATATGAAGAAATCCCGTTTCCAACGAAGGCCACAAGATGTCAGAATATCCACTTACAGAATTTACAAACAGACTGTTTCCTAAGTGCTCTATGAAAAGAAAGGTTAAACTCTGTGAGTTGAACGAACACATCACAACGCAGTTTGTGGGAATGATTCTGTCTAGTTTTGAAACGAAGATATTTCCTTTTCTGCCATTGAACTTAAAGCGCTTGAAATCTCCATTTGCCAATTGCACAAAAAGAGTGTTTCAAATCTGCTCTGTCTAAGGGAACGTTCAACTCTGTGAGTTGAATGTACACAACACAAGGAAGTTACTGGGAATTCTTCTGTCTAGCCTTACATGAAAAAAACCCGTTTCCAACGAAGGCCTCTAAGTGGTCAAAATATCCACGTGCAGACTTTACAAACAGAGTGTTTCCAAACCGCTGAATGAAAAGGAAAAGTTAAACTCTGAGAGTTGAACGCACACATCACGCAGCAGTTTCTGAGAATGATTCTGTCTAGTTTTTATACGAAGATATTTCCTTTTCTGCCTTTGGCCCCAAAGCGCTTGAAATCTCCACTTGCAAATTCCACAAAAACAGTGTTTCAAATCTGCTCTCTCTTAATGAAACTTCAACTCTGTCAGTTGAATACACACAACACAAGGAAGTTACTGAGAATTCTTCTGTCTAGCATAATATGAAGAAATCCCGTTTCCAACGAAGGCCTCAAAGAGGTCTGAATATCCACTTGCAGACTTTACAAACAGAGTGTTTCCTAACTGCTCTATGAAAAGAAAGGTTAAACTCTGTGAGTTGAACGCACACATCACAAAGGAGTTTATGAGAATCATTCTGTCTAGTTTCTATAGGAAGATATTTCCTATTCTACCATTGAACTCAAAGCGGCTGAAATCTCCACTTGCAAATTCCACAAAAAGAGTGTTTCAAGTCTGCTCTGTGTAAAGGATCGTTCAACTCTGTGAGTTGAATACACACAACACAAGGAAGTTACTGAGAATTCTTCTTTCTAGCAGAATATGAAGAAATCCCGTTTCCAACGAAAGCCTCAAGGATGTCTGAATATCCACTTCCAGACTTTACAAACAGAGTGTTTCCTAACTGCTCTATGAAAAGAAAGGTTAAACTCTGTGAGTTGAACGCACACATCACAAAGGAGTTTCTGAGAATCATTCTGTCTAGTTTTGAAACGAAGATATTTCCTTTTCTGCCATTCACCTTAAAGCGCTTGAAATCTACACTTGCAAATTGCACAAATAGAGTGTTTCAAATCTGCTCTGTCTAAGGGAACGTTCAACTCTGTGAGTTGAATGCACACAACACAAGGAAGTTACTGGGAATTCTTCTGTCTAGCCTTACAGGAAAAAAACCCGTTTCCAACGAAGGCCTCTAAGTGGTCAAAATATCCACGTGCAGACTTTACAAACAGAGTGTTTCCAAACTGCTGAATGAAAAGAAAAGTTAAACTCTGAGAGTTGAACGCACACATCGCAGAGCAGTTTCTGAGAATGATTCTGTCTAGTTTTTATACGAAGATATATCCTTTTCTGCCTTTGGCCTCACAGCGCTTGAAATCTCCACTTGCACATTCCACAAAAAGAGTGTTTCAAATCTGCTCTGTAAATCAAAGTTCAACTCTGTGAGTTGAACACACACAACACAAGGAAGTTACTGGGAATTCTTCTGTCTAGCAGAATATGAAGAAATCCCGTTTCCAACGAAGGCCTCAAAGAGGTCTGAATATCCACTTGCAGACTTTATAAACAGAGTGTTTCCTAACTGCTCTATGAGAAGAAAAGTTAAACTCTGTGAGTTGAACGCACACATCACAAAAGATTTTCTGAGAATCATTCTGTCTAGTTTCTATAGGAAGATATTTCCTATTCTACCATTGACCTCAAAGCGGCTGAAATCTCCACTTGCAAATTCCACAAAAAGAATGTTTCAAGTCTGCTCTGTGTAAAGGATCGTTCAACTCTGTGAGTTGAATACACACAACACAAGGAAGTTAATGAGAATTCTTCTGTCTAGCAGAATATGAAGAAATCCCGTTTCCAACGAAGGCCACAAGATGTCAGAATATCCACTTACAGACTTTACAAACAGAGTGTTTCCTAACTGCTCTATGAACAGAAAGGTTAAGCTCTGTGAGTTGAATGAACACATCACAACGCAGTTTGTGGGAATGATTCTGTCTAGTTTTGAAACCAAGATATTTCCTTTTCTGCCGTTGACCTTAAAGAGCTTGAAAACTACACTTGCAAATTGCACAAATAGAGTGTTTCAAATCTGCTCTGTCTAAGGGAACGTTCAACTCTGTGAGTTGAATGCACACAACACAAGGAAGTTACTGGGAATTCTTCTGTCTAGCCTTACAGGAAAAAAACCCGTTTCCAACGAAGGCCTCTAAGTGGTCAAAATATCCACGTGCAGACTTTACAAACAGAGTGTTTCCAAACTGCTGAATGAAAAGAAAAGTTAAACTCTGAGAGTTGAACGCACACATCGCAGAGCAGTTTCTGAGAATGATTCTGTCTAGTTTTTATACGAAGATATTTCCTTTTCTGCCTTTGGCCTCAAAGCGCTTGAAATCTCCATTTGCAAATTCCACAAAAAGAGTGTTTCAAATCTCCTCTGTGTAAATGAAAGTTCAACTCTGTGAGTTGAACACACACAACACAAGGAAGTTACTGGGAATTCTTCTGTCTAGAGTATGAAGAAATCCCGTTTCCAACGAAGGCCTCTAAGAGGTCTGAATATCCACTTGCAGACTTTACAAACAGAGTGTTTCCTAACTGCTCTATGAAAAGAAAGGTTAAACTCTGTGAGTTGAACGCACACATCACAAAGGAGTTTCTGAGAATCATTCTGTCTAGTTTTTATACGAAGATATTTCCTTTTCTACCATTGACCTCAAAGCGGCTGAAATCTCCACTTGCAAATTCCACAAAAAGAGTGTTTCTAATCTGCTCTGTGTAAAGGATCATTCAACTCTGTGAGTTGAATGCACACAACACAAGGAAGTTATTGAGAATTCTTCTGTCTAGCATAATATGAAGAAACCCCGTTTCCAACGAAGGCCTCAAAGAGGTCTGAATATCCACTGGCAGACTTCACAAACAGAGTGTTTCCTAACTACTCTATGAAAAGAAAGGTTAAACTCTGTGAGTTGAACGCACACATCACAAAGGAGTTTCTGAGAATCATTCTGTCTAGTTTTGAAACGAAGATATTTCCTTTTCTGCCGTTGACCTTAAAGCGCTTGAAATCTACACTTGCAAATTGCACAAATAGAGTGTTTCAAATCTGCTCTGTCTAAGGGAACGTTCAACTCTGTGAGTTGAATGCACACAACACAAGGAAGTTACTGGGAATTCTTCTGTCTAGCCTTACATGAAAAAAACCCGTTTCCAACGAAGGCCTCTAAGGGGTCAAAATGTCCACGTGCAGACTTTACAAACAGAGTGTTTCCAAACCGCTGAATGAAAAGAAAAGTTAAACTCTGAGAGTTGAACGCACACATCACGCAGCAGTTTCTGAGAATGATTCTGTCTAGTTTTTATACGAAGATATTTCCTTTTCTGCCTTTGGCCTCAAAGCGCTTGAAATCTCCACTTGCAAATTCCACAAAAAGAGTGTTTCAAATCTGCTCGGTCTAAATGAAAGTTCAACTCTGTCAGTTGAATACACACAACACAAGGAAGTTACTGAGAATTCTTCTGTCTAGCATAATATGAAAAAATCCCGTTTCCAACGAAGGCCTCAAAGAGGTCTGAATATCCACTTGCAGACTTTACAAACAGAGTGTTTCCTAACTGCTCTATGAAAAGAAAGGTTAAACTGTGTGAGTTGAACGCACACATCACAAAGGAGTTTCTGAGAATCATTCTGTCTATTTTCTATAGGAAGATATTTCCTATTCTACCATTGACCTCAAAGCGGCTGAAATCTCCACTTGCAAATTCCACAAAAAGAGTGTTTCAAGACTGTTCTGTGTAAAGGATCATTCAACTCTGTGAGTTGAATACACACAACACAAGGAAGTTACTGAGAATTCTTCTGTCTAGCAGAATATGAAGAAATCCCGTTTCCAACGAAGGCCACAAGATGTCAGAATATCCACTTACAGACTTTACAAACAGAGTGTTTCCTAACTGCTCTATGAACAGAAAGGTTAAACTCTGTGAGTTGAACGAACACATCACAACGCAGTTTGTGGGAACGATTCTGTCTAGTTTTGAAACGAAGATATTTCCTTTTCTGCCATTGACCTTAAAGCGCTTGAAATCTACACTTGCAAATTGCACAAATAGAGTGTTTCAAATCTGCTCTGTCTAAGGGAACGTTCAACTCTGTGAGTTGAATGCACCCAACACAAGGAAGTTACTGGGAATTCTTCTGTCTAGCCTTACAGGAAAAAAACCCGTTTCCAACGAAGGCCTCTAAGTGGTCAAAATATCCACGTGCAGACTTTACAAACAGAGTGTTTCCAAACTGCTGAATGAAAAGAAAAGTTAAACTCTGAGAGTTGAACGCACACATCGCAGAGCAGTTTCTGAGAATGATTCTGTCTAGTTTCCATAGGAAGATATTTCCTATTCTACCATTGACCTCAAAGCGGCTGAAATCTCCACTTGCAAATTCCACAAAAAGAGTGTTTCAAGTCTGCTCTCCGTAAAGGATCGTTCAACTCTGTGAGTGGAATACACACAACACAAGGAAGTTACTGAGAATTATTCTGTCTAGCATAATATGAAGAAATCCCGTTTCCAACGAAGGCCTCAAAGAGGTCTGAATATCCACTTGCAGACTTTACAAACAGAGTGTTTCCTAACTGCTCTATGAAAAGAAAAGTTAAACTCTGTGAGTTGAACGCACACATCACAAAGGAGTTTCTGAGAATCATTCTGTCTAGTCTTTATACGAAGATATTTCCTTTTCTACCATTGACCTCAAAGCGGCTGAAATCTCCACTTGCAAATTCCACAAAAAGAGTGTTTCAAGTCTGCTCAGTGTAAAGGATCGTTCAACTCTGTGAGTTGAATACACACAACACAAGGAAGTTACTGAGAATTCTTCTGTCTAGCAGAATATGAAGAAATCCCGTTTCCAACGAAGGCCACAAGATGTCAGAATATCCACTTACAGAATTTACAAACAGACTGTTTCCTAACTGCTCTATGAAAAGAAAGGTTAAACTCTGTGAGTTGACCGAACACATCACAACGCAGTTTGTGGGAATGATTCTGTCTAGTTTTGAAACGAAGATATTTCCTTTTCTGCCATTGACCTTAAAGCGCTTGAAATCTCCATTTGCCAATTGCACAAAAAGAGTGTTTCAAATCTGCTCTGTCTAAGGGAACGTTCAACTCTGTGAGTTGAATGTACACAACACAAGGAAGTTACTGGGAATTCTTCTGTCTAGCCTTACGTGAAAAAAAACCCGTTTCCAACGAAGGCCTCTAAGTTGTCAAAATATCCACGTGCAGACTTTACAAACAGAGTGTTTCCAAACTGCTGAATGAAAAGAAAAGTTAAACTCTGAGACTTGAACGCACACATCACAGAGCGGTTTCTGAGAATGATTCTGTCTAGTTTTTATACGAAGATATTTCCTTTTCTGCCTTTGGCCCCAAAGCGCTTGAAATCTCCACTTGCAAATTCCACAAAAACAGTGTTTCAAATCTGCTCTCTCTAAATGAAAGTTCAACTCTGTCAGTTGAATACACACAACACAAGGAAGTTACTGAGAATTCTTCTGTCTAGCATAATATGAAGAAATCCCTTTTCCAACGAAGGCCTCAAAGAGGTCTGAATATCCACTTGCAGACTTTACAAACAGAGTGTCTCCTAACTGCTCTATGAAAAGAAAGGTTAAACTCTGTGAGTTGAACGCACACATCACAAAGGAGTTTATGAGAATCATTCTGTCTAGTTTTTATACGAAGATATTTCCTTTTCTACCATTGACCTCAACGCGGCTGAAATCTCCACTTGCAAATTTCACAAAAAGAGTGTTTCAAGTCCGCTCTGTGTAAAGGATCGTTCAACTCTGTGAGTTGAATACACACAACACAAGGAAGTTACTGAGAATTCTTCTGTCTAGCAGAATATGAAGAAATCCCGTTTCCAACGAAGGCCACAAGATGTCAGAATATCCACTTACAGACTTTACAAACAGAGTGTTTCCTAACTGCTCTATGAACAGAAAGGTTAAACTCTGTGAGTTGAACGAACATATCACAACGCAGTTTGTGGGAATGATTCTGTCTAGTTTTGAAACGAAGATATTTCCTTTTCTGCCATTGACCTTAAAGCGCTTGAAATCTACACTTGCAAATTGCACAAATAGAGTGTTTCAAATCTGCTCTGTCTAAGGGAACGTTCAACTCTGTGAGTTGAATGCACACAACACAAGGAAGTTACTGGGAATTCTTCTGTCTAGCCTTACATGAAAAAAACCCGTTTCCAACGTAGGCCTCTAAGTGGTCAAAATATCCACGTGCAGACTTTACAAACAGAGTGTTTCCAAACCGCTGAATGAAAAGAAAAGTTAAACTCTGAGAGTTGAAAGCACACATCACGCAGCAGTTTCTGAGAATGATTCTGTCTAGTTTTTACACGAAGATATTTCCTTTTCTGCCTTTGGCCCCAAAGCGCTTGAAATCTCCACTTGCAAATTCCACAAAAACAGTGTTTCAAATCTGCTCTCTGTAAATGAAAGTTCAACTCTGTCAGTTGAATACACACAACACAAGGAAGTTACTGAGAATTCTTCTGTCTAGCAGAATATGAAGAAATCCCGTTTCCAACGAAGACCTCAAGGAGGTCTGAATATCCACTTGCAGACTTTACAAACAGAGTGTTTCCTAACTGCTCTATGAAAAGAAAGGTTAAACTCTGTGAGTTGAACGCACACATCACAAAGGAGTTTCTGAGAATCATTCTGTCTAGTCTTTATACGAAGATATTTCCTTTTCTACCATTGACCTCAAAGCGGCTGAAATCTCCACTTGCAAATTCCACAAAAAGAGTGTTTCAAGTCTGCTCTCTGTAAAGGATCGTTCAACTCTGTGAGTTGAATACACACAACACAAGGAAGTTACTGAGAATTATTCTGTCTAGCATAATATGAAGAAATCCCGTTTCCAACGAAGGCCTCAAAGAGGTCTGAATATCCACTTGCAGACTTTACAAACAGAGTGTTTCCTTACTGCTCTATGAAAAGAAAAGTTAAACTCTGTGAGTTGAACGCACACATCACAAAGGAGTTTCTGAGAATCATTCTGTCTAGTTTTGAAACGAAGATATTTCCTTTTCTGCCATTGACCTTAAAGCGCTTGAAATCTCCACTTGCCAATTGCACAAAAAGAGTGTTTCAAATCTGCTCTGTCTAAGGGAACGTTCAACTCTGTGAGTTGAATGTACACAACGCAAGGAAGTTACTGGGAATTCTTCTGTCTAGCCTTACATGAAAAAAACCCGTTTCCAACGAAGGCCTCTAAGTGGTCAAGTTATCCACGTGCAGACTTTACAAACAGAGTGTTTCCAAACTGCTGAATGAAAAGAAAAGTTAAACTTCTGAGAGTTGAACGCACACATCGCAGAGCAGTTTCTGAGAATGATTCTGTCTAGTTTTTATACGAAGTATATTTCCTTTTCTGCCTTTGGCCTCAAAGCGCTTGAAATCTCCACTTGCAAATTCCACAAAAAGAGTGTTTCAAATCTGCTCTGTGTAAATGAAAGTTCAACTCTGTGAGTTGAACACACACAACACAAGGAAGTTACTGGGAATTCTTCTGTCTAGCCTTATATGAAAAAAACCCGTTTCCAACGAAGGCCTCAAAGAGGTCTGAATATCCACTTGCAGACTTTACAAACAGAGTGTTTCCTAACTGCTCTATGAAAAGAAAGGTTAAACTCTGTGAGTTGAACACACACATCACAAAGGAGTTTCTGAGAATCATTCTGTCTAGTTTTTCTCCGAAGATATTTCCTTTTCTACTATTGACCTCAAAGCGGCTGAAATCTCCACTTGCAAATTCCACAAAAAGAGTGTTTCAAGTCTGCTCTGTGTAAACGATCGTTCAACTCTGTGAGTTGAATACACACAACACAAGGAAGTTACTGAGAATTCTTCTGTCTAGCAGAATATGAAGAAATCCCGTTTCCAACGAAGGCCTCAAAGAGGTCTGAATATCCACTTGCAGACTTTTCAAACAGAGTGTTTCCTAACTGCTCTATGAAAAGAAAGGTTAAACTCTGTGAGTTGAACGCACACATCACAAAGGAATTTCTGAGAATCGTTCTGTCTAGTTTTGAAACGAAGATATTTCCTTTTCTGCCATTGACCTTAAAGCGCTTGAAATCTCCATTTGCCAATTGCACAAAAAGAGTGTTTCAAATCTGCTCTGTCTAAGGGAACGTTCAACTCTGTGAGTTGAATGTACACAACACAAGGAAGTTACTGGGAATTCTTCTGTCTAGCCTTACAGGAAAAAAACCCGTTTCCAACGAAGGCCTCTAAGTGGTCAAAATATCCACGTGCAGACTTTACAAACAGAGTGTTTCCAAACTGCTGAATGAAAAGAAAAGTTAAACTCTGAGAGTTGAACGCACACATCGCAGAGCAGTGTCTGAGAATGATTCTGTCTAGTTTTTATACGAAGATATTTCCTTTTCTGCCTTTGGCCTCAAAGCGCTTGAAATCTCCACTTGCAAATTCCACAAAAAGAGTGTTTCAAATCTGCTCTGTGTAAATCAAAGTTCAACTCTGTGAGTTGAACACACACAACACAAGGAAGTTACTGGGAATTCTTCTGTCTAGCACAGTATGAAGAAATCCCGTTTCCAACGAAGGCCTCAAAGAGCTCTGAATATCCACTTGCAGAGTTTACAAACAGAGTGTTTCCTAACTGCTCTATGAAAAGAAAGGTTAAACTCTGTGAGTTGAACGCACACAACACAATGAAGTTTCTGAGAATCATTCTGTCTAGTTTTTATACGAAGATATTTCCTTTTCTACCATTGACCTCAAAGCGGCTGAAATCTCCACTTGCAAATTCCACAAAAAGAGTGTTTCAAATCTGCTCTGTGTAAACCATCGTTCAACTCTGTGAGTTGAATACACACAACACAAGGAAGATTCTGAGAATTCTTCTGTCTAGCAGAATATGAAGAAATCCCGTTTCCAACCAAGGCCACAAGATGTCAGAATATCCACTTACAGAATTTACAAACAGACTGTTTCCTAACTGCTCTATGAAAAGAAAGGTTAAACACTGTAGGTTGAACGAACACATCACAACGCAGTTTGTGGGAATGATTCTGTCTAGTTTTGAAACGAAGATATTTCCTTTTCTACCATTGATCTCAAAGCGCTTGAAATCTCCATTTGCCAATTGCACAAAAAGAGTGTTTCAAATCTGTTCTGTCTAAGGGAACGTTCAACTCTGTGAGTTGAATGTACACAACACAAGGAAGTTACTGGGAATTCTTCTGTCTAGCCTTACAGGAAAAAAACCCGTTTCCAACGAAGGCCTCTAAGTGGTCAAAATATCCACGTGCAGACTTTACAAACAGAATGTTTCCAAACTGCTGAATGAAAAGAAAAGTTAAACTCTGAGAGTTGAACGCACACATCGCAGAGCAGTTTCTGAGAATGATTCTGTCTAGTTTTTATACGAAGATATTTCCTTTTCTGCCTTTGGCCCCAAAGCGCTTGAAATCTCCACTTGCAAATTCCACAAAAACAGTGTTTCAAATCTGCTCTCTCTAAATGAAAGTTCAACTCTGTCAGTTTAATACACACAACACAAGGAAGTTACTGAGAATTCTTCTGTCTAGCATAATATGAAGAAATCCCGTTTCCAACGAAGGCCTCAAGGAGGTCTGAATATCCACTTGCAGACTTTACAAACAGAGTGTTTCCTAACTGCTCTATGAAAAGAAAGGTTAAACTGTGTGAGTTGAACGCACACATCACAAAGGAGTTTTCAGAATCATTCTGTCTAGTTTTTATACGAAGATATTTCCTTTTCTACCATTGACCTCAACGCGGCTGAAATCTCCACTTGCAAATTCCACAAAACGAGTGTTTCAAGTCCGCTCTGTGTAAAGGATCGTTCAACTCTGTGAGTTGAATACACACAACACAAGGAAGTTACTGAGAATTCTTCTGTCTAGCACAGTATGGAGAAATCCCGTTTCCAACGAAGGCCTCAAAGAGGTCTGAATATCCACTTGCAGAGTTTACAAACAGAGTGTTTCCTAACTGCTCTATGAAAAGAAAGGTTAAACTGTGTGAGTTGAACGCACACATCACAAAGAAGTTTCTGAGAATCATTCTGTCTAGTTTTGAAACGAAGATATTTCCTTTTCTGCCATTGACCTCAAAGCGCTTGAAATCTCCACTTGCCAATTGCACAAAAAGAGTGTTTCAAATCTGCTCTGTCTAAGGGAACGGTTCAACTCTGTGAGTTGAATGTACACAACACAAGGAAGTTACTGGGAATTCTTCTGTCTAGCCTTATATGAAAAAAACCCGTTTCCAACGAAGGCCTCAAAGAGGTCTGAATATCACTTGCAGACTTTACAAACAGAGTGTTTCCTAACTGCTCTATGAAAAGAAAGGTTAAACTCTGTGAGTTGAACGCACACATCACAAAGGAGTTTCTGAGAATCATTCTGTGTAGTTTTTATACGAAGATATTTCCTTTTCTGCCTTTGGCCTCAAAGCGCTTGAAATCTCCACTTGCAAATTCCACAAAAAGAGTGTTTCAAATCTGCTCTGTGTAAATGAAAGTTGAACTCTGTGAGTTGAACACACACATCACAAGGAAGTTACTGGGAATTCTTCTGTCTAGCACAGTATGAAGAAATCCCGTTTCCAACGAAGGCCTCAAAGAGGTCTGAATATCCACTTGCAGAGTTTACAAACAGAGTGTTTCATAACTGCTCTATGAAAAGAAAGGTTAAACTCTGTGAGTTGAACGCACACATCACAAAGAAGTTTCTGAGAATCATTCTGTCTAATTTTTATATGAAGATATTTCCTTTTCAACCACTGACCTCAAAGCGGCTGAAATCTCCATTTGCAAATTCCACAAAAAGAGTGTTTCAAGTCTGCTCTGTGTAAAGGATCGTTCAACTCTGTGAGTTGAATACACACAACACGAGGAAGTTACTGAGAATTCTTCTGTCTAGCAGAATATGAAAAAATCCCGTTTCCAACGAAGGCCTCAAAGAGGTCTGATTATCCACTTGCAGACTTTACAAACAGAGTGTTTCCTAACTGCTTTATGAAAAGGAAGGTTAAACTCTGAGAGTTGAACGCACACATCATAAAGGAGTTTCTGAGAATCATTCTGTCTAGTTTTTATTCGAAGATATTTCCTTTTCTACCATTGACCTCAAACCGGCTGAAATCTCCACTTGCAAATTCCACAAAAAGAGTTTCTCAAGTCTGCTCAAAGGATCGTTCAACTCTGTGAGTTGAATACACACAACACAAGGAAGTTGCTGAGAATTCTTCTGTCTAGCCTTACAGGAAAAAAACCCATTTCCAACGAAGGCCTCTAAGTGGTCAAAATATCCACGTGCAGACTTTACAAACAGAGTGTTTCCAAACTGCTGAATGAAAAGAAAAGTTAAACTCTGAGAGTTGAACGCACACATCGCAGAGCAGTTTCTGAGAATGATTCTGTCTAGTTTCTATAGGAAGATATTTCCTATTCTACCATTGACCTCAAAGCGGCTGAAATCTCCACTTGCAAATTCCGCAAGAAGAGTGTTTCAAGTCTGCTCTGTGTAAAGGATCGTTCAACTCTGTGAGTTGAATACACACAACACAAGGAAGTTACTGAGAATTCTTCTTTCTAGCAGAATATGAAGAAATCCCGTTTCCAACGAAAGCCTCAAGGATGTCTGAATATCCACTTGCAGACTTTACAAACAGAGTGTTTCCCAACTGCTCTATGAAAAGAAAGGTTAAACTCTGTGAGTTGAACGCACACATCACAAAGGAGTTTCTGAGAATCATTCTGTCTAATCTTTATATGAAGATAGTTTCCTTTTCTACCATTGACCTCAAAGCGGCTGAAATCTCCACTTGCAAATTCCACAAAAAGAGTGTTTCAAGTCTGCTCTGTGTAAAGGATCGTTCAACTCTGTGAGTTGAATACACACAACACAAGGAAGTTACTGAGAATTCTTCTGTCTAGCAGAATATGAAGAAATCCCGTTTCCAACGAAGGCCACAAGATGTCAGAATATCTACTTACAGACTTTACAAACAGAGTGTTTCCTAACTGCTCTATGAACAGAAAGGTTAAACTCTGTGAGTTGAACGAACACATCACAACGCAGTTTGTGGGAATGATTCTGTCTAATTTTGAAACGAAGATATTTCCTTTTCTGCCATTGACCTTAATGCGCTTGAAATCTACACTTGCAAATTGCACAAATAGAGTGTTTCAAATCTGCTCTGTCTAAGGGAACGTTCAACTCTGTGAGTTGAATGCACACAACACAAGGAAGTTACTGGGAATTCTTCTGTCTAGCCTTACATGAAAAAAACCCGTTTCCAACGAAGGCCTCTAAGTGGTCAAAATATCCACGTGCAGACTTTACAAACAGAGTGTTTCCAAACCGCTGAATGCAAAGAAAAGTTAAACTCTGAGAGTTGAACGCACACATCACGCAGCAGTTTCTGAGAATGATTCTGTCTAGTTTCCATAGGAAGATATTTCCTATTCTACCATTGAACTCAAAGCGGCTGAAATCTCCACTTGCAAATTCCACAAAAAGAGTGTTTCAAGTCTGCTCTGTGTAAAGGATCGTTCAACTCTGTGAGTTGAATACACAAAACACAAGGAAGTTACTGAGAATTCTTCTGTCTAGCATAATATGAAGAAATCCCGTTTCCAACGAAGGCCTCAAGGAGGTCTGAATATCCACTTGCAGACTTTACAAACAGAGTGTTTCCTAACTGCTCTATGAAAAGAAAGGTTAAACTCTGTGAGTTGAACGCACACATCACAAAGGAGTTTCTCAGAATCATTCTGTCTAGTTTCTATAGGAAGATATTTCCTATTATACCATTGACCACAAAGCGGCTTAAATCTCCAGTTGCAAATTTCACAAAAAGAGTGTTTCAAGTCTGCTCTGTGTAAAGGATCGTTCAACTCTGTGAGTTGAATACACACAACACAAGGAAGGTACTGAGAATTCTTCTGTCTAGCAGAATATGAAGAAATCCCGTTTCCAACGAAGGCCACAAGATGTCAGAATATCCACTTACAGAATTTTCAAACAGACTGTTTCCTAACTGCTCTATGAAAAGAAAGGTTAAACTCTGTGAGTTGAACGAACACATCACAACGCAGTTTGTGGGAATGATTCTGTCTAGTTTTGAAACGAAGATATTTCCTTTTCTGCCATTGACCTTAAAGCGCTTGAAATCTCCATTTGCCAATTGCACAAAAAGAGTGTTTCAAATCTGCTCTGTCTAAGGGAACGTTCAACTCTGTGAGTTGAATGTACACAACACAAGGAAGTTACTGGGAATTCTTCTGTCTAGCAGAATATGAAGAAATCCCGTTTCCAACGAAGGCCCCAAGGAGGTCTGAATATCCACTTGCAGACTTTACAAACAGAGTGTTTCCTAACTGCTCTATGAACAGAAAGGTTAAACTCTGTGAGTTGAACGCACACATCACAAAAGAGTTTCTGAGAATCATTTCTGTCTAGTTTCTATAGGAAGATATTTCCTATTCTACAGTTGACCTCAAAGCGGCTGAAATCTCCACTTGCAAATTCCACAAGAAGAGTGTTTCAAGTATGCTCTGTGTAAAGGATCGTTCAACTCTGTGAGTTGAATACACACAACACAAGGAAGTTACTGAGAATTCTTCTGTCTAGCATAATATGAAGAAATCCCGTTTCCAAAGAAGGCCTCAAGGAGGTCTGAATATCCACTTGCAGACTTTACAAACAGAGTGTTTCCTAACTGCTCTATGAAAAGAAAGGTTAAACTCTGTGAGTTGAACGCACACATCACAAAGGAGTTTCTGAGAATCATTCTGTCTAGTTTCTATAGGAAGATATTTCCTATTCTACCATTGAACTCAAAGCGGCTGAAATCTCCACTTGCAAATTCCACACAAAGAGTGTTTCAAGTCTGCTCTGTGTAAAGGATCGTTCAACTCTGTGAGTTGAATACACACAACACAAGGAAGTTACTGAGAATTCTTCTGTCTAGCAGAATATGAAGAAATCCCGTTTCCAACGAAGGCCACAAGATGTCAGAATATCCACTTACAGAATTTACAAACAGACTGTTTCCTAACTGCTCTATGAAAAGAAAGGTTAAACTCTGTGAGTTGAACGAACACATCACAACGTAGTTCGTGGGAATGATTCTGTCTAGTTTTGAAACGAAGATATTTCCTTTTCTGCCGTTGACCTTAAAGCGCTTGAAATCTACACTTGCAAATTGCACAAATAGAGTGTTTCAAATCTGCTCTGTCTAAGGGAACGTTCAACTCTGTGAGTTGAATGCACACAACACAAGGAAGTTACTGGGAATTCTTCTGTCTAGCCTTACATGAAAAAAACCCGTTTCCCACGAAGGCCTCTAAGTGGTCAAATTATCCACGTGCAGACTTTACAAACAGAGTGTTTCCAAACTGCTGAATGAAAAGAAAAGTCAAACTCTGAGAGTTGAACGCACACATCGCAGAGCAGTTTCTGAAAATGATTCTGTCTAGTTTTTATACGAAGATATTTCCTTTTCTGCCTTTGGCCTCAAAGCGCTTGAAATCTCCACTTGCAAATTCCACAAAAAGAGTGTTTCAAATCTGCTCTGTGTAAATGAAAGTTCAACTCTGTGAGTTGAACACACACAACACAAGGAAGTTACTGGGAATTCTTCTGTCTAGCATAATATGAAGAAATCCCGTTTCCAACGAAGGCCTCAAAGAGGTCTGAATATCCACTTGCAGACTTTACAAACAGAGTGTTTCCTAACTGCTCTATGAAAAGAAAAGTTAAACTACTGTGAGTTGAACGCACACATCACAAAGGAGTTTCTGAGAATCATTCTGTCTAGTTTTTCTACGAAGATATTTCCTTTTCTACTATTGACCTCAAAGCGGCTGAAATCTCCACTTGCAAATTCCACAAAAAGAGTGTTTCAAGTCTGCTCTATGTAAAGGATCGTTCAACTCTGTGAGTTGAATACACACAACACAAGGAAGTTACTGAGAATTATTCTGTCTAGCAGAATATGAAGAAATCCCGTTTCCAACGAAGGCCACAAGATGTCAGAATATCCACTTACAGAATTGACAAACAGACTGTTTCCTAACTGCTCTATGAAAAGAAAGGTTAAACTCTGTGAGTTGAACGAACACATCACAACGCAGTTTGTGGGAATGATTCTGTCTAGTTTTGAAACGAAGATATTTCCTTTTCTGCCATTGACCTTAAAGCGCTTGAAATCTACACTTGCAAATTGCACAAATAGAGTGTTTCAAATCTGCTCTGTCTAAGGGAACGTTCAACTCTGTGAGTTGAATGCACACAACACAAGGAAGTTTCTGGGAATTCTTCTGTCTAGCCTTACATGAAAAAAACCCGTTTCCAACGAAGGACTCTAAGTGGTCAAAATGTCCACGTGCAGACTTTACAAACAGAGTGTTTCCAAACCGCTGAATGAAAAGAAAAGTTAAACTCTGAGAGTTGAACGCACACATCACGCAGCAGTTTCTGAGAATGATTCTGTCTTGTTTTTATACGAAGATATTTCCTTTTCTGCCCTTGGCCCCAAAGCGCTTGAAATCTCCACTTGCAAATTCCACAAAAACAGTGTTTCAAATCTGCTCTCTCTAAATGAAAGTTCAACTCTGTCAGTTGAATACACACAACACAAGGAAGTTACTGAGAATTCTTCTGTCTAGCCTTATATGAAAAAGCCCGTTTCCAACGAAGGCCTCAGAGAGGTCTGAATATCCATTTGCAGACTTTACAAACAGAGTGTTTCCTAACTGCTCTATGAAAAGAAAGGTTAAACTCTGTGAGTTGAACGCACACATCACAAAGGAGTTTCTGAGAATCATTCTGTCTAGTTTTTATAGGAAGATATTTCCTTTTCTACCTTTGACTTCAAAGCGGCTGAAATCTCCACTTGCAAATTCCCCAAATAGAGTGTTACAAGTCTGCTCTGTGTAAAGGATCGTTCAACTCTGTGAGTTGAATACACACAACACGCGGAAGTTACTGAGAATTCTTCTGTCTAGCAGAATATGAAGAAATCCCGTTTCCAACGAAGGCCACAAGATGTCAGAATATCCACTTACAGAATTGACAAACAGACTGTTTCCTAACTGCTCTATGAAAAGAAAGGTTAAACTCTGTGAGTTGAACGAACACATCACAACGCAGTTTGTGGGAATGATTCTGTCTAGTTTTTATAGGAAGATATTTCCTTTTCTACATTTGACTTCAAAGCGGCTGAAATCTCCACTTGCAAATTCCACAAAAAGCGTGTTACAAGTCTGCTCTGTGTAAAGGATCGTTCAACTCTGTGAGTTGAATACACACAACACAAGGAAGTTACTGAGAATTCTTCTGTCTAGCCTTACATGAAAAAAACCCGTTTCCAACGAAGGCCTCTAAGTGGTCAAATTATTCACGTGCAGACGTTACAAACAGAGTGTTTCCAAACTGCTGAATGAAAAGAAAAGTTAAACTCTGAGAGTTGAACGCACACATCGCAGAGCAGTTTCTGAGAATGATTCTGTCTAGTTTTTATACGAAGATATTTCCTTTTCTGCCTTTGGCCCCAAAGCGCTTGAAATCTCCACTTGCAAATTCCACAAAAACAGTGTTTCAAATCTGCTCTCTCTAAATGAAAGTTTAACTCTGTCAGTTGAATACACACAACACAAGGAAGTTACTGAGAATTCCTCTGTATAGCAGAATATGAAGAAATCCCGTTTCCAACGAAGGCCTCAAGGAGGTCTGAATATCCACTTGCAGACTTTACAAACAGAGTGTTTCCTAACTGCTCTATGAAAAGAAAGGTTAAACTCTGTGAGTTGAACGCAGACATCACAAAGGAGTTTCTGAGAATCACTCTGTCTAGTTTCTATAGGAAGATATTTCCTATTCTACCATTGACCTCAAAGCGGCTGAAATCTCCACTTGCAAATTCCGCAAAAAGAGTGTTTCAAGTCTGCTCTGTGTAAAGGATCGTTCAACTCTGTGAGTTGAATACACACAACACAAGGAAAGTTACTGAGAATTCTTCTGTCTAGCAGAATATGAAGAAATCCCGTTTCCAACGAAGGCGTCAAAGAGGTCTGAATATCCACTTGCAGACTTTACAAACAGAGTGTTTCCCAACTGCTCTATGAAAAGAAAGGTTAAACTCTGTGAGTTGAACGCACACATCACAAAGGAGTTTCTGAGAATCATTCTGTCTAGTTTTGAAACGAAGATATTTCCTTTTCTGCCATTGACCTTAAAGCGCTTGAAATCTCCACTTGCCAATTGCACAAAAAGAGTGTTTCAAATCTGCTCTGTCTAAGGGAACGTTCAACTCTGTGAGTTGAATGTACACAACACAAGGAAGTTACTGGGAATTCTTCTGTCTAGACTTACAGGAATAAAACCCGTTTCCAACGAAGGCCTCTAAGTGGTCAAAATATCCACGTGCAGACTTTACAAAGAGAGTGTTTCCAAACTGCTGAATGAAAAGAAAAATTAAACTCTGAGAGTTGAATGCACACATCGCAGAGCAGTTTCTGAGAATGATTCTGTCTAGTTTTTATACGAAGATATTTCCTTTTCTGCCTTTGGCCTCAAAACGCTTGAATTCTCCATTTGCAAATTCCTCAAAAAGAGTGTTTCAAATCTGCTCTGTGTAAATGAAAGTTCAACTCTGTGAGTTGAATACACACAACACAAGGAAGTTACTGAGAATTCTTCTGTCTAGCATAATATGAAGAAATCCCGTTTCCAACGAAGGCCTCAAAGAGGTCTGAATATCCACTTGCAGACTTTACAAACAGAGTGTTTCCTAACTGCTCTATGAGAAGAATAGTTAAACTCTGTGAGTTGAACGCACACATCACAAAAGATTTTCTGAGAATCATTCTGTCTAGTCTTTATATGAAGATAGTTTCCTTTTCTACCATTGACCTCAAAGCGGCTGAAATCTCCACTTGCAAATTCCACAAAAAGAGTGTTTCAAGTCTGCTCTGTGTAAAGGATCGTTCAACTCTGTGAGTTGAATACACACAACACAAGGAAGTTACTGAGAATTCTTCTGTCTAGCAGAATATGAAGAAATCCCGTTTCCAACGAAGACCTCAAAGAGGTCTGAATATTCACTTGCAGACTTTACAAACAGAGTGTTTCCTAACTGATCTATGAAAAGAAAGGTTAAACTCTGTGAGTTGAACGCACACATCACAAAGGAGTTTCTGAGAATCATTCTGTCTAGTTTTGAAACGAAGATATTTCCTTTTCTGCAATTGACCTTAAAGCGCTTGAAATCTCCACTTGCCAATTGCACAAAAAGAGTGTTTCAAATCTGCTCTGTCTAAGGGAACGTTCAACTCTGTGAGTTGAATGTACACAACACAAGGAAGTTACTGGGAATTCTTCTGTCTAGCCTTACATGAAAAAAACCCGTTTCCAACGAAGGTCTCTAAGTGGTCAAAATATCCACGTGCAGACTTTACAAACAGAGTGTTTCCAAACCGCTGAATGAAAAGAAAAGTTAAACTGCTGAGAGTTGAACGCACACATCACGCAGCAGTTTCTGAGAATGATTCTGTCTAGTTTTTATACGAAGATATTTCCTTTTCTGCCTTTGGCCTCAAAGCGCTTGAAATCTCCACTTGCAAATTCCACAAAAAGAGTGTTTCAAATCTGCTCTGTGTAAATGAAAGTTCAACTCTGTGAGTTGAACACACACAACACAAGGAAGTTACTGGGAATTCTTCTGTCTAGCCTTATATGAAAAAAACCCGTTTCCAACGAAGGCCTCAAAGAGGGCTGAATATCCACATGCAGACTTTACAAGCAGAGTGTTTCCTAACTGCTCTATGAAAAGAAAGGTTAAACTCTGTGAGTTGAACGCACACATCACAAAGGAGTTTCTGAGAATCATTCTGTCTAGTTTTTATACGAAGATATTTACTTTTCTACCATTGACCTCAAAGCGGCTGAAATCTCCACCCTGCCAATTCCACAAAAAGAGTGTTTCAAGTCTACTCTGTGTAAAGGATGGTTGAACTCTGTGAGTTGAAAACACACAACACAAGGAAAGTTACTGAGAATTCTTCTGTCTAGCAGAATATGAAGAAATCCCGTTTCCAACGAAGGCCACAAGATGTCAGAATATCCACTTACAGACTTTAGAAACAGAGTGTTTCCTAACTGCTCTATGAACAGAAAGGTTAAACTCTGTGAGTTGAACGAACACATCACAACGCAGTTTGTGGGAATGATTCTGTCTAGTTTTGAAACGAAGATATTTCCTTTTCTGCCGTTGACCTTAAAGAGCTTGAAAACTACACTTGCAAATTGCAGAAATAGAGTGTTTCAAATCTGCTCTGTCTAAGGGAACGTTCAACTCTGTGAGTTGAATGCACACAACACAAGGAAGTTACTGGGAATTCTTCTGTCTAGCCTTACAGGAAAAAAACCCGTTTCCAACGAAGGCCTCTAAGTGGTCAAAATATCCACGTGCAGACTTTACAAACAGAGTGTTTCCAAACTGCTGAATGAAAAGAAAAGTTAAACTCTGAGAGTTGAACGCACACATCGCAGAGCAGTTTCTGAGAATGATTCTGTCTACTTTTTATACGAAGATATTTCCTTTTCTGCCTTTGGCCTCAAAGCGCTTGAAATCTCCACTTGCAAATTCCACAAAAAGAGTGTTTCAAATCTGCTCTGTGTAAATCAAAGTTCAACTCTGTGAGTTGAACACACACAACACAAGGAAGTTACTGGGAATTCTTCTGTCTAGCAGAATATGAAGATATCCCGCTTCCAACGAAGGCCTCAAAGAAAGTTTGAATATCCACTTGCAGACTTTACAAACAGAGTGTTTTCCAACTGCTCTATGAAAAGAAAGGTTGAACTCTGTGAGTTGAACGCACACATCACAAAGGAGTTTCTGAGAATCATTCTGTCTAGTTTTTATACGAAGAGATTTCCTTTTCTACCATTGACCTCAAAGCGGCTGAAATCTCCACTTGCAAATTCCACAAAAAGAGTGTTACAAGTCTGCTCTGTGTAAAGGATCGTTCAACTCTGTGAGTTGAATACACACAACACAAGGAAGATTCTGAGAATTCTTCTGTCTAGCCTTATATGAAAAAACCCGTTTCCAACGAAGGCCTCAAAGAGGTCAAAATATCCACGTGCAGACTTTACAAACAGAGTGTTTCCTAACTGCTCTGTGAAAAGAAAGGTTAAACCCTGTGAGTTGAACGAACACATCACAACGCAGTTTGTGGGAATGATTCTGTCTAGTTTTGAAATGAAGATATTTCCTTTTCTGCCATTGACCTTAAAGCGCTTGAAATCTCCACTTGCCAATTGCACAAAAAGAGTGTTTCAAATCTGCTCTGTCTAAGGGAACGTTCAACACTGTGAGTTGAATGTACACAACACAAGGAAGTTACTGGGAATTCTTCTATCTAGCCTTACAGGAAAAAAACCCGTTTCCAACGAAGGCCTCAAATAGGTCAAAATATCCACTTGCAGACTTTACAAACAGAGTGTTTCCTAACTGCTTTATGAAAAGAAAAGTTAAACTCTTTAAATTGAACACACCCATCACAAAGGAGTTTCTGACAATCATTCTGTCTAGTTTTTATACGAAGATATTTCCTTTTCTGCCTTTGGCCTCAAAGCGCTTGACATCTCCACTTGCAAATTCCTCAAAAAGAGTGTTTCAAATCTGCTCTGTGTAAATGAAAGTTCAACTCTGTGAGTTGAACACACACAACACAAGGAAGTTACTGGGAATTCTTCTGTCTAGCCTTATATGAAAAAAACCCGATTCCAACGAAGGCCTCAAAGAGGTCTGAATATCCACTTGCAGACTTTACAAACAGAGTGTTTCCTAACTGCTCTATGAAAAGAAAGGTTAAACTCTGTGAGTTGAACGCACACATCACAAAGGAGTTTCTGAGAATCATTCTGTCTAGTTTCTATAGGAAGATATTTCCTATTCTACCATTGACCTCAAAGCGGCTGAAATCTCCACTTGCAAATTCGACAAAAAGAGTGTTTCAAGCCTGCTCTCTGTAAAGGATCCTTCAACTCTGTGAGTTGAATACACACAACACAAGGAAGTTACTGAGAATTCTTCTGTCTAGCAGAATATGAAGAAATCCCGTTTCCAACGAAGGCCACAAGATGTCAGAATATCCACTTACAGAATTGACAAACAGACTGTTTCCTAACTGGTCTATGAAAAGAAAGGTTAAACTCTGTGAGTTGAACGAACACATCACAACGCAGTTTGTGGGAATGATTCTGTCTAGTTTTGAAACGAAGATATTTCCTTTTCTGCCATTGACCTCAAAGCGCTTGAAATCTCCACTTGCCAATTGCACAAAAAGAGTGTTTCAAATCTGCTCTGTCTAAGGGAACGTTCAACTCTGTGAGTTGAATGTACACAACACAAGGAAGTTACTGGGAATTCTTCTGTCGAGCCTTACATGAAAAAAACCCGTTTCCAACGAAGGCCTCTAAGTGGTCAAAATTTCCACGTGCAGACTTTACAAACAGAGTGTTTCCAAACCGCTGAATGAAAACAAAAGTTAAACTCTGAGACTTGAACGCACACATCACGCAGCAGTTTCTGAGAATGATTCTGTCTAGTTTTTATACGAAGATATTTCCTTTTCTGCCTTTGGCCTCAAATCGCTTGAAATCTCCACTTGCAAATTCCACAAAAAGAGTGTTTCAAATCTGCTCTGTGTAAATCAAAGTTCAACTCTGTGAGTTGAACACACACAACACAAAGAAGTTACTGGGAATTCTTCCGTCTAGCCTTACATGAAAAAAACCCGTTTCCAACGAAGGCCTCAAAGAAGTCCAAATATCCACGTGCAGACTTTACAAACAGAGTGTTTCCTAACTGCTCTATGAAAAGAAAGGTTAAACTCTGTGAGTTGAACGCCCACATCACAAAGGAGTTTCTGAGAATCATTCTGTCTATTTTCTATAGGAAGATATTTCCTATTCTACCATTGACCTCAAAGCGGCTGAAATCTCCACTTGCAAATTCCACAAAAAGAGTGTTTCAAGTCTGCTCTGTGTAAAGGATCGTTCAACTCTGTGAGTTGAACACACACAACACAAGGAAGTTAGTGAGAATTCTTCTGTCTAGCAGAATATGAAGAAATCCCATTTCCGACGAAGGCCTCAGGGAGGTCTGAATATCCACTTGCAGACTTTACAAACAGAGTGTTTCCTAAAGGCTCTATGAAAAGAAAGGTTAAACTCTGTGAGTTGAACGCACACATCACAAAGGAGTTTCTGAGAATCATTCTGTCTAGTTTTGAAACGAAGATATTTCCTTTTCTGCCGTTGACCTTAAAGCGCTTGAAATCTACACTTGCAAATTGCACAAATAGAGTGTTTCAAATCTGCTCTGTCTAAGGGAACGTTCAACTCTGTGAGTTGAATGCACACAACACAAGGAAGTTACTGGGAATTCTTCTGTCTAGCCTTACATGAAAAAAACCCGTTTCCAACGAAGGCCTCTAAGTGGTCAAAATTTCCACGTGCAGACTTTACAAACAGAGTGTTTCCAAACCGCTGAATGAAAAGAAAAGTTAAACTCTGAGAGTTGAACGAACACATCACGCAGCAGTTTCTGAGAATGATTCTGTCTAGTTTCTATAGGAAGATATTTCCTATTCTACCATTGACCTCAAAGCGGCTGAAATCTCCACTTGCAAATTCCACAAAAAGAATGTTTCAAGTCTGCTCTGTGTAAAGGATCGTTCAACTCTGTGAGTTGAATACACACAACTCAAGGAAGTTACTGAGAATTCTTCTGTCTAGCAGAATATGAAGAAATCCCGTTTCCAACGAAGGCCTCAAGGAGGTCTGAATATCCACTTGCAGACTTTACAAACAGAGTGTTTCCTAACTGCTCTATGAAAAGAAAAGTTAAACTCTGTGAGTTGAACGCACACATCACAAAGGAGTTTATGAGAATCATTCTGTCTAGTTTTTATAGGAAGGTATTTCCTTTTCTACCATTGACCTCAAAGCGGCTGAAATCTCCACTTGCAAATTCCACAAAAAGAGTGTTTCAAGTCTGCTCTGTGTAAAGGATCGTTCAACTCTGTGAGTTGAATACACACAACACCCGGAAGTTACTGAGAATTCTTCTGTCTAGCAGAATATGAAGAAATCCTGTTTCCAACGAAGGCCACAAGATGTCAGAATATCCACTTACAGAATTTACAAACAGACTGTTTCCTAAGTGCTCTATGAAAAGAAATGTTAAACTCTGTGAGTTGAACGAACACATCGCAACGCAGTTTGTGGGAATGATTCTGTCTAGTTTTGAAACGAAGATATTTCCTTTTCTGCCATTGACCTTAAAGAGCTTGAAATCTACACTTGCAAATTGCACAAATAGAGTGTTTCAAATCTGCTCTGTCTAAGGGAACGTTCAACTCTGTGAGTGGAATGCACACAACACAAGGAAGTTACTGGGAATTCTTCTGTGTAGCAGAATATGAAGAAATCCCGTTTCCAACGAAGGCCTCAAAGAGGTCTGAATATCCACTTGCAGACTTTACAAACAGAGTGTTTCCTAACTGCTCTATGAAAAGAAAGGTTAAACTCTGTGAGTTGAACGCTCACATCACAAAGGAGTTTCTGAGAATCGTTCTGTCTAGTTTCTATAGGAAGATATTTCCTATTCTACCATTGACCTCAAAGCGGCTGAAATCTCCACTTGCAAATTCCACAAAAAGAGTGTTTCAAGTCTGCTCTGTATAAAGGATCGTTCAACTCTGTGAGTTGAATACACACAACACAAGGAAGTTACTGAGAATTCTTCTTTCTAGCAGAATATGAAGAAATCCCGTTTCCAACGAAAGCCTCAAGGATGTCGGAATATCCACTTGCAGACTTTACAAACAGAGTGTTTCCCAACTGCTCTATGAAAAGAAAGGTTAAACTCTGTGAGTTGAACGCACACATCACAAAGGAGTTTCTGAGAATCATTCTGTCTAGTTTCCATAGGAAGATATTTCCTATTCTACCATTGACCTCAAAGAGGCTGAAATCTCCACTTGCAAATTCCACAAAAAGAGTGTTTCAAGTCTGCTCTGTGTAAAGGATCGTTCAACTCTGTGAGTTGAATACACACAACACAAGGAAGTTACTGAGAATTCTTCTGTCTAGCAGAATATGAAGAAATCCCGTTTACAACGAAGGCCACAAGATGTCAGAATATCCACTTACAGACTTTACAGAGTGTTTCCTAACTGCTCTATGAACAGAAAGGTTAAACTCTGTGAGTTGAACGAACACATCACAACGCAGTTTGTGGGAATGATACTGTCTAGTTTTGAAACGAAGATATTTCCTTTTCTGCCATTGACCTTAAAGCGCTTGAAATCTACACTTGCAAATTGCACAAATAGAGTGTTTCAAATCTGCTCTGTCTAAGGGAACGTTCAACTCTGTGAGTTGAATGCACACAACACAAGGAAGTTACTGGGAATTCTTCTGTCTAGCCTTACATGAAAAAAACCCGTTTCCAACGAAGGCCTCTAAGTGGTCAAAATATCCACGTGCAGACTTTACAAACAGAGTGTTTCCAAACCGCTGAATGAAAAGAAAAGTTAAACTCTGAGAGTTGAACGCACACATCACGCAGCAGTTTCTGAGAATGATTCTGTCTAGTTTCTATAGGAAGATATTTCCTATTCTACCATTGACCTCAAAGCGGCTGAAATCTCCACTTGCAAATTCCACAAAAAGAGTGTTTCAAGTCTGCTCTCTGTAAAGGATCGTTCAACTCTAAGAGTTGAATACACACAACACAAGGAAGTTACTGAGAATTCTTCTGTCTAGCAGAATATGAAGAAATCCCGTTTCCAACGAAGGCCTCAAAGAGGTCTGAATATCCACTTGCAGACTTTACAAACAGAGTGTTTCCTAACTGCTCTATGAAAAGAAAGGTTAAACTCTGTGAGTTGAACGCACACATCACAAAGGAGTTTCTGAGAATCATTCTGTCTAGTTTCTATAGGAAGATATTTCCTATTCTACCACTGACCTCAAAGCGGCTGAAATCTCCACTTGCAAATTCCACAAAAAGAGTGTTTCAAGTCTGCTCTCTGTAAAGGATCGTTCAACTCTGTGAGTTGAATACACACAACACAAGGAAGTTATTGAGAATTAAACTGTCTAGCATAATGTGAAGAAATGCCGTTTCCAACGAAGGCCTCAAAGAGGTCTGAATATCCACTTGCAGACTTTACAAACAGAGTGTTTCCTAACTGCTCTATGAAAAGAAAGGTTAAACTCTGTGAGTTGAACGCACACATCACAAAGGAGTTTCTGAGAATCATTCTGTCTTGTTTCTACACGAAGATATTTCCTTTTCTACCATTGACCTCAAAGCGGCTGAAATCTCCACTTGCAAATTCCACAAAAAGAGTGTTTCAAGTCTGCTCTGTGTAAAGGATCGTTCAACTCTGTGAGTTGAATACACACAACACAAGGAAGTTACTGAGAATTCTTCTGTCTAGCCTTACATGAAAAAAACCCGTTTCCAACGAAGGCCTCTAAGTGGTCAAATTATCCACGTGCAGACTTTACAAACAGAGTGTTTCCAAACTGCTGAATGAAAAGAAAAGTTAAACTCTGAGAGTTGAACGCACACATCGCAGAGCAGTTTCTGAGAATGATTCTGTCTAGTTTTTATACGAAGATATTTCCTTTTCTGCTTTTGGCCTCAAATCGCTTGAAATATCCACTTGCAAATTCCACAAAAACAGTGTTTCAAATCTGCTCTCTCTAAATGAAAGTTCAACTCTGTCAGCTGAATACACACAACACAAGGAAATTACTGAGAATTCTTCTGTCTAGCAGAATATGAAGAAATCCCGCTTCCAACGAAGGCCTCAAAGAAGTCTGAATATCCACTTGCAGACTTTACAAACAGAGTGTTTCCCAACTGCTCTATGAAAAGAAAGGTTGAACTCTGTGAGTTGAACGCACACATCACAAAAGAGTTATGAGAATCATTCTGTCTAGTTTTTCTACGAAGATATTTCCTTTTCTACTATTGACCTCAAAGCGGCTGAAATCTCCACTTGCAAATTCCACAAAAAGAGTGTTTCAAGTCTGCTCTGTGTAAAGGATCGTTCAACTCTGTGAGTTGAATACACACAACACAAGGAAGTTACTGAGAATTATTCTGTCTAGCAGAATATGAAGAAATCCCGTTTCCAACGAAAGCCACAAGATGTCAGAATATCCACTTACAGACTTTACAAACAGAGTGTTTCCTAACTGCTCTATGAACAGAAAGGTTAAACTCTGTGAGTTGAACGAACACATCACAACGCAGTTTGTGAGAATGATTCTGTCTAGTTTTGAAACGAAGATATTTCCTTTTCTGCCATTGACCTTAAAGCGCTTGAAATCTCCACTTGCCAATTGCACAAAAAGAGTGTTTCAAATCTGCTCTGTCTAAGGGAACCGTTCAACTCTGTGAGTTGAATGTACACAACGCAAGGAAGTTACTGGGAATTCTTCTGTCTAGCCTTAAAGGAAAGAAACCCGTTTCCAACGAAGGCCTCTAAGTGGTCAAAATATCCACGTGCAGACTTTACAAACAGAGGGTTTCCAAACTGCTGAATGAAAAGAAAAGTTAAACTCTGAGAGTTGAACGCACACATCACAGAGCAGTTTCTGAGAATGATTCTGTCTAGTTTTTATACGAAGATATTTCCTTTTCTGCCTTTGGCCTCAATGCGCTTGAAATCTCCACTGGCAAATTCCACAAAAAGAGTGTTTCCAATCTGCTCTGTGTAAATGAAAGTTCAACTCTGTGAGTTGAACACACACAACACAAGGAAGTTACTGGGAATTCTTCTGTCTAGCCTTATATGAAAAAACCCGTTTCCAACGAAGGCCTCAAAGAGGCCTGAATATCCACTTGCAGTCTTTACAAACAGAGTGTTTCCTAACTGCTCTATGAAAAGAAAGGTTAAACTCTGTGAGTTGAACACACACATCACAAAGGAGTTTCTGAGAATCATTCTGTCTAGTTTTTATACGAAGATATTTCCTTTTCTACCATTGACCTCAACGCGGCTGAAATCTCCACTTGCAAATTCCACAAAAAGTGTGTTTCAAGTCCGCTCTGTGTAAAGGATCGTTCAACTACTGTGAGTTGAATACACACAACACAAGGAAGTTACTGAGAATTCTTCTGTCTAGCACAGTATGAAGAAATCCCGTTTCCAACGAAGGCCTCAAAGAGGTCTGAATATCCACTTGTAGACTTTACAAACAGAGTGTTTCCTAACTGCTCTATGAAAAGAAAGGTTAAACTCTGTGAGTTGAACGCACACGTCACAATGAAGTTTCTGAGAATCATCTGTCTAGTTTTGAAACGAAGATATTTCCTTTTCTGCCATTGACCTTAAAGCGCTTGAAATCTACACTTGCAAATTGCACAAATAGAGTGTTTCAAATCTGCTCTGCCTAAGGGAACGTTCAACTCTGTGAGTTGAATGCACACAACACAAGGAAGTTACTGGGAATTCTTTCTGTCTAGCCTTCATGAAAAAAACCCGTTTCCAACGAAGGCCTCTAAGTGGTCAAAATATCCACGTGCAGACTTTACAAACAGAGTGTTTCCAAACCGCTGAATGAAAAGAAAAGTTAAACTCTGAGAGTTGAACGCACACATCACGCAGCAGTTTCTGAGAATGATTCTGTCTAGTTTTTATACGAAGATATTTCCTTTTCTGCCTTTGGCCTCAAAGCGCTTGAAATCTCCACTTGCAAATTCCACAAAAAGAGTGTTTCAAATCTCCTCTGTCTAAATGAAAGTTCAACTCTGTCAGTTGAATACACACAACACAAGGAAGTTACTGAGAATTCTTCTGTCTAGCATAGTATGAAGAAATCCCGTTTCCAACGAAGGCCTCAAAGAGGTCTGAATATCCACTTGCAGAGTTTACAAACAGAGTGTTTCCTAACTGCTCTATGAAAAGAAAGGTTAAACTCTGTGAGTTGAACGCACACATCACAAAGAAGTTTCTGAGAATCATTCTGTCTAGTTTTTCTACGAAGATATTTCCTTTTCGACTATTGACCTCAAAGCGGCTGAAATCTCCACTTGCAAATTCCACAAAAAGAGTGTTTCAAGTCTGCTCTGTGTAAAGGATCGTTCAACTCTGTGAGTTGAATACACACAACACAAGGAAGTTACTGAGAATTCTTCTGTCTAGCAGAATATGAAGAAATCCCGTTTCCAACGAAGGCCTCAAAGAGGTCTGAATATCCACTTGCAGATTTTACAAACAGAGTGTTTCCTAACTGCTCTATGAACAGAAAGGTTAAACTGCTGTGAGTTGAACGCACACATCACAAAGGAGTTTCTGAGAATCGTTCTCTCTAGTTTTGAAACGCAGATATTTCCTTTTCTGCCATTGACCTTAAAGCGCTTGAAATCTCCACTTGCCAATTGCACAAAAAGAGTGTTTCAAATCTGCTCTGTCTAAGGGAACGTTCAACTCTGTGAGTTGAATGTACACAACACAAGGAAGTTACTGGGAATTCTTCTGTCTAGCCTTACATGAAAAAAACCCGTTTCCAACGAAGGCCTCTAAGTGGTCAAATTATCCACGTGCAGACTTTACAAACAGAGTGTTTCCAAACTGCTGAATGAAAAGAAAAGTTAAACTCTGAGAGTTGAACGCACACATCGCAGAGCAGTTTCTGAGAATGATTCTGTCTAGTTTTTATACGAAGATATTTCCTTTTCTGCCTTTGGCCTGAAAGCGCTTGAAATCTCCACTTGCAAATTCCACAAAAAGAGTGTTTCAAATCTGCTCTGTGTAAATGAAAGTTCAACTCTGTGAGTTCAACACACACAACACAAGGAAGTTACTGGGAATTCTTCTGTCTAGCATAATATGAAGAAATCCCGTTTCCAACGAAGACCTCAAAGAGGTCTGAATATCCACTGGCAGACTTTACAAACAGAGTGTTTCCTAACTGCTCTATGAGAAGAAAAGTTAAACTCTGTGAGTTGAACGCACACATCACAAAAGATTTTCTGAGAATCATTCTGTCTAGTTTTTATACGAAGATATTTCCTTTTCTACCATTGACCTCAAAGCGGCTGAAATCTCCACTTGCAAATTCCACAAAAAGAGTGTTTCAAGTCTGCTCTGTGTAAAGGATCGTTCAACTCTGTGAGTTGAATACACACAACACAAGGAAGTTACTGAGAATTCTTCTGTCTAGCAGAATATGAAGAAATCCCGTTTCCAACGAAGGCCACAAGATGTCAGAATATCCACTTACAGAATTTACAAACAGACTGTTTCCCAACTGCTCTATGAAAAGAAAGGTTAAACTCTGTGAGTTGAACGAACACATCACAACGCAGTTTTTGATAATGATTCTGTCTAGTTTTGAAACGAAGATATTTCCTTTTCTGCCATTGACCTTAAAGCGCTTGAAATCTCCGCTTGCCAATTGCACAAAAAGAGTGTTTCAAATCTGCTCTGTCTAAGGGAACGTTCAACTCTGTGAGTTGAATGTACACAACACAGGGAAGTTACTGGGAATTCTTCTGTCTAGCCTTACATGAAAAAAACCCGTTTCCAACGAAGGCCTCTAAGTGGTCAAATTATCCACGTGCAGACTTTACAAACAGAGTGTTTCCAAACTGCTGAATGAAAAGAAAAGTTAAACTCTGAGAGTTGAACGCACACATCGCAGAGCAGTTTCTGAGAATGATTCTGTCTAGTTTCTATAGGAAGATATTTCCTATTCTACCATTGACCTCAAAGCGGCTGAAATCTCCCCTTGCAAATTCCACAAAAAGAGTGTTTCAAGTCTGCTCTGTGTAAAGGATCGTTCAACTCTGTGAGTTGAATACACACAACACAAGGAAGTTACTGAGAATTCTTCTGTCTAGCAGAATATGAAGAAATCCCGCTTCCAACGAAGGCCTCAAAGAAGTCTGAATATCCACTTGCAGACTTTACAAACAGAGTGTTTCCCAACTGCTCTATGAAAAGAAAGGTTGAACTCTGTGAGTTGAACGCACACATCACAAAGGAGTTTCTGAGAATCATTCTGTCTAGTTTTTATACGAAGATATTTCCTTTTCTACCATTGACCTCAACGCGGCTGAAATCTCCACTTGCAAATTCCACAAAAAGAGTGTTTCAAGTCTGCCCTGTGTAAAGGATCGTTCAACTCTGTGAGTTGAATACACACAACACAAGGAAGTTACTGAGAATTCTTCTGTCTAGCAGAATATGAAGAAATCCCGTTTCCAACGAAGGCCACAAGATGTCAGAATATCCACTTACAGAATTGACAAACAGACTGTTTCCTAACTGCTCTATGAAAAGAAAGGTTAAACTCTGTGAGTTGAACGAACACATCACAACGCAGTTTGTGGGAATGATTCTGTCTAGTTTTGAAACGAAGATATTTCCTTTTCTGCCTTTGACCTTAATGCGCTTGAAATCTACACTTGCAAATTGCACAAATAGAGTGTTTCAAATCTGCTCTGTCTAAGGGAACGTTCAACTCTGTGAGTTGAATGCACACAACACAAGGAAGTTACTGAGAATTCTTCTGTCTAGCATAATATGAAGAAATCCCGTTTCCAACGAAGGCCTCAAAGAGGTCTGAATATCCACTTGCAGACTTTACAAACAGAGTGTTTCCTAATTGCTCTATGAAAAGAAAAGTTAAACTCTGTGAGTTGAACGCACACATCACAAAGGATTTTCTGAGAATCATTCTGTCTAGTTTTTATACGAAGATATTTCCTTTTCTGCATTTGGCCACAAAGCGCTTGAAATCTCCATTTGCAAATACCACAAAAAGAGTGTTTCAAACCTGCTCTGTGTAAATGAAAGTTCAACTCTGTGAGTTGAACACACACAACACAAGGAAGTTACTGGGAATTCTTCTGTATATCAGAATATGAAGAAATCCCGTTTCCAAAGAAGGCCTCAAAGAGGTCTGAATATCCACTTGCAGACTTTACAAACAGAGTGTTTCCTAACTGCTCTATGAAAAGGAAAGTTAAACTCTGTGAGTTGAACGCACACATCACAAAGGAGTTTCTGAGAATCATTCTGTCTAGTTTCTATAGGAAGATATTTCCTATTCTACCATTGACCTCAAAGCGGCTGAAATCTCCACTTGCAAATTCCACAAAAAGAGTGTTTCAAGTCTGCTCTGTGTAAAGGATCGTTCAACTCCGTGAGTTGAATACACACAACACAAGGAAGTTACTGAGAATTCTTCTGTCTAGCAGAATATGAAGAAATCCCGTTTCCAACGAAGGCCACAAGATGTCAGAATATCCACTTACAGAATTTACAAACAGACTGTTTCCTAATGCTCTATGAAAAGAAAGGTTAATCTCTGTGAGTTGAACGAACACAGCACAACGCAGTTTGTGGGAATGATTCTGTCTAGTTTTGAAACGAAGATATTTCCTTTTCTGCCATTGACCTTAAAGCGCTTGAAATCTCCACTTGCCAATTGCACAAAAAGAGTGTTTCAAATCTGCTCTGTCTAAGGGAACGTTCAACTCTGTGAGTTGAATGTACACAACACAAGGAAGTTACTGGGAATTCTTCTGTCTAGCCTTACATGAAAAAAACCCGTTTCCAACGAAGGCCTCTAAGTGGTCAAATTATCCACGTGCAGACTTTACAAACAGAGTGTTTCCAAAATGCTGAATGAAAAGAAAAGTTAAACTCTGAGAGTTGAACGCACACATCGCAGAGCAGTTTCTGAGAATGATTCTGTCTAGTTTTGAAACGAAGATATTTCCTTTTCTGCCTTTGGCCTCAAAGAGGTTGAAATCTCCAATTGCCAATTCCACATAAATAGTGTTTCAAATCTGCTCTGTCTAAATGAAAGTTCAACTCTGTCAGTTGAATACACACAACACAAGGAAGTTACTGAGAATTCTTCTCTCTAGCCTTATATGAAAAAAACCCGTTTCCAACGAAGGCCTCAAAGAGGTCTGAATATCCACTTGCAGACTTTAAAAACAGAGTGTTTCCTAACTGCTCTATGAAAAGAAAGGTTAAACTCTGTGAGTTGAACTCACACATCACAAAGGAGTTTCTGAGAATCATTCTGTCTAATCTTTATATGAAGATAGTTTCCTTTTCTACCATTGACCTCAAAGCGGCTGAAATCTCCAATTGCAAATTCCACAAAAAGAGTGTTTCAAGTCTGCTCTGTGTAAAGGATCGTTCAACTCTGTGAGTTGAATACACACAACACAAGGAAGTTACTGAGAATTCTTCTGTCTAGCAGAATATGAAGAAATCCCGTTTCCAACGAAGGCCACAAGATGTCAGAATATCCACTTACAGACTTTACAAACAGAGTGTTTCCTAACTGCTCTATGAACAGAAAGGTTAAACTCTGTGAGTTGAACGAACACATCACAACGCAGTTTGTGGGAATGATTCTGTCTAGTTTTGAAACGAAGATATTTCCTTTTCTGCCATTGACCTTAAAGCGCTTGAAATCTCCATTTGCCAATTGCACAAAAAGAGTGTTTCAAATCTGCTCTGCCTAAGGGAACGTTCAACTCTGTGAGTTGAATGTACACAACACAAGGAAGTTACTGGGAAATCTTCTGTCTAGCCTTACATGAAAAAAACCCGTTTCCAACGAAGGCCTCTAAGTGGTCAAAATATCCACGTGCAGACTTTACAAACAGAGTGTTTGCAAACTGCTGAATGAAAAGAAAAGTTAAACTCTGAGAGTTGGACGCACACATCGCAGAGCAGTTTCTGAGAATGATTCTGTCTAGTTTTGAAACGAAGATATTTCCTTTTCTGCCTTTGGCCTCAAAGCGCTTGAAATCTCCACTTGCAAATTCCACAAAAAGAGTGTTTCAAATCTGCTCTGTGTAAATGAAAGTTCAACTCTGTGAGTTGAACACACACAACACAAGGAAGTTACTGGGAAATTCTTCTGTCTAGCATAATATGAAGAAATCCCGTTTCCAACGAAGGCCTCAAAGAGGTCTGAATATCCACTTGCAGACTTTACAAACAGAGTGTTTCCTAACTGCTCTATGAAAAGAAAGGTTAAACTCTGTGAGTTGAACGCACACATCACAAAGGAGTTTCTGAGAATCATTCTGTCTAGTTTTTATACGAAGATATCTCCTTTTCTACCATTGACCTCAAAGAGGCTGAAATCTCCACTTGCAAATTCCACAAAAAGAGTGTTTCAAGTCTGCTCTGTGTAAAGGATCGTTCAACTCTGTGAGTTGAATACACACAACACAAGGAAGTTACTGAGAATCCTTCCGTCTAGCATAATATGAAGAAATCCCGTTTCCAACGAAGGCCTCAAAGAGGTCTGAATATCCACTTGCAGACTTTACAAACAGAGTGTTTCCTAACTGCTCTATGAAAAGAAAGGTAAAACTCTGTGAGTTGAACGCACACATCACAAAGGAGTTTCTGAGAATCATTCTGTCTAGTTTTTATACGAAGATATTTCCTTTTCTACCATTGACCTCAAAGCGGCTGAAATCACCACTTGCCAATTGCACAAAAAGAGTGTTTCAAATCTGTTCTGTCTAAGGGAACGTTCAACTCTGTGAGTTGAATGTACACAACACAAGGAAGTTACTGGGAATTCTTCTGTCTAGCCTTACAGGAAAAAAACCCGTTTCCAACGAAGGCCTCTAAGTGGTCAGAATATCCACGTGCAGACTTTACAAACAGAGTTTTTCCACACTGCTGAATGAAAAGAAAAGTTAAACTCTGAGAGTTGAACGCACACATCGCAGAGCAGTTTCTGAGAATGATTTCTGTCTAATTTTTATACGAAGATATATCCTTTTCTGCCTTTGTCCTCAAAGCGCTTGAAATCTCCACTTGCAAATTCCACAAAAAGAGTGTTTCCAATCTGCTCTGTGTAAATGAAAGTTCAACTCTGTGAGTTGAACACACACAACACAAGGAAGTTACTGGGAATTCTTCTGTCTAGCATAATATGAAGAAATCCCGTTTCCAACGAAGGCCTCAAAGAGGTCTGAATATCCACTTGCAGACTTTACAAACAGAGTGTTTCCTAACTGCTCTATGAGAAGAAAAGTTAAACTCTGTGAGTTGAACGCACACATCACAAAAGATTTTCTGAGAATCATTCTGTCTAGTCTTTATATGAAGATAGTTTCCTTTTCTACCATTGACCTCAAAGCGGCTGAAATCTCCACTTGCAAATTACACAAAAAGAGTGTTTCAAGTCTGCTCTGTGTAAAGGATCGTTCAACTCTGTGAGTTGAATACACACAACACAAGGAAGTTACTGAGAATTCTTCTGTCTAGCAGAATACGAAGAAATCCCGTTTCCAACGAAGGCCACAAGATGTCAGAATATCCACTTACAGACTTTACAAACAGAGTGTTTCCTAACTGCTCTATGAACAGAAAGGTTAAACTCTGTGAGTTGAACGAACACATCACAACGCAGTTTGTGGGAATGATTCTCTCTAGTTTTGAAACGAAGATATTTCCTTTTCTGCCATTGACCTTAAAGCGCTTGAAATCTACACTTGCAAATTGCACAAATAGAGTGTTTCAAATCTGCTCCGTCTAAGGGAAAGTTCAACTCTGTGAGTTGAATGCACACAACACAAGGAAGTTACTGGGAATTCTTCTGTCTAGCCTTACATGACAAAAACCCGTTTCCAACGAAGACCTCTAAGTGGTCAAAATATCCACGTGCAGACTTTACAAACAGAGTGTTTCCAAACTGCTGAATGAAAAGAAAAGTTAAACTCTGAGAGCTGAAGGCACACATCGCAGAGCAGTTTCTGAGAATGATTCTGTCTAGTTTTGAAACGAAGATATTTCCTTTTCTGCCTTTGGCCTCAAAGCGCTTGAAATCTCCACTTGCAAATTCCACAAAAAGAGTGTTTCAAATCTGCTCTGTGTAAATGAAAGTTCAACTCTGTGAGTTGAACACACACAACACAAGGAAGTTACTGGGAATTCTTCTGTCTAGCCTTATATGAAAAAAACCCGTTTCCAACGAAGGCCTCAAGGAGGTCTGAATATCCACTTGCAGACTGTACAAACAGAGTGTTTCCTAACTGCTCTATGAAAAGAAAGGTTAAACTCTGTGAGTTGAACGCACACATCACAAAGGAGTTTCTGAGAATCATTCTGTCTAGTTTCTATAGGAAGATATTTCCTATTCTACCATTGACCTCAAAGCGGCTGAAATCTCCACTTGCAAATTCCACAAAAAGAGTGTTTCAAGTCTGCTCTGTGTAAAGGATCGTTCAACTCTGTGAGTTGAATACACACAACACAAGGAAGTTACTGAGAATTCTTCTTTCTAGCAGAATATGAAGAAATCCCGTTTCCAACGAAGGCCACAAGATGTCAGAATATCCACTTACAGACTTTTCAAACAGAGTGTTTCCTAACTGCTCTATGAACAGAAAGGTTAAACTCTATGAGTTGAACGAGCACTTCACAACGCAGTTTGTGGGAATGATTCTGTCTAGTTTTGAAACGAAGATATTTCCTTTTCTGCCATTGACCTTAAAGCGCTTGAAATCTCCACTTGCCAATTGCATAAAAAGAGTATTTCAAATCTGCTCTGTCTAAGGGAACGTTCAACTCTGTGAGTTGAATGTACACAACACAAGGAAGTTACTGGGAATTCTTCTGTCTAGCCTTACATGAAAAAAACCCGTTTCCAACGAAGGCCTCTAAGTGGTCAAATTATGCACGTGCAGACTTTACAAACAGAGTGTTTCCAAACTGCTGAATGAAAAGAAAAGTTAAACTCTGAGAGCTGAACGCACACATCGCAGAGCAGTTTCTGAGAATGATTCTGTCTAGTTTCTACAGGAAGATATTTCCTATTCTACCATTGACCTCAAAGCGGCTGAAATCTCCACTTGCAAATTCCACAAAAAGAGTGTTTCAAGTCTGCTCTGTGTAAAGGATCGTTCAACTCTGTGAGTTGAATACACACAACACAAGGAAGTTACTGAGAATTCTTCTGTCTAGCATAATAGGAAGAAATCCCGTTTCCAAAGAAGGCCTCAAGGAGGTCTGAATATCCACTTGCAGACTTTACAAACAGAGTGTTTCCTAACTGCTCTATGAAAAGAAAGGTTAAACTCTGTGAGTTGAACGCACACATCACAAAGGAGTTTCTGAGAATCATTCTGTCTACTTTCTATAGGAAGATATTTCCTATTCTACCATTGACCTCAAAGCGGCTGAAATCTCCACTTGCAAATTCCACAAAAAGAGTGTTTCAAGTCTGCTCTGTGTAAAGGATCGTTCAACTCTGTGAGTTGAAAACACACAACACAAGGAAGTTTCTAAGAATTCTTCTGTCTAGCAGAATATGAAGAAATCCCGTTTCCAACGAAGGCCACAAGATGTCAGAATATCCACTTACAGAATTGACAAACAGACTGTTTCCTAACTGCTCTATGAAAAGAAAGGTTAAACTCTGTGAGTTGAACGAACACATCACAAAGCAGTTTGTGGGAATGATTCTGTCTAGTTTTGAAACGAAGATATTTCCTTTTCTGCCATTGAGGTTAAAGCGCTTGAAATCTACACTTGCAAGTTGCACAAATAGAGTGTTTCAAATCTGCTCTGTCTAAGGGAACGTTCAACTCTGTGAGTTGAATGCACACAACACAAGGAAGTTACTGGGAATTCTTCTGTCTAGCCTTACATGAAAAAATCTCGTTTCCAACGAAGGCCTCTAAGTGGTCAAAATATCCACGTGCAGACTTTACAAACAGAGTGTTTCCAAACCGCTGAATGAAAAGAAAAGTTAAACTCTGTGAGTTGAACGCACACATCACGCAGCAGTTTCTGAGAATGATTCTGTCTAGTTTTTATACGAAGATATTTCCTTTTCTGCCTTTGGCCTCAAAGCGCTTGAAACCTCCATTTGCAAATTCCATAAAAAGAGTGTTTCAAATCTGCTCTGTGTAAATGAAAGTTCAACTCTGTGAGTTGAACACACACAACACAAGGAAGTTACTGGGAATTCTTTTGTCTAGCATAATATTAAGAAATCCCGTTTCCAACGAAGGCCTCAAAGCGGTCTGAATATCCGCTTGCAGAGTTTACAAACAGAGTGTTTCCTAACTGCTCTATGAAAAGAAAGGTTAAACTCTGTGAGTTGAACGTACACATCACAAAGGAGTTTCTGGGAATCATTCTGTCTAGTTTTTATACGAAGATATTTCCTTTTCTACCATTGACCTCAAAGCGGCTGAAATCTCCACTTGCAAATTCCACAAAAAGAGTGATTCTAGTCTGCTCTGTGTAAAGGATCGTTCAACTCTGTGAGTTGAGTACACACAACACAAGGAGGTTACTGAGAATTCCTCTGTCTAGCATAATATGAAGAAATTCCGTTTCCAACGAAGGCCTCAAAGAGGTCTGAATATCCACTTGCTGATTTACAAACAGAGTGTTTCCTAACTGCTCTATGAAAAGAAAGGTTAAACTCTGTGAGTTGAACGCACACATCACAAAGAAGTTTCTGAGAATCATTCTGTCTAGTTTTTATACGAAGATATTTCCTTTTCTACCATGGACCTCAAAGCGGCTGAAATCTCCACTTGCAAATTCCACAAAAAGAGTGTGTCAAATCTGCTCTGTGTAAAGGATCGTTCAACTCTGTGAGTTGAATACACAGAACACAAGGAAGTTTCTGAGAATTCTTCTGTCTAGCAGAATATGAAGAAATCCCGTTTCCAACGAAGTCCACAAGATGTCAGAATATCCACTTGCAGACTTGGCAAACAGAGCGTTTACAAACGGCTCTATGAAAAGAAAGGTTAAACTCTGTGAGTTGAACGCACACATCACAACGCAGTTTGTGGGAATGATTCTGTCTAGTTTTTATACGAAGATATTTCCTTTTCTGCCTTTGGCCTCAAAGCGCTTGAAATCTCCACTTGCAAACTCCACAAAAAGAGTGTTTCAAATCTGCTCTGTGTAAATCAAAGTTCAACTCTGTGAGTTGAACACACACAACACAAGGAAGTTACTGGGAATTCTTCTGTCTAGACTTACAGGAAAAAAACCCGTTTCCAACGAAGGCCTCAAAGAGGTCTGAATATCCACTTGTAGTCTTTACAACCAGAGTGTTTCCTAACTGCTCTATGAAAAGAAAGGTTAAACTCTGTGAGTTGAACGCACACATCACAAAGGAGTTTCTGAGAATCATTCTGTCTAGTTTTTATAGGAAGATATTTCCTTTTCTACCTTTGACTTCAAAGCGGCTGAAATCTCCACTTGCAAATTCCACAAAAAGAGTGTTACAAGTCTGCTCTGTGTAAAGGATCGTTCAACTCTGTGAGTTGAATACACACAACACAAGGAAGTTACTGAGAATTCTTCTGTCTAGCATAGTATGAAGAAATCCCGTTTCCAACGAAGGCCTCCAAGAGGTCTGAATATCCACTTGCAGAGTTTACAAACAGAGTGTTTCCTAACTGCTCTATGAAAAGAAAGGTTAAACTCTGTGAGTTGAACGCACACATCACAAAGAAGTTTCTGAGAATCATTCTGTCTAGTTTTGAAACGAAGATATTTCCTTTTCTGCCATTGACCTTAAAGCGCTTGAAATCTCCACTTGCCAATTGCACAAAAAGAGTGTTTCAAATCTGCTCTGTCTAAGGGAACGTTCAACTCTGTGAGTTGAATGTACACAACGCAAGGAAGTTACTGGGAATTCTTCTGTCTCCCCTTACATGAAAGAAACCCGTTTTCAACGAAGGCCTCTAAGTGGTCAAAATATCCACGTGCAGACTTTACAAACAGATTGTTTCCAAACTGCTGAATGAAAACAAAAGTTAAACTCTGAGAGTTGAACGCACACATCACAGAGCAGTTTCTGAGAATGATTCTGTCTAGTTTTGAAACGAAGATATTTCCTTTTCTGCCTTTGGCCTCAAAGCGCTTGAAATCTCCATTTGCAAATTCCACAAAAAGAGTGTTTGAAATCTGCTCTGTGTAAATGAAAGTTCAACTCTGTGAGTTGAACACACACAACACAAGGAAGTTACTGGGAATTCTCTTTCTAGCAGAATATGAAGAAATCCCGTTTCCAACGAAAGCCTCAAGGATGTCTGAATATCCACTTGCAGACTTTACAAACAGAGTGTTTCCTAACTGCTCTATGAAAAGAAAGGTTAAACTCTGTGAGTTGAACGCACACATCACAAAGGAGTTTCTGAGAATCATTTCTGTCTAGTTTCTATAGGAAGATATTTCCTATTCTACCATTGACCTCAAAGCGGCTGAAATCTCCACTTGCAAATTCCACAAAAAGAGTGTTTCAAGTCTGCTCTGTGTAAAGCATCGTTCAACTCTGTGAGTTGAATACACACAACACAAGGCAGTTACTGAGAATTCTTCTGTCTAGCAGAATATGAAGAAATCCCGCTTCCAACGAAGGCCTCAAAGAAGTCTGAATATCCACTTGCAGACTTTACAAACAGAGTGTTTCCCAACTGCTCTATGAAAAGAAAGGTTGAACTCTGTGACTTGAACGCACACATCACAAAGGAGTTTCTGAGAATCATTCTGTCTAGTTTTGAAACGAAGATATTTCCTTTTCTGCCGTTGACCTTAAAGCGCTTGAAATCTCCACTTGCAAATTCCACAAAAACAGTGTTTCAAATCTGCTCTCTCTAAATGAAAGTTCAACTCTGTCAGTTGAATACACACAACACAAGGAAGTTACTGAGAATTCTTCTGTCTAGCCTTACATGAAAAAAACCCGTTTCCAACGAAGGCCTCTAAGTGGTCAAATTATCCACGTGCAGACTTTACAAACAGAGTGTTTCCAAACTGCTGAATGAAAAGAAAAGTTAAACTCTGAGAGTTGAACGCACACATCGCAGAGCAGTTTCTGAGAATGATTCTGTCTAGTTTTTATACGAAGATATTTCCTTTTCTGCCTTTGGCCTCAAAGCGCTTGAAATCTCCATTAGCAAATTCCACAAAAAGAGTGTCTCAAAACTGCTCTGTGTAAATGAAAGTTCAACTCTGTGAGTTGAACACACACAACACAAGGAAGTTACTGGGAATTCTTCTGTCTAGCATAATATGAAGAAATCCCGTTTCCAACGAAGGCCTCAAAGGGGTCTGAATATCCACTTGCAGACTTTATAAACAGAGTGTTTACTAACTGCTCTATGAAAAGAAAGGTTAAACTCTGTGGGTTGAACACACACATCACAAAGGAGTTTCTGAGAATCATTCTGTCTATTTTCTATAGGAAGATATTTCCTATTGTACCATTGACCTCAAAGCGGCTGAAATCTCCACTTGCAAATTCCACAAAAAGAGTGTTTCAAGTCTGCTCTCTGTAAAGGATCGTTCAACTCTGTGAGTTGAATACACACAACACAAGGAAGTTACTGAGAATTATTCTGTCTAGCATAATATGAAGAAATCCCGTTTCCAACGAAGGCCTCAAAGAGGTCTGAATATCCACTTGCAGACTTTACACACAGAGTGTTTCCTAACTGCTCTATGAAAAGAAAGGTTAAACTCTGTGAGTTGAACGCACACATCACAAAGGACTTTCTGAGAATCATTCTGTCTAGTTTCTATAGGAAGATATTTCCTATTCTAGCATTGACCTCAAAGCGGCTGAAATCTCCACTTGCAAATTCCACAAAAAGAGTGTTTCAAGTCTGCTCTGTGTAAAGGATCGTTCAACTCTGTGAGTTGAATACACACAACACAAGGAAGTTACTGAGAATTCTTGTGTCTAGCCTTACATGAAAAAAACCCGTTTCCAACGAAGGCCTCTAAGTGGTCAAATTATCCACGTGCAGACTTTACAAACAGATTGTTTCCAAACTGCTGAATGAAAAGAAAAGTTAAACTCTGAGAGTTGAACGCACACATCGCAGAGCATTTTCTGAGAATGATTCTGTCTAGTTTTTATACGAAGATATATCCTTTTCTGCCTTTGGTCTCAAAGCGCTTGAAATCTCCACTTGCAAATTCCACAAAAAGAGTGTTTCAAATCTGCTCTGTGTAAATGAAAGTTCAACTCTGTGAGTTGAACACACACAACACAAGGAAGTTACTAGGAATTCTTCTGTCTAGCATAATATGAAGAAATCCCTTTTCCAGCGAAGGCCTCAAGGATGTCTGAATATCCACTTGCAGACTTTACAAACAGAGTGTTTCCTAACTGCTCTATGAAAAGAAAGGTTAAACTCTGTGAGTTGAACGCACACATCACAAAGGAGTTTCTGAGAATCATTCTGTCTAGTTTCTATAGGAAGATATTTCCTATTCTACCATTGACCTCAAAGCGGCTGAAATCTCCACTTACAAATTCCACAAAAAGAGTGTTTCAAGTCTGCTCTGTGTAAAGGATCGTTCAACTCTGTGAGTTGAATACACACAACACAAGGAAGTTACTGAGAATTATTCTGTCTAGCAGAATATGAAGAAATCCCGTTTCCAACGAAGACCTCAAAGAGGTCTGAATATCCACTGGCAAACTTTACAACCAGAGTGTTTCCTAACTGCTCTATGAACAGAAAGGTTAAACTCTGTGAGTTGAACGAACACATCACAACGCAGTTTGTGGGAATGATTCTGTCTAGTTTTGAAACGAAGATATTTCCTTTTTGTCATTGACCTTAATGCGCTTGAAATCTACACTTGTAAATTACACAAATAGAGTGTTTCAAATCTGCTCTGTCTAAGGGAACGTTCAACTCTGTGAGTTGAATGCACACAACACAAGGAAGTTACTGGGAATTCTTCTGTCTAGCCTTACATGAAAAAAACCCGTTTCCAACGAAGGCCTCTAAGTGGTCAAAATTTCCACGTGCAGACTTTACAAACAGAGTGTTTCCAAACCGCTGAATGAAAAGAAAAGTTAAATTCTGAGAGTTGAACGCACACATCAAGCAGCAGTTTCTGAGAATGATTCTGTCTAGTTTCTATAGGAAGATATTTCCTATTCTACCATTGACCTCAAAGTGGCTGAAATCTCCACTTGCAAATTCCACAAAAAGAGTGTTTCAAGTCTGCTCTGTGTAAAGGATTGTTCAACTCTGTGAGTTGAATACACACAACACAAGGGAAGTTACTGAGAATTCTTCTTTCTAGCAGAATATGAAGAAATCCCGTTTCCAACGAAAGCCTCAAGGATGTCTGAATATCCACTTGCAGACTTTACAAACAGAGTGTTTCCTAACTGCTCTATGAAAAGAAAGGTTAAACTCTGTGAGTTGAATGCACACATCACAAAGGAGTTTCTGAGAATCATTCTGTCTAGTTTCTATAGGAAGATATTTCCTATTCTACCATTGACCTCAAAGCGGCTGAAATCTCCACTTGCAAATTCCACAAAAAGAATGTTTCAAGTCTGCTCTGTGTAAAGGATCGTTCAACTCTGTGAGTTGAATACACACAACACAAGGAAGTTACTGAGAATTCTTCTGTCTAGCAGAATATGAAGAAATCCCGTTTCCAAGGAAGGCCTCAAAGAGGTCTGAATATCCACTTGCAGACTTTACAAACAGAGTGTTTCCTAACTGCTCTATGAAAAGAAAAGTTAAACTCTGTGAGTTGAACGCACACATCACAAAGGAGTTTATGAGAATCATTCTGTCTAGTTTTGAAACGAAGATATTTCCTTTTCTGCCATTGACCTTAAAGCGCTTGAAATCTACACTTGCAAATTGCACAAATAGAGTGTTTCAAATCTGCTCTGTCTAAGGGAACGTTCAGCTCTGTGAGGTGAATGCACACAACACAAGGAAGTTACTGGGAATTCTTCTGTCTAGCCTTACATGAAAAAAACCCGTTTCCAACGAAGGCCTCTAAGTGGTCAAAATATCCACGTGCAGACTTTACAAACAGAGTGTTTCCAAACTGCTGAATGAAAAGAAAAGTTAAACTCTGAGAGTTGAACGCACACATCACAGAGCGGTTTCTGAGAATGATTCTGTCTAGTTTCTATAGGAAGATATTTCCTATTCTACCATTGACCTCAAAGCGGCTGAAATCTCCACTTGCAAATTCCACAAAAGTAGTGTTTCAAGTCTGCTCTGTGTAAAGGATCGTTCAACTCTGTGAGTTGAAAACACACAACACAAGGAAGTTTCTGAGAATTCTTCTGTCTAGCAGAACATGAAGAAATCCCGCTTCCAACGAAGGCCTCAAAGAAGTCTGAATATCCACTTGCAGACTTTACAAACAGAGTGTTTCCCAACTGCTCTATGAAAAGAAAGGTTGAACTCTGTGAGTTGAACGCACACATCACAAAGGAGTTTCTGAGAATCATTCTGTCTAGTTTTTATACGAAGATATTTCCTTTTCTACCATGGACCTCAAAGCGGCTGAAATCTCCACTAGCAAATTCCACAAAAAGAGTGTTTCAAGTCTGCTCTGTGTAAAGGATCGTTCAACTCTGTGAGTTGAATACACACAACACAAGGAAGATTCTGAGAATTCTTCTGTCTAGCAGAATATGAAGAAATCCCGTTTCCAACGAAGGCCACAAGATGTCAGAATATCCACTTACAGACTTTACAAACAGAGTGTTTCCTAACTGCTCTATGAACAGAAAGGTTAAACTCTGTGAGTTGAACGAACACATCACAACGCAGTTTGTGGGAATAATTCTGTCTAGTTTTGAAACGAAGATATTTCCTTTTCTGCCGTTGACCTTAAAGCGCTTGAAATCTACACTTGCAAATTGCACAAATAGAGTGTTTCAAATCTGCTCTGTCTAAGGGAACGTTCAACTCTGTGAGTTGAATGCACACAACACAAGGAAGTTACTGGGAATTCTTCTGTCTAGCCTTACATGAAAAAAACCCGTTTCCAACGAAGGCCTCTAAGTGGTCAAAATATCCACGTGCAGACTTTACAAACAGAGTGTTTCCAAACCGCTGAATGAAAAGAAAAGTTAAACTCTGAGAGTTGAACGCACACATCACACAGCAGTTTCTGAGAATGATTCTGTCTCGTTTTTATACGAAGATATTTCCTTTTCTGCCTTTGGCCCCAAAGCGCTTGAAATCTCCACTTGCAAATTCCACAAAAACAGTGTTTCAAATCTGCTCTCTCCAAATGAAAGTTCAACTCTGTCAGTTGAATACACACAACACAAGGAAGTTACTGAGAATTCTTCTGTCTAGCAGAATATGAAGAAATCCCGTTTCCAACGAAGGCCTCAAGGAGGACTGAATATCCACTTGCAGACTTTACAAACAGAGTGTTTCCTAACTGCTCTATGAAAAGAAATGTTAAACTCTGTGAGTTGAACGTACACATCACAAAGGAGTTTATGAGAATCATTCTGTCTAGTTTCTATAGGAAGATATTTCCTATTCTACCATTGACCTCAAAGCGGCTGAAATCTCCACTTGCAGATTCCACAAGAAGAGTGTTTCAAGTATGCTCTGTGTAAAGGATCGATCAACTCTGTGAGTTGAATACACACAACACAAGGAAGTTACTGAGAATTTTTTCTGTCTAGCAGAATATGAAGAAATCCCGTTTCCAACGAAGGCCACAAGATGTCAGAATATCCACTTACAGAATTTACAAACAGACTGTTTCCTAACTGCTCTATGAAAAGAAAGGTTAAACTCTGTGAGTTGAACGAACACATCACAACGCAGTTTGTGGGAATGATTCTGTCTAGTTTTGAAACGAAGATATTTCCTTTTCTGCCATTGACCTTAAAGCGCTTGAAATCTCCATTTGCCAATTGCACAAAAAGAGTGTTTCAAATCTGCTCTGTCTAAGGGAACGTTCAACTCTGTGAGTTGAATGTACACAACACAAGGAAGTTACTGGGAATTCTTCTGTCTAGCCTTACAGGAAAAAATCCCGTTTCCAACGAAGGCCTCTAAGTGGTCAAAATATCCACGTGCAGACTTTACAAACAGAGTGTTTCCAAACTGTTGAATGAAAAGAAAAGTTAAACTCTGAGAGTTGAACGCACACATCGCAGAGCAGTTTCTGAGAATGATTCTGTCTAGTTTTGAAACGAAGATATTTCCTTTTCTGCCTTTGGCCTCAAAGCGCTTGAAATCTCCACTTGCAAATTCCACAAAAAGAGTGTTTCAAATCTGCTCTGGGTAAATGAAAGTTCAACTCTGTGAGTTGAACACACACAACACAAGGAAGTTACTGGGAATTCTTCTGTCTAGCACAGTATGAAGAAACCCGTTTCCAACGAAGGCCTCAAAGAGGTCTGAATATCCACTTGCAGAGTTTGAAAACACAGTGTTTCCTAACTACTCTATGAAAAGAAAGGTTAAACTCTGTGAGTTGAACACACACATCACAAAGAAGTTTCTGAGAATCATTCTGTCTAGTTTCTATAGGAAGATATTTCCTATTCTACCATTGACCTCAAAGCGGCTGAAATCTCCACTTGCAAATTCCACAAAAAGAGTGTTTCAAGTCTGCTCTGTGTAAAGGATCGTTCAACTCTGTGAGTTGAATACACACAACACAAGGAAGTTACTGAGAATTATTCTGTCTAGCAGAATATGAAGAAATCCCGTTTCCAACGAAGGCCACAAGATGTCAGAATATCCACTTACAGACTTTACAAACAGAGTGTTTCCTAACTGCTCTATGAACAGAAAGGTTAAATTCTGTGAGTTGAACGAACACATCACAACGCAGTTTGTGGGAATGATTCTGTCTAGTTTTGAAACGAAGATATTTCCTTTTCTGCCATTGACCTTAAAGCGCTTGAAATCTACACTTGCAAATTGCACAAATAGAGTGTTTCAAATCTGCTCTGTCTAAGGGAACGTTCAACTCTGTGAGTTGAATGCACAAAACACAAGGAAGTTACTGGGAATTCTTCTGTCTAGCATAATATGAAGAAATCCCGTTTCCTACGAAGGCCTCAAAGAGGTCTGAATATCCACTTGCAGACTTTACAAACAGAGTGTTTCCTAACTGCTCTATGAAAAGAAAAGTTAAACTTTGTGAGTTGAACGCACACATTAGAAAGGAGTTTATGAGAATCATTCTGTCTAGTTTCTATAGGAAGATATTTCCTATTCTACCATTGACCTCAAAGCGGCTGAAATCTCCAATTGCAAATTCCACAAAAGGAGTGTTTCAAGTCTGCTCTGTGTAAAGGATCGTTCAACTCTGTGAGTTGAATACACACAACACAAGGAAGTTACTGAGAATTCTTCTGTCTAGCATAATATGAAGAAATCCCGTTTCCAACGAAGGCCTCAAGGAGGTCTGAATATCCACTTGCAGACTTTACAAACAGAGTGTTTCCTAACTGCTCTATGAAAAGAAAGGTTAAACTGTGTGAGTTGAACGCTCACATCACAAAGGAGTTTCTCAGAATCATTCTGTCTAGTTTTTATACGAAGATATTTCCTTTTCTACCATTGACCTCAACGCGGCTGAAATCTCCACTTGCAAATTCCACAAAAAGAGTGTTTCAAATCTGCTGTGTGTAAATGAAAGTTCAACTCTGTGAGTTGAACACACACAACACAAGGAAGTTACTGGGAATTCTTCTGTCTAGCAGAATATGAAGAAATCCCGTTTCCAACGAAGGCCACAAGATGTCAGAATATCCACTTACAGAATTGACAAACAGACTGTTTCCTAACTCCTCTATGAAAAGAAAGGTTAAACTCTGTGAGTTGAACGAACACATCACAACGCAGTTTGTGGGAATGATTCTGTCTAGTTTTGAAACGAAGATATTTCCTTTTCTGCCATTGACCTTAAAGCGCTTGAAATCTCCATTTGCCAATTGCACAAAAAGAGTGTTTCAAATCTGCTCTGTCTAAGGGAACGTTCAACTCTGTGAGTTGAATGTACACAACACAAGGAAGTTACTGGGAATTCTTCTGTCTAGCCTTACATGAAAAAAACCCGTTTCCAACGAAGGCCTCTAAGTGGTCAAGTTATCCACGTGCAGACTTTACAAACAGAGTGTTTCCAAACTGCTGAATGAAAAGAAAAGTTAAACTCTGAGAGTTGAACGCACACATCGCAGAGCAGTTTCTGAGAATGATGCTGTCTAGTTTTTATACGAAGATATTTCCTTTTCTGCCTTTGGCCTCAAAGGGCTTGAAATCTCCACTTGCAAATTCCACAAAAAGAGTGTTTCAAATCTGCTCTGTGTAAATGAAAGTTCAACTCTGTGAGTTGAACACACACAACACAAGGAAGTTACTGGGAATTCTTCTGTCTAGCATAATATGAAGAAATCCCGTTTCCAACGAAGGCCTCAAAGGGGTCTGAATATCCACTTGCAGACTTTATAAACAGAGTGTTTACTAACTGCTCTATGAAAAGAAAGGTTAAACTCTGTGAGTTGAACACACACATCACAAAGGAGTTTCTGAGAATGATTCTGTCTAGTTTTTATACGAAGATATTTCCTTTTCTACCATTGACCTCAACGCGGCTGAAATCTCCACTTGCAAATTCCACAAAAAGAGTGTTTCAAGTCTGCTCTGTGTAAAGGATCGTTCAACTCTGTGAGTTGAATACACACAACACAAGGAAGTTACTGAGAATTCTTCTGTGTAGCACAGTATGAAGAAATCCCGTTTCCAACGAAGGCCTCAAAGAGGTCTGAATATCCACTTGCAGAGTTTACAAACAGACTGTTTCCTAACTGCTCTATGAAAAGAAAGGTTAAACTCTGTGAGTTGAACGCACACATCACCAAGAAGTTTCTGAGAATCATTCTGTCTAGTTTTTATAGGAATATATTTCCTTTTCTACCTTTGACTTCAAAGCGGCTGAAATCTCCACTTGCAAATTCCACAAAAAGAGTGTTACAAGTCTGCTCTGTGTAAAGGATCGTTCAACTCTGTGAGTTGAATACACACAACACAAGGAAGTTACTGAGAATTCTTCTGTCTAGCCTTACATGAAAAAAACCCGTTTCCAACGAAGGACTCTAAGTGGTCAAATTATCCACGTGCAGACTTTACAAACAGAGTGTTTCCAAACTGCTGAATGAAAAGAAAAGTTAAACTCTGAGAGTTGAACGCACACATCGCAGAGCAGTTTCTGAGAATGATTCTGTCTAGTTTTTATACGAAGATATTTCCTTTTCTGCCTTTGGCCTGAAAGCGCTTGAAATCTCCACTTGCAAATTCCACAAAAAGAGTGTTTCAAATCTGCTCTGTGTAAATGAAAGTTCAACTCTGTGAGTTGAACACACACAACACAAGGAAGTTACTGGGAATTCTTCTGTCTAGCCTTATATGAAAAAAACCCGTTTCCAACGAAGGCCTCAAAGAGGTCTGAATATCCACTTGCAGACTTTACAAACAGAGTGTTTCCTAACTGCTGTATGTAAAGAAAGTTTAAACTCTGTGAGTTGAACGCACACATCACAAAGGAGTTTCTGAGAATCATTCTGTCTAGTTTTTGTACGAAGATATTTCCTTTTCTAACACGGACCTCAAAGCGGCTGAAATCTCCACTTGCAAATTCCACAAAAAGAGTGTTTCAAGTCTGCTCTGTGTAAAGGATCGTTCAACTCTGTGAGTTGAATACACACAACACAAGGAAGATTCTGAGAATTCTTCTGTCTAGCCTTACATGAAAAAAACCCGTTTCCAACGAAGGTCTCTAAGTGGTCAAATTATCCACGTGCAGACTTTACAAACAGATTGTTTCCAAACTGCTGAATGAAAAGAAAAGTTAAACTCTGAGAGTTGAACGCACACATCGCAGAGCAGTTTCTGAGAATGATTCTGTCTAGTTTTGAAACGAAGATATTTCCTTTTCTGCCATTGACCTTAAAGCGCTTGAAATCTCCACTTGCCAAGTGCACAAAAAGAGTGTTTCAAATCTGCTCTGTGTAAGGGAACGTTCAACTCTGTGAGTTGAATGTACACAACACAAGGAAGTTACTGGGAATTCTTCTGTCTAGCCTTACAGGAAAAAAACCCGTTTCCAACGAAGGCCTCTAAGTGGTCAAAATATCCACGTGCAGACTTTACAAACAGAGTGTTTCCAAACTGCTGAATGAAAAGAAAAGTTAAACTCTGAGAGTTGAACGCGCACATTGCAGAGCAGTTTCTGAGAATGATTCTGACAAGTTTTTATACGAAGATATTTCCTTTTCTGCCTTTGGCCTCAAAGCGCTTGAAATCTCCACTTGCAAATTCCACAAAAAGAGTGTTTCAAATCTGCTCTGTGTAAATCAAAGTTCAACTCTGTGAGTTGAACACACACAACACAAGGAAGTTACTGGGAATTCTTCTGTTTAGCCTTATATGTAAAAAACCCGTTTCCAACGAAGGCCTCAAAGAGGTCTGAATATCCACTTGCAGACTTTACAAACAGAGTGTTTCCTAACTGCTCTATGAAAAGAAAGGTTAAACTCTGTGAGTTGAACGCACACATCACAAAGGAGATTCTGAGAATCATTCTGTCTAGTTTTTATACGAAGATATTTCCTTTACTACCATTGACCTCAAAGCGGCTGAAATCTCCCCTTGCAAATTCCACAAAAAGAGTGTTTCAAGTCTGCACTGTGTAACGGATCGTTCAACTCTGTGAGTTGAATGCACACAACACAAGGAAGTTTCTGAGAATTCTTCTGTCTAGCAGAATATGAAGAAATCCCGTTTCCAACGAAGGCCTCAAAGAGGTCTGAATATCCACTTGCAGACTTTACAAACAGAGTGTTTCCTAACTGCTCTACGAAAAGAAAGGTTAAACTCTGTGAGTTGAACGCACACATCACAAAGGAGTTTCTGAGAATCATTCTGTCTAGTTTTGAAACGAAGATATTTCCTTTTCTGCCATTGAACTTAAAGCGCTTGAAATCTCCATTTGCCAATTGCACAAAAAGAGTGTTTCAAATCTGCTCTGTCTAAGGGAACGTTCAACTCTGTGAGTTGAATGTACACAACACAAGGAAGTTACTGGGAATTCTTCTGTCTAGCCTTACATGAAAAAAAACCGTTTCCAACGAAGGCCTCTAAGTGGTCAAAATTTCCACGTGCAGACTTTACAAACAGAGTGTTTCCAAACCGCTGAATGAAAAGAAAAGTTAAACTCTGAGAGTTGAACGCACACATCACGCAGCAGTTTCTGAGAATGATTCTGTCTAGTTTCTATAGGAAGATAATTCCTATTCTACCATTGACCTCAAAGCGGCTGAAATCTCCACTTGCAAATTCCACAAAAGGAGTGTTTCAAGTCTGCTCTGAGTAAAGGATCATTCAACTCTGTGAGTTCAATACACACAACACAAGGAAGTTTCTGAGAATTCTTCTGTCTAGCATAATATGAAGAAATCCCGTTTCCAACGAAGGCCTCAAGGAGGTCTGAATATCCACTTGCAGACTTTACAAACAGAGTGTTTCCTAACTGCTCTATGAAAAGAAAGGTTAAACTCTGTGAGTTGAACGCACACATCACAAAGGAGTTTCTGAGAATCATTCTGTCTAGTTTTTATACGAAGATATTTCCTTTTCTACCATTGACCTCAAAGCGGCTGAAATCTCCTCTTGCAAATTACACAAAAAGATTGTTTCAAGTCTACTCTGTGTAAAGCATCGTTCAACTCTGTGAGTTGAAAACACACAACACAAGGAAGTTTCTGAGAATTCTTCTCTCTAGCAGAACATGAAGAAATCCCGCTTCCAACGAAGGCCTCAAAGAAGTCTGAATATCCACTTGCAGACTTTTCAAACAGAGTGTTTCCCAACTGCTCTATGAAAAGAAAGGTTGAACTCTGTGAGTTGAACGCACACATCACAAAGGAGTTTCTGAGAATAATTCTGTCTAGTTTTAAAACGAAGAAATTTCCTTTTCTGCCATTGACCTTAAAGCGCTTGAAATCTACACTTGCAAATTGCACAAATAGAGTGTTTCAAATCTGCTCTGTCTAAGGGAACGTTCAACTCTGTGAGTTGAATGCACACAACAACAAGGAAGTTACTGGGAATTCTTCTGTCTAGCCTTACATGAAAAAAACCCGTTTCCAACGAAGGCCTCTAAGTGGTCAAATTATCCACGTGCAGACTTTACAAACAGAGTGTTTCCAAACTGCTGAATGAAAAGAAAAGTTATACTCTGAGAGTTGAACGCACACATCGCAGAGCAGTTTCTGAGAATGATTCTGTCTAGTTTTTATACGAAGATATTTCCTTTTCTGCCTTTGGTCCCAAAGCGCTTGAAATCTCCACTTGCAAATTCCACAAAAACAGTGTTTCAAATCTGCTCTCTCTAAATGAAAGTTCAACTCTGTCAGTTGAATACACACAACACAAGGGAAGTTACTGAGAATTCTTCTGTATAGCAGAACATGAAGAAATCCCGTTTCCAACGAAGGCCTCAAGGAGGTCTGAATATCCACTTGCAGACTTTACAAACAGAGTGTTTCCTAACTGCTCTATGAAAAGAAAGGTTAAACTCTGTGAGTTGAACGCACACATCACAAAGGAGTTTCTGAGAATCATTTTGTCTAGTTTTTCTACGAAGATATTTCCTTTTCGACTATTGACCTCAAAGCGGCTGAAATCTCCACTTGCAAATTCCACAAAAAGAGTGTTTCAAGTCTGCTCTGTGTAAAGGATCGTTCAACTCTGTGAGTTGAATACACACAACACAAGGGAAGTTACTGAGAATTCTTCTGTCTAGCCTTACATGAAAAAAACCCGTTTCCAACGAAGGCCTCTAAGTGGTCAAATTATCCACGTGCAGACTTTACAAACAGAGTGTTTCCAAACTGCTGAATGAGAAGAAAAGTTAAACTCTGTGAGTTGAACGAACACATCACAACGCAGTTTGTGGGAATGATTCTGTCTAGTTTTGAAACGAAGATATTTCCTTTTCTGCCATTGACCTTAAAGCGCTTGAAATCTCCACTTGCCAATTGCACAAAAAGAGTGTTTCAAATCTGCTCTGTCTAAGGGAACGTTCAACTCTGTGAGTTGAATGTACACAACACAAGGAAGTTACTGGGAATTCTTCTGTCTAGCCTTACATGAAAAAAACCCGTTTCCAACGAAGGCCTCTAAGTGGTCAAAATTTCCACGTGCAGACTTTACAAACAGAGTGTTTCCAAACCGCTGAATGAAAAGAAAAGTTAAACTCTGAGAGTTGAACGCACACATCACACAGCAGTTTCTGAGAATGATTATGTCTAGTCTTTATACGAAGATATTTACTTTTCTACCATTGACCTCAAAGCGGCTGAAATCTCCACTTGCAATTTCCACAAAAAGAGTGTTTCAAGTCTGCTCTGTGTAAAGGATCATTCAACTCTGTGAGTTGAATAAACACAACAGAAGGAAGTTACTGAGAATTCTTCTGTCTAGCATAATATGAAGAAATCCCGTTTCCAACGAAGGCCTCAAGGAGGTCTGAATATCCACTTGCAGACTTTACAAACAGAGTGTTTCCTAACTGCTCTATGAAAAGAAAGGTTAAACTCTGTGAGTTGAACGCACGCATCACAAAGGAGTTTCTGAGAATCATTCTGTCTAGTCTTTATACGAAGATATTTCCTTTTCTACCATTGACCTCAAAACGGCTGAAATCTCCACTTGCAAATTCCACGAAAAGAGTGTTTCAAGTCTGCTCTGTGTAAAGGATCGTTCAACTCTGTGAGTTGAATACACACAACACAAGGAAGTTACTGAGAATTCTTCTGTCTAGCAGAATATGAAGAAATCCCGTTTCCAACGAAGGCCACAAGATGTCAGAATATCCACTTACAGACTTTACAAACAGAGTGTTTCCTAACTGCTCTATGAACAGAAAGGTTAAACTCTGTGAGTTGAACGAACACATCACAACGCAGTTTGTGGGAATGATTCTGTCTTGTTTTGAAAGGAAGATATTTCCTTTTCTGCCGTTGACCTTAAAGCGCTTGAAATCTACACTTGCAAATTGCACAAATAGGCTGTTTCAAATCTGCTCTGTCTAAGGGAACGTTCAACTCTGTGAGTTGAATGCACACAACACAAGGAAGTTACTGGGAATTCTTCTGTCTAGCCTTACATGCAAAAAACCAGTTTCCAACGAAGGCCTCTAAGTGGTCAAAATATCCACGTGCAGACTTTACAAACAGAGTGTTTCCAAACCGCTGAATGAAAAGAAAAGTTAAACTCTGAGAGTTGAACGCACACATCACGCAGCAGTTTCTGAGAATGATTCTGTCTAGTTTTTATACGAAGACATTTCCTTTTCTGCCTTTGGCCCCAAAGCGCTTGAAATCTCCATTTGCAAATTCCACAAAAACAGTGTTTCAAATCTGCTCTCTCTAAATGAAAGTTCAACTCTGTCAGTTGAATACACACAACACAAGGAAGTTACTGAGAATTCTTCTGTCTAGCATAATATGAAGAAATCCCGTTTCCAACGAAGGCCTCAAAGGGGTCTGAATATCCACTTGCAGACTTTATAAACAGAGTGTTTCCTAACTGCTCCATGAAAAGAAAGGTTAAACTCTGTGAGTTCAACGCACACATCACAAAGGAGTTTATGAGAATCATTCTGTCTAGTTTCTATAGGAAGATATTTCCTATTCTACCATTGACCTCAAAGCGGCTGAAATCTCCACTTGCAAATTCCACAAAAAGAATGTTTCAAGTCTGCTCTGTGTAAAGCATCGTTCAACTCTGTGAGTTGAATACACACAACACAAGGAAGTTACTGAGAATTCTTCTGTCTAGCATAATATGAAGAAATCCCGTTTCCAACGAAGGCCTCAAAGAGGTCTGAATATCCACTTGCAGACTTTACAAACCGAGTGTTTCCTAACTGCTCTATGAAAAGAAAAGTTAAACTCTGTGAGTTGAACGCACACATCACAAAGGAGTTTCTGAGAATCATTCTGTCTAGTTTTGAAACGAAGATATTTCCTTTTCTGCCATTGACCTTAAAGCGCTTGAAATCTCCATTTGCCAATTGCACAAAAAGAGTGTTTCAAATCTGCTCTGTCTAAGGGAACGTTCAACTCTGTGAGTTGAATGTACACAACACAAGGAAGTTACTGGGAATTCTTCTGTCTAGCCTTACAGGAAAAAAACCCGTTTCCAACGAAGGCCTCTAAGTGGTCAAAATATCCACGTGCAGACTTTACAACCAGAGTGTTTCCAAACTGCTGAATGAAAAGAAAAGTTAAACTCTGAGAGTTGAACGCACACATCGCAGAGCAGTTTCTGAGAATGATTCTGTCTAGTTTTGAAACGAAGACATTTCCTTTTCTGCCTTTGGCCTCAAAGCGCTTGAAATCTCCACTTGCAAATTCCACAAAAAGAGTGTTTCAAATCTGCTCTGTGTAAATGAAAGTTCAACTCTGTGAGTTGAATACACACAACACAAGGAAGTTACTGAGAATTCTTCTGTCTAGCATAATATGAAGAAATCCCGTTTCCAACGAAGGCCTCAAAGAGGTCTGAATATCCACTTGCAGACTTTACAAACAGAGTGTTTCCTAACTGCTCTATGAAAAGAAAAGTTAAACTCTGTGAGTTGAACGCACACATCAGAAAGGAGTTTCTGAGAATCATTCTGTCTAGTTTTTATAGGAAGATATTTCCTTTTCTACCATTGACCTCAAAGCGGCTGAAATCTCCACTTGCAAATTCCACAAAAACAGTGTTTCAAGTCTGCTCTGTGTAAAGGATCGTTGAACTCTGTGAGTTGAATACACACAACACAAGGAAGTTACTGAGAATTATTCTGTCTAGCAGAATATGAAGAAATCCCGTTTCCAACGAAGGCCTCAAGGAGGTCGGATATCCACTTGCAGACTTTACAAACAGAGTGTTTCCTAACTGCTCTATGAACAGAAAGGTTAAACTCTGTGAGTTGAAGGCACACATCACAAAGGAGTTTCTGAGAATCATTCTGTCTAGTTTTGAAACGAAGATATTTCCTTTTCTGCCATTGACCTTAAAGCGCTTGAAATCTACACTTGCAAATTGCACAAATAGAGTGTTTCAAATCTGCTCTGTCTAAGGGAACGTTCAACTCTGTGAGTTGAATGCACACAACACAAGGAAGTTACTGGGAATTCTTCTGTCTAGCCTTACATGAAAAAAACCCGTTTCCAACGAAGGCCTCTAAGTGGTCAAAATATCCACGTGCAGTCTTTACAAACAGAGTGTTTCCAAACCGCTGAATGAAAAGAAAAGTTAAACTCTGAGAGTTGAACGCACACATCACGCAGCAGTTTTCTGAGAATGATTTCTGTCTAGTTTTCATACGAAGATGTTTCCTTTTCTGCCTTTGGCCCCAAAGCGCTTGAAATCTCCACTTGCAAATTCCACAAAAACAGTGTTTCAAAACTGCTCTCTCTAAATGAAAGTTCAACTCTGTCAGTGTGAATACACACAACACAAGGAAGTTACTGAGAATTCTTCTGTCTAGCCTTACATGAAAAAAACCCGTTTCCAACGAAGGCCTCAAAGAGGTCTGAATATCCACTTGCAGACTTTACAAACAGAGTGTTTCCTAACTGCTCTATGAAAAGAAAGGTTAAACTCTGTGAGTTGAACGCACACATCACAATGAAGTTTCTGAGAATCATTTTGTCTAGTTTCTATAAGAAGATATTTCCTATTCTACCATTGACCTCAAAGCGGCTGAAATCTCCACTTGCAAATTCGACAAAAAGAGTGTTTCAAGCCTGCTCTCTGTAAAGGATCCTTCAACTCTGTGAGTTGAATACACACAACACAAGGAAGTTACTGAGAATTATTCTGTCTAGCATAATATGAAGAAATCCCGTATCCAACGAAGGCCTCAAACAGGTCTGAATATCCACTTGCAGACTTTACAAACAGAGTGTTTCCTAACTGCTCTATGAGAAGAAAAGTTAAACTCTGTGAGTTGAACGCACACATCACAAAAGATTTTCTGAGAATCATTCTGTCTAGTTTTGAAACGAAGATAATTCCTTTTCTGCCATTGACCTCAAAGCGCTTCAAATCTCCACTTGCCAATTGCACAAAAAGAGTGTTTCAAATCTGCTCTGTCTAAGGGAACGTTCAACTCTGTGAGTTGAATGTACACAACGCAAGGAAGTTACTGGGAATTCTTCTGTCTAGCATAGTATGAAGAAATCCCGTTTCCAACGAAGGCCTCAAAGAGGTCTGAATATCCACTTGCAGAGTTTACAAACTGAGTGTTTCCAAACTGCTGAATGAAAAGAAAAGTTAAACTCTGAGAGTTGAACGCACACATCGCAGAGCAGTTTCTGAGAATGATTCTGTCTAGTTTTTATACGAAGATATTTCCTTTTCTGCCTTTGGTCTCAAAGCGCTTGAAATCTCCACCTGCAAATTCCACAAAAAGAGTGTTTCAAATCTGCTCTGTGTAAATGAAAGTTCAACTCTGTGAGTTGAACACACACAACACAAGGAAGTTACTGGGAATTCTTCTGTCTAGCATAATATGAAGAAATCCCGTTTCCAACGAAGGCCTCAAGGAGGTCTGAATATCCACTTGCAGACTTTACAAACAGAGTGTTTCCTATCTGCTCTATGAAAAGAAAGGTTAAACTCTGTGAGTTAAACGCACACATCACAAAGGAGTTTCTGAGAATCACTCTGTCTAGTTTTTATAGGAAGATATTTCCTTTTCTACCTTTGACTTCAAAGCGGCTGAAATCTCCACTTGCAAATTCCACAAAAAGAGTGTTACAAGTCTGCTGTGTGTAAAGGATCGTTCAACTCTGTGAGTTGAATACACACAACACAAGGAAGGTACTGAGAATTCTTCTGTCTAGCAGAATATGAAGAAATCCCGTTTCCAACGAAGGCCTCTAGGAGGTCTCAATATCTACTTGCAGACTTTACAAACAGAGTGTTTCCTAACTGCTCTATGAACAGAAAGGTTAAACTCTGTGAGTTGAACGAACACATCACAACGCAGTTTGTGGGAATGATTCTGTCTAGTTTTGAAACGAAGATATTTCCTTTTCTGCCGTTGACCTTAAAGCGCTTGAAATCTACACTTGCAAATTGCACAAATAGAGTGTTTCAAATCTGCTCTGTCTAAGGGAACGTTCAACTCTGTGAGTTGAATGCACACAACACAAGGAAGTTACTGGGAATTCTTCTGTCTACCCTTACATGAAAAAAACCCGTTTCCAACGAAGGCCTCTAAGTGGTCAAAATATCCACGTGCAGACTTTACAAACAGAGTGTTTCCAAACTGCTGAATGAAAAGAAAAGTTAAACTCTGAGAGTTGAACGCACACATCACAGAGCATTTTCTGAGAATGATTCTGTCTAGTTTTTATACGAAGATATTTCCTTTTCTACCATTGACCTCAAAGCGGCTGAAATCTCCACTTGCAAACTCCACAAAAAGAGTGTTTCAAGTCTGCTCTGTGTAAAGGATCGTTCAACTCTGTGAGTTGAATACACACAACACAAGGAAGTTACTGAGAATTCTTCTGTCTAGCCTTATATGAAAAAAACCCGTTTCCAACGAAGGCCTCAAAGAGGTCTGAATATCCACTTGCAGACTTTACAGAGTGTTTCCTAACTGCTCTATGAAAAGAAAGGTTAAACTCTGTGAGGTGAACGCACACATCACAAGGAAGTTTCTGAGAATCATTCTGTCTAGTTTTTATAGGAAGATATTTCCTTTTCTACCTTTGACGTCAAAGCGGCTGAAATCTCCACTTGCAAATTCCACAAAAAGAGTGTTACAAGTCTGCTCTGTGTAAAGGATCGTTCAACTCTGTGAGTTGAATACACACAACAACAAGGAAGTTACTGAGAATTCTTCTGTCTAGCAGAATATGAAGAAATCCCGTTTCCAGCGAAGGCCACAAGATGTCAGAATATCCACTTACAGACTTTACAGAGTGTTTCCTAACTGCTCTATGAACAGAAAGGTAAAACTCTGTGAGTTGAACGAACACATCACAACGCAGTTTGTGGGAATGATTCTGTCTAGTTTTTATACGAAGATATTCCCTTTTCTACCATTGACCTCAAAGCAGCTGAAATCACCACTTGCCAATTGCACAAAAAGAGTGTTTCAAATCTGCTCTGTCTAAGGGAACGTTCAACTCTGTGAGTTGAATGTACACAACACAAGGAAGTTACTGGGAATTCTTCTGTCTAGCCTTACAAGAAAAAAACCCGTTTCCAACGAAGGCCTCTAAATGGTCAAAATATCCACGTGCAGACTTTACAAACAGAGTGTTTCCAAACTGCTGAATGAAAAGAAAAGTTAAACTCTGAGAGTTGAACGCACACATCACAGAGCAGTTTCTGAGAATGATTCTCTCTAGTTTTTATACGAAGATATTTCCTTTTCTACCATTGACCTCAAAGCGGCAGAAATCTCCACTTGCAAATTCCACAAAAAGAGTGTTTCAAGTCTGCTCTGTGTAAAGGATAGTCCAACTCTGTGAGTTGAATACACACAACACAAGGAAGTTACTGAGAATTCTTCTGTCTAGCATAATATGAAGAAATCCCGTTTCCAACGAAGGCCTCAAAGAGGTCTGAATATCCAATTGCAGACTTTACAAACAGAGTGTTTCCTAACTGCTCTATGAAAAGAAAGGTTAAACTCTGTGAGTTGAACGCACACATCACAAAGGAGTTTCTGAGAATCATTCTGTCTAGTTTCTATAGGAAGATATTTCCTATTCTACCATTGACCTCAAAGCGGCTGAAATCTCAACTTGCAAATTCCACAGAAGGAGTGTTTCAAGTCTTCTCTGAGTAAAGGATCGTTCAACTCTGTGAGTTGAATACACACAACACAAGGAAATTTCTGAGAAATCTTCTGTCTAGCAGAATATGAAGAAATCCCGTTTCCAACGAAGGTCACAAGATGTCAGAATATCCACTTACAGAATTTACAAACAGACTGTTTCCTAACTGCTCTATGAAAAGAAAGGTTAAACTCTGTGAGTTGAACGAACACATCACAACGCAGTTTGTGGCAATGATTCTGTCTAGTTTTGAAACGAAGATATTTCCTTTTCTGCCATTGAACTTAAAGCGCTTGAAATCTCCATTTGCCAATTGCACAAAAAGAGTGTTTCAAATCTGCTCTGTCTAACGGAACGTTCAACTCTGTGAGTTGAATGTACACAACACAAGGAAGTTACTGGGAATTCTTCTGTCTAGCCTTACATGAAAAAACCCGTTTCCAACGAAGGCCTCTAAGTTGTCAAATTATCCACGTGCAGACTTTACAAACAGAGTGTTTCCAAACTGCTGAATGAAAAGAAAAGTTAAAGTCTGAGAGTTGAACGCACACATCGCAGAGCAGTTTCTGAGAATGATTCTGTCTAGTTTTTTTACGAAGATATTTCCTTTTCTGCCTTTGGCCTCAAAGCGCTTGACATCTCCACTTGCAAATTCCACAAAAAGAGTGTTTCAAATCTGCTCTGTGTAAATGAAAGTTCAACTCTGTGAGTTGAACACACACAACACAAGGAAGTTACTGGGAATTCTTCTGTCTAGCATAATATGAGGAAATCCCGTTTCCAACGAAGGCCTCAAAGGGGTCTGATTATCCACTTGCAGACTTTATAAACAGAGTGTTTACTAACTGCTCTATGAAAAGAAAGGTTAAACTCTGTGATTTGAACACACACATCACAAAGGACTTTCTGAGAATCATTCTGTCTAGTTTCTATAGGAAGATATTTCCTATTCTACCATTGACCTCAAAGCGGCTGAAATCTCCACTTGCAAATTCCACAAAAAGAGTGTTTCAAGTGTGCTCTCTGTAAAGGATCGTTCAACTCTGTGAGTTGAATACACACAACACAAGGAAGTTACTGACAATTATTCTGTCTAGCAGAATATGAGGAAATCCCGTTTCCAACGAAGGCCTCAAGGAGGTCTGAATATCCACTTGCAGACTTTACAAACAGAGTGTTTCCTAACTGCTCTATGAACAGAAAGGTTAAACTCTGTGAGTTGAACGAACACATCACAACGCAGTTTGTGGGAATGATTCTGTCTAGTTTTGAAACGAAGATATTTCCTTTTCTGCCGTTGACCTTAAAGCGCTTGAAATCTACACTTGCAAATTGCACAAATAGAGTGTTTCAAATCTGCTCTGTCTAAGGGAACGTTCAACTCTGTGAGTTGAATGCACACAACACAAGGAAGTTACTGGGAATTCTTCTGTCTAGCCTTACAAGAAAAAAACCCGTTTCCAACGAAGGCCTCTAAATGGTCAAAATATCCACGTGCAGACTTTACAAACAGAGTGTTTCCAAACTGCTGAATGAAAAGAAAAGTTAAACTCTGAGAGTTGAACGCACACATCGCAGAGCAGTTTCTGAGAATGATTCTGTCTAGTTTCTATAGGAAGATATTTCCTATTCTACCATTGACCTCAAAGAGGCTGAAATCTCCACTTGCAAATTCCACAAAAAGAGTGTTTCAAGTCTGCTCTGTGTAAAGGATCGTTCAACTCTGTGAGTTGAAAACACACAACACAAGGAAGTTTCTGAGAATTCTTCTCTCTAGCAGAACATGAAGAAATCCCGCTTCCAACGAAGGCCTCAAAGAAGTCTGAATATCCACTTGCAGACTTTACAAACAGAGTGTTTCCCAACTGCTCTATGAAAAGAAAGGTTGAACTCTGTGAGTTGAACGCACACATCACAAAGGAGTTTCTGAGAATCATTCTGTCTAGTTTCTATAGGAAGATATTTCCTATTCTACCATTGAACTCAAAGCGGCTGAAATCTCCACTTGCAAATTACACAAAAAGAGTGTTTCAAGTCTGCTCTGTGTAAAGGATCGTTCAACTCTGTGAGTTGAATACACACAACACAAGGAAGTTACTGAGAATTCTTCTTTCTAGCAGAATATGAAGAAATCCCGTTTCCAACGAAAGCCTCAAGGATGTCTGAATATCCACTTGCAGACTTTACAAACAGAGTGTTTCCTAACTGCTCTATGAAAAGAAAGGTTAAACTCTGTGAGTTGAACGCGCACATCCCAAAGGAGTTTCTGAGAATCATTCTGTCTAGTTTTGAAACGATGATATTTCCTTTTCTGCCATTGACCTTAAAGCGCTTGAAATCTCCATTTGCCAATTGCACAAAAAGAGTGTTTCAAATCTGCTCTGTCTAAGGGAACGTTCAACTCTGTGAGTTGAATGTACACAACACAAGGAAGTTACTGGGAATTCTTCTGTCTAGCCTTACAGGAAAAAGCCCGTTTCCAACGAAGGCCTCTAAGTGGTCAAAATATCCACGTGCAGACTTTACAAACAGAGTGTTTCCAAACTGCTGAATGAAAAGAAAAGTTAAACTCTGAGAGTTGAACGCACACATCGCAGAGCAGTTTCTGAGAATGATTCTGTCTAGTTTTTATACGAAGATATTTCCTTTTCTGCCTTTGGCCCCAAACCTCTTGAAATCTCCACTTGCAAATTCCACAAAAACAGTGTTTCAAATCTGCTCTCTCTAAATGAATGTTCAACTCTGTCAGGTGAATACACACAACACAAGGTAGTTACTGAGAATTCTTCTGTCTAGCAGAATATGAAGAAATCCCGTTTCCAACGAAGGCCTCAAAGAGGTCTGAATATCCACTTGCAGACTTTACAAACAGAGTGTTTCCTAACTGCTCTATGAAAAGAAAGGTTAAACTCTGTGAGTTGAACGCACACATCACAAAAGAGTTTCTGAGAATCATTCTGTCTAGTCTTTATACGAAGATATTTCCTTTTCTACCATTGACATCAAAGCGGCTGAAATCTCCACTTGCAAATTCCACAAAAAGAGTGTTTCAAGTCTGCTCTGTGTAAAGGATCGTTCAACTCTGTGAGTTGAATACACACAACACAAGGAAGTTACTGAGAATTCTTCTGTCTAGCAGAATATGAAGAAATCCCGTTTCCAACGAAGGCCACAAGATGTCAGAATATGCACTTACAGACTTTACAAACAGAGTGTTTCCTAACTGCTCTATGAACAGAAAGGTTAAACTGCTGTGAGTTGAACGAACACATCACAACGCAGTTTGTGGGAATGATTCTGTCTAGTTTTGAAACGAAGATATTTCCTTTTCTGCCATTGACCTTAAAGCGCTTGAAATCTCCATTTGCCAATTGCACAAAAAGAGTGTTTCAAATCTGCTCTGTCTAAGGGAACGTTCAACTCTGTGAGTTGAATGTACACAACACAAGGAAGTTACTGGGAATTCTTCTGTCTAGCCTTACAGGAAAAAAACCCGTTTCCAACGTAGGCCTCTAAGTGGTCAAAATATCCACGTGCAGACTTTACAAACAGAGTGTTTCCAAACTGCTAAATGAAAAGAAAAGTTAAACTCTGAGAGTTGAACGCACACATCGCAGAGCAGTTTCTGAGAATGATTCTGTCTAGTTTTTATACGAAGATATTTCCTTTTCTGCCTTTGGCCTCAAAGCGCTTGAAATCTCCATTTGCAAATTCCACAAAAAGAGTGTTTCAAATCTGCTCTGTGTAAATGAAAGTTCAACTCTGTGAGTTGAACACACACAACACAAGGAAGTTACTGGGAATTCTTCTGTATAGCAGAATATGAAGAAATCCCGTTTCCAACGAAGGCCTCAAGGAGGTCTGAATATCCACTTGCACACTTTACAAACAGAGTGTTTCCTAACTGCTCTATGAAAAGAAAGGTTAAACTCTGTGAGTTAAACGCAGACATCACAAAGGAGTTTCTGAGAATCACTCTGTCTAGTTTTTATACGAAGATATTTCCTTTTCTACCATTGACCTCAAAGCGGCTGAAATCTCCACCCTGCCAATTCCACAAAAAGAGTGTTTCAAATCTACTCTGTGTAAAGGATCGTTGAACTCTGTGAGTTGAAAACACACAACACAACGAAGTTTCTGAGAATTCTTCTGTCTAACAGAATATGAAGAAATCCCGTTTCCAACGAAAGCCTCAAAGATGTCTGAATATCCACTTGCAGACTTTACAAACAGAGTGTTTCCTAACTGCTCTATGAAAAGAAAGGTTAAACTCTGTGAGTTGAACGCACACATCACAAAGGAGTTTCTGAGAATCATTCTGTCTAGTTTTGAAACGAAGATATTTCCTTTTCTGCCATTGACCTCAAAGCGCTTGAAATCTCCACTTGCCAATTGCACAAAAAGAGTGTTTCAAATCTGCTCTGTCTAAGGGAACGGTTCAACTCTGTGAGTTGAATGTACACAACACAAGGAAGTTACTGGGAATTCTTCTGTCTAGCCTTACAGGAAAAAAACCCGTTTCCAACGAAGGCCTCTAAGTGGTCAAAATATCCACGTGCAGACTTTACAAACAGAGTGTTTCCAAACTGCTGAATGAAAAGAAAAGTTAAACTCTGAGAGTTGAACGCACACATCGCAGAGCAGTTTCTGAGAATGATTCTGTCTAGTTTTTATACGAAGATATTTCCTTTTCTGCCTTTGGGCCCAAAGCGCTTGAAATCTCCACTTGCAAATTCCACAAAAACAGTGTTTCAAATCTGCTCTCTCTAAATGAAAGTTCAACTCTGTCAGTTGAATACACACAACACAAGGAAGTTACTGAGAATTCTTCTGTCTAGCAGAATATGAAGAAATCCCGTTTCCAACGAAGGCCTCAAGGAGGATCTGAATATCCACTTGCAGACTTTACAAACAGAGTGTTTCCTAACTGCTCTATGAACAGAAAGGTTAAACTCTGTGAGTTGAACGCACACATCACAAAGGAGTTTCTGAGAATCATTCTGTCTAGTTTTTATACGAAGATATTTCCTTTTCTACCATTGACCTCAACGCGGCTGAAATCTCCACTTGCAAATTCCACAAAAAGAGTGTTCCAAGTCTGCTCTGTGTAAAGGATCGTTCAACTCTGTGAGTTGAATACACACAACACAAGGAAGTTACTGAGAATTCTTCTGTCTAGCACAGTATGAAGAAATCCCGTTTCCAACGAAGACCTCGAAGAGGTCTGAATATCCACTTGCAGAGTTTACAAACAGAGTGTTTCCTAACTGCTCTATGAAAAGAAATGTTAAACTCTCTGAGTTGAACGCACACATCACAAAGAAGTTTCTGAGAATCATTCTGTCTAGTTTTGAAACGAAGATATTTCCTTTTCTGCCTTTGACCTTAAAGCGCTTGAAATCTACACTTGCAAATTGCACAAATAGAGTGTTTCAAATCTACTCTGTCTAAGGGAACGTTCAACTCTGTGATTTGATTGCACACAACACAAGGAAGTTACTGGGAATTCTTCTGTCTAGCCTTACAAGAAAAAAACCCGTTTCCAACGAAAGCCTCTAAATGGTCAAAATATCCACGTGCAGACTTTACAAACAGAGTGTTTCCAAACTGCTGAATGAAAAGAAAAGTTAAACTCTGAGAGTTGAACGCACACATCAGCAGAGCAGTTTCTGAGAATGATTCTGTCTAGTTTTTATACGAAGATATTTCCTTTTCTGCCTTTGGCCCCAAAGCGCTTGAAATCTCCACTTGCAAATTCCACAAAAACAGTGTTTCAAATCTGCTCTCTCTAAATGAAAGTTCAACTCTGTCAGCTGAATACACACAACACAAGGAAGTTACTGAGAATTCTTCTGTCTAGCCTTATATGAAAAAAACCCGTTTCCAACGAAGGCCTCAAAGAGGTCTGAATATCCACTTGCAGACTTTTACAAACAGAGTGTTTCCTAACTGCTCTATGAAAAGAAAGGTTAAACTCTGTGAGTTGAACGCACACATCACAAAGGAGTTTCTGAGAATCATCTGTCTAGTCTTTATACGAAGTTATTTCCTTTTCTACCATTGACATCAAAGCGGCTGAAATCTCCACTTGCAAATTCCACAAAAAGAGTGTTTCAAGTATGCTCTGTGTAAAGGATCGTTCAACACTGTGAGTTGAATACACACAACACAAGGAAGTTACTGAGAATTCTTTCTGTCTAGCAGAATATGAAGAAATCCCGTTTCCAACGAAGGCCACAAGATGTCAGAATATCCACTTACAGACTTTACAAACAGAGTGTTTCCTAACTGCTCTATGAACAGAAAGGTTAAACTCTGTGAGTTGAACGAACACATCACAACGCAGTTTGTGGGAATGATTCTGTCTAGTTTTGAAACGAAGATATTTCCTTTTCTGCCATTGACCTTAAACGCTTGAAATCTACAGTTGCCAATTGCACAAATAGAGTGTTTCAAATCTGCTCTGTCTAAGGGAACGTTCAACTCTGTGAGTTGAATGCACACAACACAAGGAAGTTACTGGGAATTCTTCTGTCTAGCCTTACAGGAAAAAAACCCGTTTCCAACGAAGGCCTCTAAGTGGTCAAAATATCCAAGTGCAGACTTTACAAACAGAGTGTTTCCAAACTGCTGAATGAAAAGAAAAGTTAAACTCTGAGAGTTGAACGCACACATCGCAGAGCAGTTTCTGAGAATGATTCTGTCTAGTTTTTATACGAAGATATTTCCTTTTCTGCCTTTGGCCCAAAAGCGCTTGAAATCTCCACTTGCAAATTCCACAAAAACAGTGTTTCAAATCTGCTCTCTCCAAATGAAAGTTCAACTCTGTCAGTTGAATACACACAACACAAGGAAGTTACTGAGAATTCTTCTGTCTAGCAGAATATGAAGAAATCCCGTTTCCAACGAAGGCCTCAAAGAGGTCTGAATATCCACTTGCAGACTTTACAAACAGAGTGTTTCCTAACTGCTCTATGAAAAGAAAGGATAAACTCTGTGAGTTGAACTCACACATCACAAAGGAGTTCCTGAGAATCATTCTGTCTAGTCTTTATATGAAGATAGTTTCCTTTTCTACCATTGACCTCAAAGCGGCTGAAATCTCCACTTGCAAAATTCCACAAAAAGAGTGTTTCAAGTCTGCTCTGTGTAAAGGATCGTTCAACTCTGTGAGTTGAATACACACAACACAAGGTAAGTTACTGAGAATTCTTCTGTCTAGCAGAATATGAAGAAATCCCGTTTCCAAAGAAGGCCACAAGATGTCAGAATATCTACTTACAGACTTTACAAACAGAGTTTTTCCTAACTGCTCTATGAACAGAAAGGTTAAACTCTGTGAGTTGAACGAACACATCACAACGCAGTTTGTGGGAATGATTCTGTCTAGTTTTAATACGAAGATATTTCCCTTTCTACCATTGACCTCAAAGCGGTTGAAATCACCACTTGCCAATTGCACAAAAAGAGTGTTTCAAATCTGCTCTGTCTAAGGGAACGTTCAACTCTGTGAGTAGAATGTACACAACACAATGAAGTTACTGGGAATTCTTCTGTCTAGCCTTACATGAAAAAAACCCGTTTCCAACGAAGGCCTCTAAGTGGTCAAATTATCCACGTGCAGACTTTACAAACAGAGTGTTTCCAAACTGCTGAATGAAAAGAAAAGTTAAACTCTGAGAGTTGAACGCACACATCGCAGAGCAGTTTCTGAGAATGATTCTGTCTAGTCTTTATACGAAGATATTTACTTTTCTACCATTGACCTCAAAGCGGCTGAAATCTCCACTTGCAAATTCCACAAAAAGAGTGTTTCAAGTCTGCTCTCTGTAAAGGATCATTCAACTCTGTGAGTTGAATAAACACAACACAAGGAAGTTACTGAGAATTATTCTGTCTAGCCTTATATGAACAAAACCCGTTTCCAACGAAGGCCTCAAAGAGGTCTGAATATCCACTTGCAGAGTTTACAAACAGAGTGTTTCCTAACTGCTCTATGAAAAGAAAGGTTAAACTCTGTCAGTTGAACACACACATCACAAAGAAGTTTCTGAGAATCATTCTGTCTAGTTTTTATACGAAGATATTTCCTTTTCTACCATGGGACCTCAAAGCGGCTGAAATCTCCACTTGCAAATTCCACAAAAAGAGTGTTTCAAGTCTGCTCTGTGTAAAGGATCGTTCAACTCTGTGAGTTGAATACACACAACACAAGGAAGATTCTGAGAATTCTTCTGTCTAGCAGAATATGAAGAAATCCCGTTTCCAACGAGGGCCACAAGATGTCAGAATATCCACTTACAGACTTTACAAACAGTGTGTTTCCTAACTGCTCTATGAACGGAAAGGTTAAACTCTGTGAGTTGAACGAACCCATCACAACGCAGTTTGTGGGAATGATTCTGTCTGGTTTTGAAACGAAGATATTTCCTTTTCTGCCGTTGACCTTAAAGCGCTTGAAATCTACACTTGCAAATTGCACAAATAGAGTGTTTCAAATCTTCTCTGTCTAAGGGAACGTTCAACTCTGTGAGTTGAATGCACACAACACAAGGAAGTTACTGGGAATTCTTCTGTCTAGCAGAATATGAAGAAATCCCGTTTCCAACGAAGGCCTCAAAGAGGTCTGAATATCCACTTGCAGACTTTACAAACAGAGTGTTTCCTTACTGCTCTATGAAAAGAAAAGTTAAACTCTGTGAGTTGAACGCACACATCACAAAGGAGTTTCTGAGAATCATTCTGTCTAGTTTCTATTGGAAGATATTTCCTATTCTACCATTGACCAGAAAAGCGGCTGAAATCTCCACTTGCAAATTCCACAAAAAGAGTGTTTCAAGTCTGCTCTCTGTAAAGGATCGTTCAACTCTGTGAGTTGAATACACACAACACAAGGAAGTTACTGAGAATTCTTCTTTCTAGCAGAATATGAAGAAATCCCGTTTCCAACGAAAGCCTCAAGGATGTCTGAATATCCACTTGCAGACTTTACAAACAGTGTGTTTCCCAACTGCGCTATGAAAAGAAAGGTTAAACTCTGTGAGTTGAACGCACACATCACAAAGGAGTTTCTGAGAATCATTCTGTCTAGTTTTTATAGGAAGATATTTCCTTTTCTACCATTGACCTCAAAGCGGCTGAAATCTCCACTTGCAAATTCCACAAAAAGAGTGTTTCAAGTCTACTCTGTGTAAAGGATCGTTCAGCTCTGTGAGTTGAATACACACAACACGCGGAAGTTACTGAGAATTCTTCTGTCTAGCAGAATATGAAGAAATCCCGTTTCCAACGAAGGCCACAAGATGTCAGAATATCCACTTACAGACTTTACAAACAGAGTGTTTCCTAACTGCTCTATGAACAGAAAGGTTAAACTCTGTGAGTTGAACGAACACATCAGAACGCAGTTTGTGGGAATGATTTTGTCTAGTTTTGAAACGAAGATATTTCCTTTTCTGCCATTGACCTCAAAGCGCTTGAAATCTCCACTTGCCAATTGCACAAAAAGAGTGTTTCAAATCTGCTCTGTCTAAGGAAACGTTCAACTCTGTGAGTTGAATGTACACAACACAAGGAAGTTACTGGGAATTCTTCTGTCTAGCCTTACAGGAAAAAAACCCGTTTCCAACGAAGGCCTCTAAGTGGTCAAAATATCCACGTGCAGACTTTACAAACAGAGTGTTTCCAAACTGCTGAATGAAAAGAAAAGTTAAACTCTGAGAGTTGAACGCACACATCGCAGAGCAGTTTCTGAGAATGATTCTGTCTAGTTTTTATACGAAGATATTTCCTTTTCTGCCTTTGGCCTCAAAGCGCTTGAAATCTCCACCTGCAAATTCCACAAAAAGAGTGTTTCAAATCTGCTCTGTGTAAATGAAAGTTCAACTCTGTGAGATGAACACACACAACACAAGGAAGTTACTGGGAATTCTTCTGTCTAGCATAATATGAAGAAATCCCGTTTCCAACGAAGGCCTCAAGGAGGTCTGAATATCCACTTGCAGACTTTACAAACAGAGTGTTTCCTAACTGCTCTATGAAAAGAAAGGTTAAACTCTGTGAGTTGAACGCACACATCAGAAAGGAGTTTCTCAGAATCATTCTGTCTAGTCTTTATACGAAGATATTTCCTTTTCTACCATTGACCTCAAAGCGGCTGAAATCTCCACTTGCAAATTCCACAAAAAGAGTGTTTCAAGTCTGCTCTGTGTAAAGGATCGTTCAACTCTGTGAGTTGAATACACACAACACAAGGAAGTTACTGAGAATTCTTCTGTCTAGCAGAATATGAAGAAATCCCGTTTCCAACGAAGGCCAAAAGATATCAGAATATCCACTTACAGAATTTACAAACAGACTGTTTCCTAACTGTTCTATGAAAAGAAAGGTTAAACTCTGTGAGTTGAACGAACACATCACAACGCAGTTTGTGGGAATGATTCTGTCTAGTTTTGAAACGAAGATATTTCCTTTTCTGCCATTGACCTTAAAGCGCTTGAAATCTCCATTTGCCAATTGCACAAAAAGAGTGTTTCAAATCTGCTCTGTCTAAGGGAACGTTCAACTCCGTGAGTTGAATGTACACAACACAAGGAAGTTACTGGGAATTCTTCTGTCTAGCATAATATGAAGAAATCCCGTTTCCAACGAAGGCCTCAAGGAGGTCTGAATATCCACTTCCAGACTTTACAAAGAGAGTGTTTCCTAACTGCTCTATGAAAAGAAAGGTTAAACCCTGTGAGTTCAACGCACACATCACAAAGGAGTTTCTGAGAATCATTCTGTCTAGTTTCTATAGGAAGATATTTCCTATTCTACCATTGACCTCAAAGCGGCTGAAATCTCCACTTGCAAATTCCACAACAAGAGTGTTTCAAGTATGCTCTGTGTAAAGGATCGTTCAACTCTGTGAGTTGAATACACACAACACAAGGAAGGTACTGAGAATTCTTCTGTCTAGCATAATATGAAGAAATCCCGTTTCCAACGAAGGCCTCAAGGAGGTCTGAATATCCACTTGCAGACTTTACAAACAGAGTGTTTCCTAACTGCTCTATGAAAAGAAAGGTTAAACTCTGTGAGTTGAACGCACACATCACAAGGGAGTTTCTGAGAATCATTCTGTCTAGTTTTTCTACGAAGATATTTCCTATTCTACCATTGACCTCAAAGCGGCTGAAATCTCCACTTGCAAATTCCACAAAAAGAGTGTTTCAAGTCTGCTCTCTGTAAAGGATCGTTCAACTCTGTGAGTTGAATACACACAACACAAGGAAGTTACTGAGAATTCTTCTGTCTAGCAGAATACGAAGAAATCCCGTTTCCAACGAAGGCCTCAAAGAGGTCTGAATATCCACTTACAGACTTTACAAACAGAGTGTTTCCTAACTGCTCTATGAAAAGAAATGTTAAATTCTGTGAGTTGAACGCACACATCACAAAGGAGTTTCTGAGAATCATTCTGTCTAGTTTCTATAGGAAGATATTTCCTATTCTACCATTGACCTCAAAGTGGCTGAAATCTCCACTTGCAAATTCCACAAAAAGAGTGTTTCAAGTCTGCTCTGTGTAAAGGATCGTGCAACTCTGTGAGTTGAATACACACAACACAAGGAAGTTACTGAGAATTCTTCTGTCTAGCCTTACATGAAAAAAAACCCGTTTCCAACGAAGGCCTCTAAGTGGTCAAAATATCCACGTGCAGACTTTACAAACAGAGTGTTTCCAAACCGCTGAATGAAAAGAAAAGTTAAACTCTGAGAGTTGAACGCACACATCACGCAGCAGTTTCTGAGAATGATTCTGTCTAGGTTTTATACGAAGATATTTCCTTCTCTGCCTTTGGCCTCAAAGCGCTTGAAATCTCCACCTGCAAATTCCACAAAAAGAGTGTTTCAAATCTGCTCTGTGTAAATGAAAGTTCAACTCTGTGAGTTGAACACACACAACACAAGGAAGTTACTGGGAATTCTTCTGTCTAGCCTTATATGAATAAAACCCGTTTCCAACGAAGGCCTCAAAGAGGTCTGAATATCCACTTGCAGACTTTACAAACAGAGTGTTTCCTAACTGCTCTATGAAAAGAAAGGTTAAACTCTGTGAGTTGAACGCACACATCACAAAGGAGTTTCTGAGAATCATTCTGTCTAGTTTTTATACGAAGATATTTCCTTTTCTACCATTGACCTCAAAGCGGCTGAAATCACCACTTGCCAATTGCACAAAAAGAGTGTTTCAAATCTGCTCTGTGTAAATGAAAGTTCAACTCTGTGAGTTGAACACACACAACACAAGGAAGTTACTGGGAATTCTTCTGTCTAGCAGAATATGAAGAAATCCCGTTTCCAACGAAGGCCACAAGATGTCAGAATATCCACTTACAGACTTTACAGAGTGTTTCCTAACTGCTCTATGAACAGAAAGGTAAAACTCTGTGAGTTGAACGAACACATCACAACGCAGTTTGTGGGAATGATTCTGTCTAATTTTGAAACGAAGATATTTCCTTTTCTGCCATTGACCTTAATGCGCTTGAAATCTACACTTGCAAATTGCACAAATAGAGTGTTTCAAATCTGCTCTGTCTAAGGGAACGTTCAACTCTGTGAGTTGAATGCACACAACACAAGGAAGTTACTGGGAATTCTTCTGTCTAGCCTTACAGGAAAAAAACCCGTTTCCAACGAAGGCCTCTAAGTGGTCAAAATATCCACGTGCAGACTTTACAAACAGAGTGTTTCCAAACTGCTGAATGAAAAGAAAAGTTAAACTCTGAGAGTTGAACGCACACATCGCAGAGCAGTTTCTGAGAATGATTCTGTCTAGTTTTCAAAAGAAGATATTTCCTTTTCTGCCTTTGGCCTCAAAGCGCTTGAAATCTCCACTTGCAAATTCCACAAAAAGAGTGTTTCAAATCTGCTCTGTGTAAATGAAAGTTCAACTCTGTGAGTTGAACACACACAACACAAGGAAGTTACTGGGAATTCTTCTGTCTAGCCTTATATGAAAAAAACCCGTTTCCCACGAAGGCCTCAAAGAGGTCTGAATATCCACTTGCAGACTTTACAAACAGAGTGTTTCCTAACTGCTCTATGAAAAGAAAGGTTAAACTCTGTGAGTTGAACGCACACATCACACAGGAGTTTCTGAGAATCATTCTGTCTAGTTTTTTATACGAAGATATTTCCTTTTCTACCATTGACCTCAAAGCGGCTGAAATCTCCACTTGCAAATTCCACAGAAAGAGTGTTTCAAATCTGCTCTGTGTAAACAATCGTTCAACTGTGTGAGTTGAATACACACAACACAAGGAAGATTCTGAGAATTCTTCTGTCTAGCAGAATATGAAGAAATCCCGTTTCCAACGAAGGCCACAAGATGTCAGAATATCCACTTACAGAATTTACAAACAGACTGTTTCCTAACTGCTCTACGAAAAGAAAGGTTAAACTCTGTGAGATGAACGAACACATCACAACGCAGTTTGTGGGAATGATTTCTGTCTAGTTTTGAAACGAAGATATTTCCTTTTCTGCCATTGACCTTAAAGCGCTTGAAATCTCCACTTGCCAATTGCACAAAAAGAGTGTTTCAAATCTGCTCTGTCTAAGGGAACGTTCAACTCTGTGAGTTGAATGTACACAACGCAAGGAAGTTACTGGGAATTCTTCTGTCTAGCCTTACAGGAAAAAAACCCGTTTCCAACGAAGGCCTCTAAGTGGTCAAAATATCCACGTGCAGACTTTACAAACAGAGTGTTTCCAAACTGCTGAATGAAAAGAAAAGTTAAACTCTGAGAGTTGAACGCACACATCGCAGAGCAGTTTCTGAGAATGATTCTGTCTAGTTTCTATAGGAAGATATTTCCTATTCTACCATTGACCTCAAAGCGGCTGAAATCTCCACTTGCAAATTCCACAAAAAGAATGGTTCAAGTCTGCTCTGTGTAAAGGATCGTTCAACTCTGTGAGTTGAATACACACAACACAAGGAAGTTACTGAGAATTCTTCTGTCTAGCACAGTATGAAGAAATCCCGTTTCCAACGAAGGCCTCAGAGAGGTCTGAATATCCACTTGCAGACTTTACAAACAGAGTGTTTCCTAACTGCTCTATGAAAAGAAAGGTTAAACTCTGTGAGTTGAACGCACACGTCACAATGAAGTTTCTGAGAATCATTCTGTCTAGTCTTTATACGAAGATATTTCCTTTTCTACCATTGACCTCAAAGCGGCTGAAATCTCCACTTGCAAATTCAAGAAAAAGAGTGTTTCAAGTCTGCTCTGTGTAAAGGATCGTTCAACTCTGTGAGTTGAATAAACACAACACAAGGAAGTTACTGAGAATTCTTCTGTCTAGCAGAATATGAAGAAATCCCGTTTCCAACGAAGGCCACAAGATGTCAGAATATCCACTTACAGAATTTACAAACAGACTGTTTCCTAACTGCTCTATGAAAAGAAAGGTTAAACTCTGTGAGTTGAACGAACACATCACAACGCAGTTTGTGGGAATGATTCTGTCTAGTTTTGAAACGAAGATATTTCCTTTTCTGCCATTGACCTTAAAGCGCTTGAAATCTCCACTTGCCAATTGCACAAAAAGAGTGTTTCAAATCTGCTCTGTCTATGGGAACGTTCAACTCTGTGAGTTGAATGTACACAACACAAGGAAGTTACTGGGAATTCTTCTGTCTAGCCTTACATGAAAAAAACCCGTTTCCAACGAAGGCCTCTAAGTGGTCAAGTTATCCACGTGCAGACTTTACAAACAGAGTGTTTCCAAACTGCTGAATGAAAAGAAAAGTTAAACTCTGAGAGTTGAACGCACACATCACAGAGCAGTTTCTGAGAATGATTCTGTCTTGTTTTTATACGAGGATATTTCCTTTTCAGCCTTTGGCCGCAAAGCGCTTGAAATCTCCACTTGCAAATTCCACAAAAACAGTGTTTCAAATCTGCTCTCTCCAAATGAAAGTTCAACTCTGTCAGTTGAATACACACAACACAAGGGAAGTTACTGAGAATTCTTCTGTCTAGCCTTATATGAAAAAAACCCGTTTCCAACGAAGGCCTCAAAGAGGCCTGAATATCCACTTGCAGTCTTTACAAACAGAGTGTTTCCTAACTGCTCTATGAAAAGAAAGGTTAAACTCTGTGAGTTGAACACACACATCACAAAGGAGTTTCTGAGAATCATTCTGTCTAGTTTCTATAGGAAGATATTTCCTATTCTACCATTGACCTCAAAGCGGCTGAAATCTCCACTTGCAAATTCCACAAAAAGAGTGTTTCAAGTCTGCTCTGTGTAAAGGATCGTTCAACTCTGTGAGTTGAATACACACAACACAAGGAAGTCACTGAGAATTCTTCTGTCTAGCAGAATATGAAGAAATCCAGTTTCCAACGAAGGCCTCAAGGAGGTCTGAATATCCACTTGCAGACTTTACAAACAGAGTGTTTCCTAACTGCTCTATGAACAGAAAGGTTAAACTCTGTGAGTTGAACGAACACATCACAACGCAGTTTGTGGGAATGATTCTGTCTAGCTTTGAAACGAAGATATTTCCTTTTCTGCCATTGACCTTAAAGCGCTTGAAATCTACACTTGCAAATTGCACAAATAGAGTGTTTCAAATCTCCTCTGTCTAAGGGAACGTTCAACTCTGTGAGTTGAATGCACACAACACAAGGAAGTTACTGGGAATTCTTCTGTCTAGCAGAATATGAATAAATCCCGTTTCCAACGAAGGCCTCAAAGAGGTCTGAATATCCACTTGCAGACTTTACAAACAGAGTGTTTCCTAACTGCTCTATGAAAAGAAAAGTTAAACTCTGTGAGTTGAACGCACACATCACAAAGGAGTTTCTGAGAATCATTCTGTCTAGTTTTTATAGGAAGATATTTCCTTTTCTATCTTTGACTTCAAAGCGGCTGAAATCTCAACTTGCAAATTCCACAAAAAGAGTGTTACAAGTCTGCTCTGTGTAAAGGATCGTTCAACTCTGTGAGTTGAATACACACAACACAAGGTAAGTTACTGAGAATTCTTCTGTCTAGCACAGTATGAAGAAACCCGTTTCCAACGAAGGCCTCAAAGAGGTCTGAATATCCACTTGCAGAGTTTAAAAACACAGTGTTTCCTAACTGCTCTATGAAAAGAAAGGTTAAACACTGTGAGTTGAACACACACATCACAAAGAAGTTTCTGAGAATCATTCTGTCTAGTTTCTATAGGAAGATATTTCCTATTCTACCATTGACCTCAAAGCGGCAGAAATCTCCACTTGCAAATTCCACAAAAAGAGTGTTTCAAGTCTGCTCTGTGTAAAGGATCGTTCAACTCTGTGAGTTGAATACACACAACACAAGGAAGTTACTGAGAATTCTTCTGTCTAGCAGAATATGAAGAAATCCCGTTTCCAACGAAGGCCTCAAAGAGGTCTGAATATCCACTTGCAGACTTTACAAACAGAGTGTTTCCTAACTGCTCTATGAAAAGAAAGGTTAAACTCTGTGAGTTGAACGCACACATCACGAAGGAGTTTCTGAGAATCATTCTGTCTAGTTTTGAAACGAAGATATTTCCTTTTCTGCCATTGACCTTAAAGCGCTTGAAATCTACACTTGCAAATTGCACAAATAGAGTGTTTCAAATCTGCTCTGTCTAAGGGAACGTTCAACTCTGTGAGTTGAATGCACACAACACAAGGAAGTTACTGGGAATTCTTCTGTCTAGCCTTACATGAAAAAAACCCGTTTCCAACGAAGGCCTCTATGTGGTCAAAATTTCCACGTGCAGACTTTACAAACAGAGTGTTTCCAAACCGCTGAATGAAAAGAAAAGTTAAACTCTGAGAGTTGAACGCACACATCACGCAGCAGTTTCTGAGAATGATTCTGTCTAGTTTTTATACGAAGATATTTCCTTTTCTGCCTTTGGCCTCAAAGCGCTTGAAATCTCCATTTGCAAATTCCACAAAAAGAGAGTTTCAAATCTGCTCTGTGTAAATGAGAGTTCATCTCTGTGAGTTGAACACACACAACACAAGGAAGTTACTGGGAATTCTTCTGTCTAGCATAATATGAAGAAATCCCGTTTTCAACGAAAGCCTCAAAGATGTCTGAATATCCACTTGCAGACTTTACAAACAGAGTGTTTCCTAACTGCTCTATGAAAAGAAAGGTTAAACTCTGTGAGTTGAACGCACACATCACAAAGGAGTTTCTGAGAATAATTCTGTCTCGTCTTTATACGAAGATATTTACTTTTCTACCATTGACCTCAAAGCGGCTGAAATCTCCACTTGCAAATTCGAGAAGAAGAGTGTTTCAAGCCTGCTCTCTGTAAAGGATCCTTCAAATCTGTGAGTTGAATACACACAACACAAGGAAGTTACTGAGAATTATTCTGTCTAGCAGAATATGAAGAAATCCCGTTACCAACGAAGGCCACAAGATGTCAGAATATCCACTTACAGAATTTACAAACAGACTGTTTCCTAACTGCTCTATGAAAAGAAAGGTTAAACTCTGTGAGTTGAACGAACACATGACAACGCAGTTTGTGGGAATGATTCTGTCTAGTTTTGAAACGAAGATATTTCCTTTCCTGCCATTGACCTTAAAGCGCTTGAAATCTCCATTTGCCAATTGCACAAAAAGAGTGTTTCAAATCTGCTCTGTCTAAGGGAACGTTCAACTCTGTGAGTTGAATGTACACAACACAAGGAAGTTACTGGGAATTCTTCTGTCTAGCATAATATGAAGAAATCCCGTTTCCAACGAAGGCCTCAAGGAGGTCTGAATATCCACTTGCAGACTTTACAAACTGAGTGTTTCCTAACTGCTCTATGAAAAGAAAGGTTAAACTCTGTGAGTTGAACGCGCACATCACAAGGGAGTTTCTGAGAATCATTCTGTCTAGTTTTTATACGAAGATATTTCCTTTTCTACAATTGACCTCAAAGCGGCTGAAATCTCCAATTGCAAATTCCACAAAAAGAGTGTTTCAAGTTTGCTCTGTGTAAAGGATCGTCCAACTCTGTGAGTTGAATACACACAAAACAAGGAATTTACTGAGAATTCTTCTGTCTAGCATAATATGAAGAAATCCCGTTTCCAACGAAGGCCTCAAAGAGGTCTGAATATCCAGTTGCAGACTTTACAAACAGAGTGTTTCCTAACTGCTCTATGAAAAGAAAGGTTAAACTCTGTGAGTTGAATGCACACATCACAAAGGAGTTTCTGAGAATCATTCTGTCTAGTTTTTCTACGAAGATATTTCCTTTTCTACTATTGACCTCAAAGCGGCTGAAATCTCCACTTGCAAATTCTACAAATAGAGTGTTTCAAGTCTGCTCTGTGTAAAGGATCGTTCAACTCTGTGAGTTGAATACACACAACACAAGGAAGTTACTGAGAATTATTCTGTCTAGCATAATATGAAGAAATCCCGTTTAAAACGAAGGCCTCAAAGAGGTCTGAATATCCACTTGCAGACTTTACAAACAGAGTGTTTCCTAACTGCTCTATGAACAGAAAGGTTAAACTCTGTGAGTTGAACGCACACATCACAAAGGAGTTTCTGAGAATCATTCTGTCTAGTTTTGAAACGAAGATATTTCCTTTTCTGCCATTGACCTTAAATCGCTTGAAATCTCCACTTGCCAATTGCACAAAAAGAGTGTTTCAAATCTGCTCTTTCTAAGGGAACGTTCAACTCTGTGAGTTGAATGTACACAACACAAGGAAGTTACTGGGAATTCTTCTGTCTAGCCTTACAGGAAAAAACCCGTTTCCAACGAAGGCCTCTAAGTGGTCAAAATATCCACGTGCAGACTTTACAAACAGAGTGTTTCCAAACTGCTGAATGAAAAGAAAAGTTAAACTCTGAGAGTTGAACGCACACATCGCAGAGCAGTTTCTGAGAATGATTCTGTCTAGTTTTGAAACGAAGATATTTCCTTTTCTGCCTTTGGCCTCAAAGCGCTTGAAATCTCCATTTGCAAATTCCACAAAAAGAGTGTTTCAAATCTGCTCTGTGTAAATGAAAGTTCAACTCTGTGAGTTGAACACACACAACACAAGGGAAGTTACTGGGAATTCTTCTGTCTAGCCTTATATGAAAAAAACCCGTTTCCAACGAAGGCCTCAAAGAGGTGTGAATATCCACTTGCAGACTTTACAAACAGAGTGTTTCCTATCTGCTCTATGAAAAGAAAGGTGAAACTCTGTGAGTTGAACACACACATCACAAAGGAGTTTCTGAGAATCATTCTGTCTAGTTTTTATACGAAGATATTTCCTTTTCTACCATTGACCTCAACGCGGCTGAAATCTCCACTTGCAAATTCCACAAAATGAGTGTTTCAAGTCCGCTCTGTGTAAAGGATCGTTCAACTCTGTGAGTTGAATACACACAACACAAGGAAGTTAGTGAGAATTCTTCTGTCTAGCAGAATATGAAGAAATCCCGTTTCCAACGAAGGCCACAAGATGTCAGAATATCCACTTACAGAATTTTCAAATAGACTGTTTCCTAACTGCTCTATGAAAAGAAAGGTTAAACTCTGTGAGTTGAACGAACACATCACAACGCAGTTTGTGGGAATGATTCTGTCTAGTTTTTATACGAAGATATTTCCTTTTCTACCATTGACCTCAAAGCGGCTGAAATCACCACTTGCCAATTGCACAAAAAGAGTGTTTCAAATCTGCTCTGTCTAAGGGAACGTTCAACTCTGTGAGCTGAATGTACACAACACAAGGAAGTTACTGAGAATTCTTCTGTCTAGCCTTACAGGAAAAAAACCCGTTTCCAACGAAGGCCTCTAAGTGGTCAAAATATCCACGTGCAGACTTTACAAACAGAGTGTTTCCAAACTGCTGAATGAAAAGAAAAGTTAAACTCTGAGAGTTGAACGCACACATCGCAGAGCAGTTTCTGAGAATGATTCTGTCTAGTTTCTATAGGAAGATATTTCCTATTCTACCATTGACCTCAAAGCGGCTGAAATCTCCACTTGCAAATTCCACAAAAAGAGTGTTTCAAGTCTGCTCTGTGTACAGGATCGTTCAACTCTGTGAGTTGAAAACACACAACACAAGGAAGTTTCTGAGAATTCTTCTGTCTAGCATAATATGAAGAAATCCCTTTTCCAACGAAGGCCTCAAGGAGGTCTGAATATCCACTTGCAGACATTACAAACAGAGTGTTTCCTAACTGCTCTATGAAAAGCAAGGTTAAACTCTGTGAGTTCAACGCACACATCACAAAGGAGTTTCTGAGAATCATTCTGTCTAGTTTCTATAGGAAGATAATTCCTATTCTACCATTGACCTCAAAGCGGCTGAAATCTCCACTTGCAAATTCCACAAAAAGAGTGTTTCAAGTCTGCTCTCTGTAAAGGATCGTTCAACTCTGTGAGTTGAATACACACAACACAAGGAAGTTACTGAGAATTCTTCTGTCTAGCAGAATATGAAAAAATCCCGTTTCCAACGAAGGCCACAAGATGTCAGAATATCCACTTACAGAATTGACAAACAGACTGTTTCCTAACTGCTCTATGAAAAGAAAGGTTAAACTCTGTGAGTTGAACGAACACATCACAACGCAGTTTGTGGGAATGATTCTGTCTAGTTTTGAAACGAAGATATTTCCTTTTCTGCCATTGACCTTCAGCGCTTGATATCTCCACTTGCCAATTTCACAAAAAGAGTGTTTCAAATCTGCTCTGTATAAGGGAACGTTCAACTCTGTGAGTTGAATGTACACAACACAAGGAAGTTACTGGGAATTCTTCTGTCTAGCCTTACATGACAAAATCCCGTTTCCAACGAAGGCCTCTAAGTGGTCAAAATATCCACGTGCAGACTTTACAAACAGAGTGTTTCCAAACTGCTGAATGAAAAGAAAAGTTAAACTCTGAGATCTGAACGCACACATCGCAGAGCAGTTTCTGAGAATGATTCTGTCTAGTTTTTATACGAAGATATTTCCTTTTCTGCCTTTGGCCTCAAAGCGCTTGAAATCTCCACTTGCAAATTCCAAAAAAAGAGTGTTTCAAATCTGCTCTCTCTAAATGAAAGTTCAACTCTGTCAGTTGAATACACACAACACAAGGAAGTTACTGAGAATTCTTCTGTCTAGCCTTACATGAAAAAAACCCGTTTCCAACGAAGGCCTCAAAGAGGTAAAAATATCCACTTGCAGACTTTACAAACAGAGTGTTTCCTAACTGCTCTATGAAAAGAAAGGTTACACTCTGTGAGTTGAACACCCAAATCACAAAGGAGTTTCTGAGAATCATTCTGGCTAGTTTCTATAGGAAGATATTTCCTATTCTACCATTGACCTCAAAGCGGCTGAAATCTCCACTTGCAAATTCCACAAAAAGAGTGTTTCAAGTCTGCTCTGTGTAAAGGATCGTTCAACTCTGTGAGTTGAATACACACAACACAAGGAAGTTACTGAGAATTCTTCTGTCTAGCAGAATATGAAGAAATCCCGCTTCCAACGAAGGCCTCAAAGAAGTCTGAATATCCACTTGCAGACTTTACAAAGAGAGTGTTTCCCAACTGCTCTATGAAAAGAAAGGTTGAACTCTGTGAGTTGAACGCACACATCACAAAGGAGTTTCTGAGAATCATTCTGTCTAATTTTGAAACGAAGATATTTCCTTTTCTGCCATTGACCTTAAAGCGCTTGAAATCTCCACTTGCCAATTGCACAAAAAGAGTGTTTCAAATCTGCTCTGTCTAAGGGAACGTTCAACTCTGTGAGTTGAATGTACACAACACAAGGAAGTTACTGGGAATTCTTCTGTCTAGCCTTACATGCAAAAAACCCGTTTCCAACGAAGGCCTCTAAGTGGTCAAAATATCCACGTGCAGACTTTACAAACAGAGTGTTTCCAAACCGCTGAATGAAAAGAAAAGTTAAACTCTGAGAGTTGAACGCACACATCACCCAGCAGTTTCTGAGAATGATTCTGTCTAGTTTTTATACGAAGATATTTCCTTTTCTGCCTTTGGCCCCAAAGCGCTTGAAATCTCCACTTGCAAATTCCACAAAAACAGAGTTTCAAATCTGCTCTCTCTAAATAAAAGTTCAACTCTGTCAGTTGAATACACACAACACAAGGAAGTTACTGAGAATTCTTCTGTCTAGCATAATATGAAGAAATCCCGTTTCCAACGAAGACCTCAAAGAGGTCTGAATATCCACTTGCAGACTTTACAAACAGAGTGTTTCCTAACTGCTCTATGAGAAGAAAAGTTAAACTCTGTGAGTTGAACGCACACATCACAAAAGATTTTCTGAGAATCATTCTGTCTAGTTTTTATAGGAAGATATTTCCTATTCTACCATTGACCTCAAAGCGGCTGAAATCTCCACTTGCAAATTCCACAAAAAGAGTGTTTCAAGTCTGCTCTGTGTAAAGGATCGTTCAACTCTGTGAGTTGAATACACACAACACAAGGAAGTTACTGAGAATTCTTCTGTCTAGCATAATATGAAGAAAACCCGTTTCCAACGAAGGCCTCAAAGAGGTCTGAAGATCCACTTGCAGACATTACAAACAGAGTGTTTCCTAACTGCTCTATGAAAAGAAAGGTTGAACTCTGTGAGTTGAACGCACACATCACAAAGGAGTTTCTGAGAATCATTCTGTCTAGTTTTGAAACGAAGATATTTCCTTTTCTGCCATTGACCTTAAAGCGCTTGAAATCTACACTTGCAAATTGCACAAATAGAGTGTTTCAAATCTGCACTGTCTAAGGGAACGTTCAACTCTGTGAGTTGAATGCACACAACACAAGGAAGTTACTGGGAATTCTTCTGTCTAGCCTTACATGAAAAAAACCCGTTTCCAACGAAGGCCTCTAAGTGGTCAAATTATCCACGTGCAGACTTTACAAACAGAGTGTTTCCAAACTGCTGAATGAAAAGAAAAGTTAAACTCTGAGAGTTGAACGCACACATCGCAGAGCAGTTTCTGAGAATGGTTCTGTCTAGTTTTTATACAAAGAATATTTCCTTTTCTGCCTTTGGCCTCAAAGCGCTTGAAATCTCCATTTGCAAATTCCACAAAAAGAGTGTTTCAAATCTGCTCTGTGTAAATGAAAGTTCAACTCTGTGAGTTGAACACACACAACACAAGGAAGTTACTGGGAATTCTTCTGTCTAGCAGAATATGAGGAAATCCCGTTTCCAACGAAAGCCTCAAAGAGGTCTGAATATCCACTTGCAGACTTTACAAACAGAGTGTTTCCTAACTGCTCTATGAAAAGAAAGGTTAAACTCTGTGAGTTCAACGCCCACATCACAAAGGAGTTTCTGAGAATCATTCTGTCTAGTTTTTCTACGAAGATATTTCCTTTTCTACTACTGACCTCAAAGCGGCTGAAATCTCCACTTGCAAATTCCACAAAAAGAGTGTTTCAAGTCTGCTCTGTGTAAAGGATCGTTCAACTCTGTGAGTTGAATACACACAACACAAGGAAGTTACTGAGAATTCTTCTGTCTAGCAGAATATGAAGAAATCCCGTTTCCAACGAAGGCCTCAAAGAGGTCTGAATATCCACTTGCAGACTTTACAAACAGAGTGTTTCCTAACTGCTCTATGAAAAGAAAGGTTAAACTCTGTGAGTTGAAGGCACACATCACAAAGGAGTTTCTGAGATCATTCTGTCTAGTTTCTATAAGAAGATATTTCCTATTCTACCATTGACCTCAAAGCGGCTGAAATCTCCACTTGCAAATTCCACAAAAAGTGTGTTTCAAGTCTGCTCTGTGTAAAGGATCGTTCAACTCTGTGAGTTGAATACACACAACACAAGGAAGTTACTGAGAATTCTTCTGTCTAGCCTTACATGAAAAAAACCCGTTTCCAACGAAGGCCTCTAAGTGGTCAAAATTTCCACGTGCAGACTTTACAAACAGAGTGTTTCCAAACCGCTGAATGAAAAGAAAAGTTAAACTCTGAGAGTTGAAGGCACACATCACGCAGCAGTTTCTGAGAATGATTCTGTCTAGTTTTTATACGAAGATATTTCCTTTTCTGCCTTTGGCCTCAAAGCGCTTGAAATCTCCACTTGAAAATTCCACAAAAAGAGTGTTTCAAATCTGCTCTGTGTAAATCAAAGTTCAACTCTGTGAGTTGAACACACACAACACAAGGAAGTTACTGGGAATTCTTCTGTCTAGCCTTATATGAAAAAAACCCGTTTCCAACGAAGGCCTCAAAGAGGTCTGAATATCCTCTTGCAGACTTTACAAACAGAGTGTTTCCTAACAGCTCTATGAAAAGAAAGGTTAAACTCTGTGAGTTGGGCACACACATCCCAAAGGAGTTTCTGAGAATCATTCTGTCTAGTTTTTCTACGAAAGATATTTCCTTTTCTACTATTGACCTCAAAGCGGCTGAAATCTCCACTTGCAAATTCCACAAAAAGAGAGTTTCAAGTCTGCTCTGTGTAAAGGATCGTTCAACTCTGTGAGTTGAATACACACAACACAAGGAAGTTACTGAGAATTCTTCTGTCTAGCATAATATGAAGAAATCCCGTTTCCAACGAAGGCCTCAAAGAGGTCTGAATATCCACCTGCAGACTTAACAAACAGAGTGTTTCCTAACTGCTCTATGAAAAGAAAGGTTAAACTCTGTGAGTTGAACGCACACAGCACAAAGGAGTTTCTGAGAATCATTCTGTCTAGTTTTTATGTGAAGATATTTCCTTTTCTACCATTGACCTCAAAGCGGCTGAAATCTCCACTTACAAATTCCAAAAAAGAGTGTCTCAAGTCTGCTCTGTGTAAACGATCGTTCAACTCTGTGAGTTGAATACACACAACACAAGGAAGTTTCTGAGAATTCTTCTGTATAGCAGAATATGAAGAAATCCCGCTTCCAACGAAGGCCTCAAGGAGGTCTGAATATCCACTTGCAGACTTTTCAAACAGAGTGTTTCCTAACTGCTCTATGAAAAGAAAGGTTAAACTCTGTGAGTTGAACGCAGACATCACAAAGGAGTTTCTGAGAATCACTCTGTCTAGTTTTTCTACGAAGATATTTCCTTTTCTACTATTGACCTCAAAGCGGCTGAAATCTCCACTTGCAAATTCCACAAAAAGAGTGTTTCAAGTCTGCTCTCTGTAAAGGATCGTTCAACTCTGTGAGTTGAATACACACAACACAAGGAAGTTACTGAGAATTATTCTGTCTAGCAGAATATGAAGAAATCCCGTTTCCAACGAAGGCCTCAAAGAGGTCTGAATATCCACTTGCAGACTTTACAAACAGAGTGTTTCCTAACTGCTCTATGAAAAGAAAGGTTAAACTCTATGAGTTGAACGCACACATCACAAAGGAGTTTCTGAGAATCATTCTGCCTAGTTTTTCTACGAAGATATTTCCTTTTCTACTATTGACCTCAAAGCGGCTGAAATCTCCACTTGCAAATTCCACAAAAAGAGTGTTTCAAGACTGCTCTGTGTAAAGGATCGTTCAACTCTGTGAGTTGAATACACACAACACAAGGAAGTTACTGAGAATTCTTCTGTCTAGCAGAATATGAAGAAAACCCGTTTCCAACGAAGGCCTCAAAGAGGTCTGAATATCCACTTGCAGACTTTACAAACAGAGTGTTTCCTAACTGCTCTATGAAAAGAAAGGTTAAACTCTGTGAGTTGAACGCACACATCACAAAGGAGTTTCTGAGAATCATTTCTGTCTAGTTTTTATACGAAGATATTTCCTTTTCTGCCTTTGGCCTCAAAGCGCTTGAAATCTCCATTTGCAAATTCCACAAAAAGAGTGTTTCAAATCTGCTCTGTCTAAGGGATCGTTCAACTCTGTGAGTTGAATGTACACAACACAAGGAAGTTACTGGGAATTCTTCTGTCTAGCATAATATGAAGAAATCCCGTTTCCAACGAATGCCTCAAGGAGGTCTGAATATCCACTTGCAGACTTTACAAACAGAGTGTTTCCTAACTGCTCTATGAAAAGAAAGGTTAAACTGTGTGAGTGGAACGCACACATCACAAAGGAGTTTCTGAGAATCATTCTGTCTAGTTTCTATATGAAGATATTTCCTATTCTACCATTGACCTGAAAGCGGCTGAAATCTCCACTTGCAAATTCCACAAAAAGAGTGTTTCAAGTCTGCTCTGTGTAAAGGATCGTTCAACTCTGTGAGTTGAATACACACAACACAAGGAAGTTACTGAGAATTCTTCTGTCTAGCAGAATAGGAAGAAATCCCGTTTCCAACGAAGGCCTCAAAGAGGTCTGAATATCCACTTGCAGACTTTACAAACAGAGTGTTTCCTAACTGCTCTATGAAAAGAAAAGTTAAACTCTGTGAGTTGAACGCACACATCACAAAGGAGTTTCTGAGAATCATTCTGTCTAGTTTTTATACGAAGATATTTCCTTTTCTACCATTGACCTCAAAGCGGCTGAATTCTCCACTTACAAATTCCACCAAAAGAGTGTCTCAAATCTGCTCTGTGTAAAGAATCATTCAACTCTGTGAGTTGAATGCACACAACACAAGGAAGTTACTGGGAATTCCTCTGTCTAGCAGAATATGAAGAAATCCCGTTTCCAACGAAGGCCACAAGATGTCTGAATATCCACTTACAGACTTTACAAACAGAGTGTTTCCTAACTGCTCTATGAACAGAAAGGTTAAACTCTGTGAGTTGAACGAACACAGCACAACGCAGTTTGTGGGAATGATTCTGTCTAGTTTTGAAACCAAGATATTTCCTTTTCTGCCGTTGACCTTAAAGAGCTTGAAAACTACACTTGCAAATTGCACAAATAGAGTGTTTCAAATCTGCTCTGTCTAAGGGAACGTTCAACTCTGTGAGTTGAATGCACACAACACAAGGAAGTTACTGGGAATTCTTCTGTCTAGCCTTATATGAAAAAAACCCGTTTCCAACGAAGGCCTCTAAGTGGTCAAATTATCCACGCGCAGACTTTACAAACAGAGTGTTTCCAAACTGCTGAATGAAAAGAAAAGTTAAACTCTGAGAGTTGAACGCACACATCGCAGAGCAGTTTCTGAGAATGATTCTGTCTAGTTTTCATACGAAGATATTTCCTTTTCTGCCTTTGGCCTCAAAGCGCTTGAAATCTCCACTTGCAAATTCCACAAAAAGAGTGTTTCAAATCTGCTCTGTGTAAATGAAAGTTCAACTCTGTGAGTTGAACACACACAACACAAGGAAGTTACTGGGAATTCTTCTGTCTAGCATAATATGAAGAAATCCCGTTTCCAACGAAGGCCTCAAAGAGGTCTGAATATCCACTTGCAGAGTTTACAAACAGAGTGTTTCCTAACTGCTCTATGAAAAGAAAGGTTAAACTCTGTGAGTTGAACGCACACATCACAAGGGAGTTTCTGAGAATCATTCTGTCTAGTTTCTATAAGAAGATATTTCCTATTCTACCATTGACCTCAAAGCGGCTGAAATCTCCACTTGCAAATTCGACAAAAAGAGTGTTTCAAGCCTGCTCTCTGTAAAGGATCCTTCAACTCTGTGAGTTGAATACACACAACACAAGGAAGTTACTGAGAATTATTCTGTCTAGCAGAATATGAAGAAAGCCCGTTTCCAACGAAGGCCGCAAGATTTCAGAATATCCACTTACAGAATTTACAAACAGAGTGTTTCCTAACTGCTCTATGAAAAGAAAGGTTAAACTCTGTGAGTTGAACGAACACATCAATACGCAGTTTGTGGGAATGATTCTGTCTAGTTTTGAAACGAAGATATTTCCTTTTCTGCCATTGAACTTAAAGCGCTTGAAATCTCCATTTGCGAATTGCACAAAAAGAGTGTTTCAAATCTGCTCTGTCTAAGGGAACGTTCAACTCTGTGAGTTGAATGTACACAACACAAGGAAAGTTACTGGGAATTCTTCTGTCTAGCCTTACAGGAAAAAAACCCGTTTCCAACGAAGGCCTCTAAGTGGTCAAAATATCCACGTGCAGACTTTACAAACAGAGTGTTTCCAAACTGCTGAATGAAAAGAAAAGTTAAACTCTGAGAGTTGAACGCACACATCGCAGAGCAGTTTCTGAGAATGATTCTGTCTAGTTTTTATACGAAGATATTTCCTTTTCTGCCTTTGGCCTCAAAGCGCTTGAAATCTCCACTTGCAAATTCCACAAAAAGAGTGTTTCAAATCTGGTCTGTGTAAATGAAAGTTCAACTCTGTGAGTTGAACACACACAACACAAGGAAGTTACTGGGAATTCTTCTGTCTAGCCTTACATGAAAAAAACCCGTTTCCAACGAAGGCCTCAAAGAGGTCTGAATATCCACTTGCAGACTTTACAAACAGAGTGTTTCCTAACTGCTCTATGAAAAGAAAGGTTAAACTCTGTGAGTTGAACGCAGACATCACAAAGGAGTTTCTGAGAATCGTTCTGTCTTGTTTTTATACGAAGATATTTCCTTTTCTACCATTGACCTCAAAGCGGCTGAAATCTCCACTTGCAAATTACACAAAAAGAGTGTTTCAAGTCTACTCTGTGTAAAGCATCGTTCAACTCTGTGAGTTGAAAACACACAACAGAAGGAAGTTTCTGAGAATTCTTCTGTCTAGCAGAATATGAAGAAATCGCGTTTCCAACGAAGGCCACAAGATGTCAGAATATCCACTTACAGACTTTAGAAACAGAGAGTTTCCTAACTGCTCTATGAACAGAAAGGTTAAACTCTGTGAGTTGAACGAACACATCACAACGCAGTTTGTGGGAATGATTCTGTCTAGTTTTTATAGGAAGATATTTCCTTTTCTACCTTTGACTTCAAAGCGGCTGAAATCTCCACTTGCAAATTCCACAAAAAGAGTGTTACAAGTCTGCTCTGTGTAAAGGATCGTTCAGCTGTGTGAGTTGAATACACACAACACAAGGAAGTTACTGAGAATTCTTCTGTCTAGCCTTACATGAAAAAAACCCGTTTCCAACGAAGGCCTCTAAGTGGTCAAATTATCCACGTGCAGACTTTACAAACAGAGTGTTTCCAAACTGCTGAATGAAAAGAAAAGTTAAACTCTGAGAGTTGAACGCACACATCGCAGAGCAGTTTCTGAGAATGATTCTGTCTAGTTTTGAAACGAAGATATTACCTTTTCTGCCTTTGGCCCCAAAGCGCTTGAAATCTCCATTTGCAAATTCCACAAAAAGAGTGTTTCAAATCTGCTCTGTGTTAATGAACGTTCAACTCTGTGAGTTGAACACACACAACACAAGGAAGTTACTGGGAATTCTTCTGTCTAGCATAATATGAAGAAATCCCGTTTCCAACGAAGGCCTCAAGGAGGTCTGAATATCCACTTGCAGACTTTACAAACAGAGTGTTTCCTAACTGCTCTATGAAAAGAAAGGTTAAACTCTGTGAGTTGAACGCACACATCACAAAGGAATTTCTGAGAATCATTCTGTCTAGTTTCTATAGGAAAATATTTCCTATTCTACCATTGAACTCAAAGCGGCTGAAATCTCCACTTGCAAATTCCACAAAAAGAGTGTTTCAAGTCTGCTCTGTGTAAAGGATCGTTCAACTCTGTGAGTTGAATACACACAACACAAGGAAGTTACTGAGAATTCTTCTGTCTAGCAGAATATGAAGAAATCCCGTTTCCAATGAAGGCCTCAAGGAGGTCTGAATATCCACTTGCAGACATTTACAAACAGAGTGTTTCCTAACTGCTCTATGAAAAGAAAGGTTAAACTCTGTGAGTTGAACGAACACATCACAACGCAGTTTGTGGGAATGATTCTGTCTAGTTTTGAAACGAAGATATTTCCTTTTCTGCCATTGACCTTAAAGCGCTTGAAATCTCCACTTGCCAATTGCACAAAAAGAGTGTTTCAAATCTGCTCTGTCTAAGGGAACGTTCAACTCTGTGAGTTGAATGTACACAACACAAGGAAGTTACTGGGAATTCTTCTGTCTAGCATAATATGAAGAAATCCCGTTTCCAACGAAGGCCTCAAAGGGGTCTGAATATCCACTTGCAGACTTTACAAACAGAGTGTTTCCTAACTGCTCTATGAACAGAAAGGTTAAACTCTGTGAGTTGAACGCACACATCACTAAGGAGTTTCTGAGAATCATTCTGTCTAGTCTTTATACGAAGATATTTACTTTTCTACCATTGACCTCAAAGCGGCTGAAATCTCCACTTGCAAATTCCACAAAAAGAGTGTTTCAAGTCTGCTCTGTGTAAACGATCATTCAACTCTGTGAGTTGAATAAACACAACACAAGGAAGTTACTGAGAATTCTTCTGTCTAGCAGAATATGAAGAAATCCCGTTTCCAACGAAGGCCTCAAGGAGGTCTGAATATCCACTTGCAGACTTTACAAACAGAGTGTTTCCTAACTGCTCTATGAAAAGAAAGGTTAAACTCTGTGAGTTGAACGCACACATCACAAAGGAGTTTATGAGAATCATTCTGTCTAGTTTCTATAGGAAGATATTTCCTATTCTACCATTGACCTCAAAGCGGCTGAAATCTCCACTTGCAAATTCCAGAAAAAGAATGTTTCAAGTCTGCTCTGTGTAAAGGATCGTTCAACTCTGTGAGTTGAATACACACAACTCCACAAGGAAGTTACTGAGAATTCTTCTGTCTAGCAGAATATGAAGAAATCCCGTTTCCAACGAAGGCCACAAGATGTCAGAATATCCACTTACAGAATTTACAAACAGACTGTTTCCTAACTGCTCTATGAAAAGAAAGGTTAAACTCTGTGAGTTGAACGAACACATCACAACGCAGTTTGTGGGAATGATTCTGTCTAGTTTTGAAACGAAGATATTTCCTTTTCTGCCATTGACCTTAAAGCCCTTGAAATCTCCACTTGCCAATTGCACAAAAAGAGTGTTTCAAATCTGCTCTGTCTAAGGGAACGTTCAACTCTGTGAGTTCAATGTACACAACACAAGGAAGTTACTGGGAATTCTTCTGTCTAGCCTTACAGGAAAAAAACCCGTTTCCAACGAAGGCCTCTAAGTGGTCAAAATATCCACGTGCAGACTTTACAAACAGAGTGTTTCCAAACTGCTGAATGAAAAGAAAAGTTAAACTCTGAGAGTTGAACGCACACATTGCAGAGCAGCTTCTGAGAATGATTCTGTCTAGTTTTTATACGAAGATATTTCCTTTTCTGCCTTTGGCCTCAAAGCGCTTGAAATCTCCACTTGCAAATTCCACAAAAAGAGTGTTTCAAATCTGCTCTGTGTAAATCAAAGTTCAACTCTGTGAGTTGAACACACACAACACAAGGAAGTTACTGGGAATTCTTCTGTCTAGCACAGTATGGAGAAATCCCCTTTCCAACGAAGGCCTCAAAGAGGTCTGAATATCCACTTGCAGAGTTTACAAACAGAGTGTTTCCTAACTGCTCTATGAAAAGAAAGGTTAAACTCTGTGAGTTGAACGCACACATCACAATGAAGTTTCTGAGAATCATTCTGTCTAGTTTCTATAAGAAGATATTTCCTATTCTACCATTGACCTCAAAGCGGCTGAAATCTCCACTTGCAAATTCCAGAAAAAGAGTGTTTCAAGTCTGCTCTGTGTAAAGGATCGTTCAACTCTGTGAGTTGAATACACACAACACAAGGAAGTTACTGAGAATTCTTCTGTCTAGCAGAATATGAAGAAATCCCGTTTCCAACGAAGGCCACAAGATGTCAGAATATCCACTTACAGAATTTACAAACAGAGTGTTTCCTAACTGCTCTATGAAAAGAAAGGTTAAACTCTGTGAGATGAACGAACACATCACAACGCAGTTTGTGGGAATGATTCTGTCTAGTTTTGAAACGAAGATATTTCCTTTTCTGCCATTGACCTCAAAGCGCTTGAAATCTCCACTTGCCAAATGCACAAAAAGAGTGTTTCAAATCTGCTCTGTCTAAGGGAACGTTCAACTCTGTGAGTTGAATGTACACAACACAAGGAAGTTACTGGGAATTCTTCTGTCTAGCCTTACAGGAGAAAAACCCGTTTCCAACGAAGGCCTCTAAGTGGTCAAAATATCCACGTGCAGACTTTACAAACAGAGTGTTTCCAAACTGCTGAATGAAACGAAAAGTTAAACTCTGAGAGTTGAACGCACACATCGCAGAGCAGTTTCTGAGAATGATTCTGTCTAGTTTTTCTACGAAGATATTTCCTTTTCTACTATTGACCTGAAAGCGGCTGAAATCTCCACTTGCAAATTCCACAAAAAGAGTGTTTCAAGTCTTCTCTGTGTAAAGGATCGTTCAACTCTGTGAGTTGAATACACACAACACAAGGGAAGTTACTGAGAATTCTTCTCTCTAGCAGAATATGAAGAAATCCCCTTTCCAACGAAGGCCTCAAAGAGGTCTGAATATCAACTTGCAGACTTTACAAACAGAGTGTTTCCTAACTGCTCTATGAAAAGAAAGGTTAAACTCTGTGAGTTGAACGCACACATCACAAAGGAGTTTCTGAGAATCATTCTGTCTAGTCTTTATACGAAGATATATCCTTTTCTACCATTGACCTCAAAGCGGCTGAAATCTCCACTTGCGAATTCCACAAAAAGAGTGTTTCAAGTCTGCTCTCTGTAAAGGATCGTTCAACTCTGTGAGTTGAATACACACAACATAAGGAAGTTACTGAGAATTATTCTGTCTAGCATAATATGAAGAAATCCCGTTTCCAACGAAGGCCTCAAAGAGGTCTGAATATGCACTTGCAGACTTTACAGAGAGTTTCCTAACTGCTCTATGAAAAGAAAAGTTAAACTCTGTGAGTTGAACGCACACATCACAAAGGAGTTTCTGAGAATCATTCTGTCTAGTTTTGAAACGAAGATATTTCCTTTTCTGCCATTGACCTTAAAGCGCTTGAAATCTACACTTGCAAATTGCACAAATAGAGTGTTTCAAATCTGCTCTGTCTAAGGGAACGTTCAACTCTGTGAGTTGAATGCACACAACACAAGGAAGTTACTGGGAATTCTTCTGTCTAGCCTTACATGAAAAAAACCCGTTTCCAACGAAGGCCTCTAAGTGGTCAAAATATCCACGTGCAGACTTTACAAACAGAGTGTTTCCAAACCGCTGAATGAAAAGAAAAGTTAAACTCCGAGAGTTGAACGCACACATCACGCAGCAGTTTCTGAGAATGATTCTGTCTAGTTTTTATACGAAGATATTTCCTTTTCTGCCTTTGGCCTCAAAGCGCTTGAAATCTCCACTTGCAAATTCCACAAAAAGAGTGTTTCAAATCTGCTCTGTGTAAATGAAAGTTCAACTCTATGAGTTGAACACACACAACACAAGGAAGTTACTGGGAATTCTTCTGTCTAGCATAATAGGAAGAAATCCCGTTTCCAACGAAGGCCTCAAGGAGGTCTGAATATCCACTTGCAGACTTTACAAACAGAGTGTTTCCTAACTGCTCTATGAAAAGAAAGGTTAAACTCTGTGAGTTGAACGCACACATCACAAAGGAGTTTCTGAGAATCATTCTGTCTAGTTTCTATACGAAGACATTTCATTTTCTACCATTAACCTCAAAGCGGCTGAAATCTCCACTTGCAAATTCCACATAAAGAGTGTTTCAAGTCTGCTTTGTGTAAATGATCGTTCAACTCTGTGAGTTGAATACACACAACACAAGGAAGTTACTGAGAATTCTTCTGTCTAGCAGAATATGAAGAAATCCCGTTTCCAACGAAGGCCACAAGACGTCAGAATATCCACTTACAGACTTTACAAACAGAGTGTTTCCTAACTGCTCTATGAACAGAAAGGTTAAACTCTGTGAGTTGAACGAACACATCACAACGCAGTTTCTGGGAATGATTCTGTCTAGTTTTGAAACGAAGATATTTCCTTTTCTGCCATTGACCTTAAAGCGCTTGAAATCTACACTTGCAAATTGCACAAATAGAGTGTTTCAAATCTGCTCTGTCTAAGGGAACGTTCAACTCTGTGAGTTGAATGCACACAACACAAGGAAGTTACTGGGAATTCTTCTGTCTAGCCTTACATGAAAAAATCCCGTTTCCAACGAAGGCCTCTAAGTGGTCAAAATATCCACGTGCAGACTTTACAAACAGAGTGTTTCCAAACCGCTGAATGAAAAGAAAAGTTAAACTCTGAGAGTTGAAGGCACACGTCACGCAGCAGTTTCTGAGAATGATTCTGTCTAGTTTTTATACGAAGATATTTCCTTTTCTGCCTTTCGCCTCAAAGCGCTTGAAATCTCCACTTGCAAATTCCACAAAAAGAGTGTTTCAAATCTGCTCTGTGTAAATGAAAGTTCAACTCTGTGAGTTGAACACACACAACACAAGGAAGTTACTGGGAATTCTTCTGTCTAGCAGAATATGAAGAAATCCCATTTCCAACGAAGGCCTCAAGGAGGTCTGAATATCCACTTGCAGACTTTACAAACAGAGTGTTTCCTAACTGCTCTACGGAAAGAAAGGTTAAACTCTGTGAGTTGAACACACACATCACAAAGGAGTTTCTGAGAATCATTCTGTCTAGTTTTTATATGAAGATATTTCCTTTTCTACCATTGACCTCAAAGCGGCTGAAATCTCCACTTACAAATTCCACAAAAAGAGTGTCTCAAGTCTGCTCTGTGTAAACGATCGTTCAACTCTGTGAGTTGAATACACACAACACAAGGAAGTTTCTGAGAATTCTTCTGTCTAGCAGAATATGAAGAAAACCCGTTTCCATCGAAGGCCACAAGATGTCAGAATATCCACTTACAGAATTGACAAACAGACTGTTTCCTAACTGCTCTATGAAAAGAAAGGTTAAACTCTGTGAGTTGAACGAACACATCACAACGCAGTTTGTGGGAATGATTCTGTCTAGTTTTGAAACGAAGATATTTCCTTTTCTGCCATTGACCTTAAAGCGCTTGAAATCTCCACTTGCCAATTGCACAAAAAGAGTGTTTCAAATCTGCTCTGTCTAAGGGAACGTTCAACTCTGTGAGTTGAATGTACACAACACAAGGAAGTTACTGGGAATTCTTCTGTCTAGCCTTACAGGAAAAAAACCCGTTTCCAACGAAGGCCTCTAAGTGGTCAAAATATCCACGTGCAGACTTTACAAACAGAGTGTTTCCAAACTGCTGAATGAAAAGAAAAGTTAAACTCTGAGAGTTGAACGCACACATCGCAGAGCAGTTTCTGAGAATGATTCTGTCTAGTTTTTATACGAAGATATTTCCTTTTCTGCCTTTGGACTCAAAGCGCTTGAAATCTCCATTTGCAAATTCCACAAAAAGAGTGTTTCAAATCTGCTCTGTGTAAATGAAAGTTCAACTCTGTGAGTCGAACACACACAACACAAGGAAGTTACTGGGAATTCTTCTGTCTAGCACAGTATGGAGAAATCCCGTTTCCAACGAAGGCCTCAAAGAGGTCTGAATATCCACTTGCAGAGTTTACAAACAGAGTGTTTCCTAACTGCTCTATGAACAGAAAGGTTAAACTCTGTGAGTTGAACGCACACATCACAAAGAAGTTTCTGAGAATCATTCTGTCTAGTTTCTATAGGAAGATATTTCCTATTTTACCATTGACCTCAAAGCGGCTGAAATCTCCACTTGCAAATTCCACAAAAAGAGTGTTTCAAGTCTGCTCTGTGTAAAGGATCGTTCAACTCTGTGAGTTGAAAACACACAACACAAGGAAGTTTCTGAGAATTCTTCTGTCTAGCAGAATATGAAGAAATCCCGTTTCCAACGAAGGCCTCAAGGAGGTCTGAATATCCACTTGCAGACTTTACAAACAGAGTGTTTCCTAACTGCTCTATGAACAGAAAGGTTAAAGTCTGTGAGTTGAACGAACACATCACAACGCAGTTTGTGGGAATGATTCTGTCTAGTTTTGAAACGAAGATATTTCCTTTTCTGCCATTGACCTTAAAGCGCTTGAAATCTACACTTGCAAATTGCACAAATAGAGTGTTTCAAATCCTGCTCTGTCTAAGGGAACGTTCAACTCTGTGAGTTGAATGCACACAACACAAGGAAGTTACTGGGAATTCTTCTGTCTAGCCTTACATGAAAAAAACCCGTTTCCAACGAAGGCCTCTAAGTGGTCAAGTTATCCACGTGCAGACTTTACAAACAGAGTGTTTCCAAACTGCTGAATGAAAAGAAATGTTAAACTCTGAGAGTTGAACGCACACATCGCAGAGCAGTTTCTGAGAATGATTCTGTCTAGTTTTTATACGAAGATATTTCCTTTTCTACCATTGACCTCAAAGCGCCTGAAATCTCCACTTGCAAATTCCAGAAAAAGAGTGTTTCAAGTCTACTCTGTGTAAAGCATCGTTCAACTCTGTGAGTTGAATACACACAACACAAGGAAGTTTCTGAGAATTCTTCTGTCTAGCCTTATATGAAAAAAACCCGTTTCCAACAAAGGCCTCAAAGAGGTCTGAATATCCTCTTGCAGACTTTACAAACAGAGTGATTCCTAACTGCTCTATGAAAAGAAAGGTTAAACTCTGTGAGTTGAACACACACATCTCAAAGGAGTTTCTGAGAATCATTCTGTCTAGTCTTTATACGAAGATATTTCCTTTTCTACCATTGACCTCAAAGCGGCTGAAATCTCCACTTGCAAATTCCACAAAAAGAGTGCTTAAAGTCTGCTCTCTGTAAAGGATCGTTCAACTCTGTGAGTTGAATACACACAACACAAGGAAGTTACTGAGAATTCTTCTGTCTAGCAGAATATGAAGAAATCCCGTTTCCAACGAAGGCCACAAGATGTCAGAATATCCACTTACAGAATTTACAAACAGACTGTTTCCTAACTGCTCTACGAAAAGAAAGGTTAAACTCTGTGAGATGAACGAACACATCACAACGCAGTTTGTGGGAATGATTCTGTCTAGTTTTGAAAGGAAGATATTTCCTTTTCTGCCATTGACCTTAAAGCGCTTGAAATCTCCACTTGCCAATTGCACAAAAAGAGTGTTTCAAATCTGCTCTGTCTAAGGGAACGTTCAACTCTGTGAGTTGAATGTACACAACACAAGGAAGTTACTGTGAATTCTTCTTTTTAGCCTTACAGGAAAAAAACCCGTTTCCAACGAAGGCCTCTAAGTGGTCAAAATATCCACGTGCAGACTTTACAAACAGAGTGTTTCCAAACTGCTGAATGAAAAGAAAAGTTAAACTCTGAGAGTTGAACGCACACATCGCAGAGCAGTTTCTGAGAATGATTCTGTCTAGTCTTTATACGAAGATATTTACTTTTCTATCATTGACCTCAAAGCGGCTGAAATCGCCACTTGCAAATTCCACAAAAAGAGTGTTTCAAGTCTGCTCTGTGTAAAGGATCATTCAACTCTGTGAGTTGAATAAACACAACACAAGGAAGTTACTGAGAATTCTTCTGTCTAGCAGAATATGAAGAAATCCCGTTTCCAACGAAGGCCTCAAGGAGGTCTGAATATCCACTTGCAGACTTTTCAAACAGAGTGTTTCCTAACTGCTCTATGAAAAGAAAGGTTAAACTCTGTGAGTTGAACGCACACATCACAAAGGAGTTTATGAGAATCATTCTGTCTAGTTTCTATAGGAAGATATTTTCTATTCTACCATTGAACTCAAAGCGGCTGAAATCTCCACATGCAAATTCCACAAAAAGAGTGTTTCAAGTCTGCTCTGTGTAAAGGATCGTTCAACTCTGTGAGTTGAATACACACAACACAAGGAAGTTACTGAGAATTCTTCTGTCTAGCAGAATATGAAGAAATCCCGTTTCCAACGAAGGCCACAAGATGTCAGAATATCCACTTTCAGACTTTACAAACAGAGTGTTTCCTAACTGCTCTATGAACAGAAAGGTTAAACTCTGTGAGTTGAACGAACACATCACAACGCAGTTTGTGGGAATGATTCTGTCTAGTTTTGAAACGAAGATATTTCCTTTTCTGCCATTGACCTTAAAGCGCTTGAAATCTCCATTTGCCAATTGCACAAAAAGAGTGTTTCAAATCTGCTCTGTCTAAGGGAACGTTCAACTCTGTGAGTTGAATGTACACAACACAAGGAAGTTACTGGGAATTCTTCTGTCTAGCCTTACATGAAAAAATCCCGTTTCCAACGAAGGCCTCTAAGTGGTCAAAATTTCCACGTGCAGACTTTACAAACAGAGTGTTTCCAAACCGCTGAATGAAAAGAAAAGTTAAACTCTGAGAGTTGAACGCACACATCACGCAGCAGTTTCTGAGAATGATTCTGTCTAGTTTTTATACGAAGATATTTCCTTTTCTGCCTTTGGCCCCGAAGCGCTTGAAATCTCCACTTGCAAATTCCACAAAAAGAGTGTTTCAAGTCTGCTCTGTGTAAAGGATCGTTCAACTCTGTCAGTTGAATACACACAACACAAGGAAGTTACTGAGAATTCTTGTGTCTAGCAGAACATGAAGAAATCCCGTTTCCAACGAAGGCCTCAAAGGTGTCTGAATATCCACTTGCAGACTTTACAAACAGAGTGTTTCCTAACTGCTCTATGAAAAGAAAGGTTAAGCTCTGTGAGTTGAACGCACACATCACAAAGGATTTTCTGAGAATCATTCTGTCTAGTCTTTATACGAAAATATTTCCTTTTCTACCATTGACCTCAAAGCGGCTGAAATCTCCACTTGCAAATTCCACAAAAAGAGTGTTTCAAGTCGGCTCTCTGTAAAGGATCGTTCAACTCTGTGAGTTGAATACACACAACACAAGGAAGTTACTGAGAAGTATTCTGTCTAGCATAATATGAAGAAATCCCTTTTCCAACGAAGAGTTCAAAGAGGTCTGAATATCCACTTGCAGACTTTACAAACAGAGTGTTTCCTAACTGCTCTATGAAAAGAAAAGTTAAACTCTGTGAGTTGAACGCACACATCACAAAGGAGTTTCTGAGAATCATTCTGTCTAGTTTTGAAACGAAGATATTTCCTTTTCTGCCGTTGACCTTAAAGCGCTTGAAATCTACACTTGCAAATTGCACAAATAGAGTGTTTCAAATCTGCTCTGTCTAAGGGAACGTTCAACTCTGTGAGTTGAATGCACACAACACAAGGAAGTTACTGGGAATTCTTCTGTCTATCCTTACATGAAAAAAACCCGTTTCCAACGAAGGCCTCTAAGTGGTCAAAATTTCCACGTGCAGACTTTACAAACAGAGTGTTTCCAAACCGCTGAATGAAAAGAAAAGTTAAACTCTGAGAGTTGAACGCACACATCACGCAGCAGTTTCTGAGAATGATTCTGTCTAGTTTTGAAACGAAGATATTTCCTTTTCTGCCTTTGGCCTCAAAGCGCTTGAAATATCCACTTGCAAATTCCACAAAAAGAGTGTTTCAAATCTGCTCTGTGTAAATGAAAGTTCAACTCTGTGAGTTGAACACACACAACACAAGGAAGTTACTGGGAATTCTTCTGTCTAGCCTTATATGAAAAAAACCCAGTTTCCAACGAAGGCCTCAAAGAGGTCTGAATATCCACTTGCAGACTTTACAAACAGAGTGTTTCCTAACTGCTCTATGAAAAGAAAGGTTAAACTCTGTGAGTTGAACGCACACATCACAAAGGAGTTTCTGAGAATCATTCTGTCTACTTTCTATAGGAAGATATTTCCTATTCTACCATTGACCTCAAAGCGGCTGAAATCTCCACTTGCAAATTCCACAAAAGGAGTGTTTCAAGTCTGCTCTGTGTAAAGGATCGTTCAACTCTGTGAGTTGAATACACACAACACAAGGAAGTTACTGAGAATTCTTCTGTCTAGCATAATATGAAGAAATCCCGTTTCCAATGAAGGCCTCAAGGAGGTCTGAATATCCACTTGCAGACTTTACAAACAGAGTGTTTCCTAACTGCTCTATGAAAAGAAAGGTTAAACTGTGTGAGTTGAACGCACACATCACAAAGGAGTTTCTGAGAATCATTCTGTCTAGTTTTGAAAGGAAGATATTTCCTTTTCAGCCGTTGACCTTAAAGCGCTTGAAATCTACACTTGCAAATTGCAAAAATAGGCTGTTTCAAATCTGCTCTGTCTAAGGGAACGTTCAACTCTGTGAGTTGAATGCACACAACACAAGGAAGTTACTGAGAATTCTTCTGTCTAGCCTTACATGCAAAAAACCCGTTTCCAACGAAGGCCTCTAAGTGGTCAAAATATCCACGTGCAGACATTACAAACAGAGTGTTTCCAAACCGCTGAATGAAAAGAAAAGTTAAACTCTGAGAGTTGAACGCACACATCACGCAGCAGTTTCTAAGAATGATTCTGTCTAGTTTTTATACGAAGATATTTCGTTTTCTGCCTTTGGCCCGAAAGCGCTTGAAATCTCCACTTGCAAATTCCACAAAAACAGTGTTTCAAATCTGCTCTCTCTAAATGAAAGTTCAACTCTGTCAGTTGAATACACACAACACAAGGAAGTTACTGAGAATTCTTCTGTCTAGCATAATATGAAGAAATCCCGTTTCCAACGAAGGCCTCAAAGAGGTCTTAATATCCACTTGCAGACTTTACAAACAGAGTGTTTCCTAACTGCTCTATGAGAAGAAAAGTTAAACTCTGTGAGTTGAACGCACACATCACAAAAGATTTTCTGAGAATCATTCTGTGTAGTTTTTCTACGAAGATATTTCCTTTTCTACTATTGACCTCAAAGCGGCTGAAATCTCCACTTGCAAATTCCACAAAAAGAGTGTTTCAAGTCTGCTCTGTGTAAAGGATCGTGCAACTCTGTGAGTTGAATACACACAACACAAGGAAGTTACTGAGAATTCTTCTGTCTAGCAGAATATGAAGAAATCCCGTTTCCAACGAATGCCACAAGATGTCAGAATATCCACTTACAGAATTTACAAACAGACTGTTTCCTAACTGCTCTATGAAAAGAAAGGTTAAACTCTGTGAGTTGAACGAACACATCACAACGCAGTTTGTGGGAATGATTCTGTCTAGTTTTGAAACGAAGATATTTCCTTTTCTGCCATTGACCTTAAAGCGCTTGAAATCTCCACTTGCCAATTGCACAAAAAGAGTGTTTCAAATCTGCTCTGTCTAAAGGAACGTTCAACTCTGTGAGTTGAATGTACACAACACAAGGAAGTTACTGGGAATTCTTCTGTCTAGCCTTACATGAAAAAATTCCGTTTCCAACGAAGGCCTCTAAGTGGTCAAAATATCCACGTGCAGACTTTACAAACAGAGTGTTTCCAAACCGCTGAATGAAAAGAAAAGTTAAACTCTGAGAGTTGAACGCACACATCACGCAGCAGTTTCTGAGAATGATTCTGTCTAGTTTTGAAACGAAGACATTTCCTTTTCTGCCTTTGGCCTCAAAGCCCTTGAAATCTCCACTTGCAAATTCCACAAAAAGAGGGTTTCAAATCTGCTCTGTGTAAATGAAAGTTCAACTCTGTGAGTTGAACACACACAACACAAGGAAGTTACTGGGAATTCTTCTGTCTAGCATAATATGAAGAAATCCCGTTTCCAACGAAGGCCTCAAAGGGGTCTGAATATCCACTTGCAGACTTTATAAACAGAGTATTTACTAACTGCTCTATGAAAAGAAAGGTTAAACTTCGTGAGTTGAACACACACATCACAAAGGAGTTTCTGAGAATCATTCTGTCTAGTTTTTCTACGAAGATATTTCCTTTTCTACTATTGACCTCAAAGCGGCTGAAATCTCCACTTGCAAATTCCACAAAAAGAGTGTTTCAAGTCTGCTCTGTGTAAAGGATCGTTCAACTCTGCGAGTTCAATACACACAACACAAGGTAAGTTACTGAGAATTCTTCTGTCTAGCAGAATATGAAGAAATCCCGTTTCCAACGAAGGCCACAAGATGTCAGAATATCCACTTACAGAATTGACAAACAGACTGTTTCCTAACTGCTCTATGAAAAGAAAGGTTAAACTCTGTGAGATGAACGAACACATCACAACGCAGTTTGTGGGAATGATTCTGTCTAGTTTTGAAACGAAGATATTTCCTTTTCTGCCATTGAACTTAAAGCGCTTGAAATCTCCACTTGCCAATTGCACAAAAAGAGTGTTTCAAATCTGCTCTGTCTAAGGGAACGTTCAACTCTGTGAGTTGAACGTACACAACACAAGGAAAGTTACTGGGAATTCTTCTGTCTAGCCTTACATGAAAAAAACCCGTTTCCAACGAAAGCCTCAAAGAAGTCCAAATATCCACATGCAGACTTTACAAACAGAGTGTTTCCCAACTGCTCTATGAAAAGAAAGGTTAAACACTGTGAGTTGAACGCCCACATCACAAAGGAGTTTCTGAGAATCATTCTGTCTAGTCTTTATAGGAAGATATTTACTTTTCTACCATTGACCTCAAAGCGGCTGAAATCTCCACTTGCAAATTCCACAAAAAGAGTGTTTCAAGTCTGCTCTCTGTAAAGGATCATTCAACTCTGTGAGTTGAATAAACACAACACAAGGAAGTTACTGAGAATTCTTCTGTCTGGCAGAATATGAAGAAATCCCGTTTCCAACGAAGACCTCAAGGAGGTCTGAATATCCACTTGCAGACTTTAGAGAGTGTTTCCTAACTGCTCTATGAAAAGAAAGGTTAAACTCTGTGAGTTGAACGCACACATCACAAAGGAGTTTCTGAGAATCATTCTGTCTAGTCTTTATATGAAGATAGTTTCCTTTTCTACCATTGACCTCAAAGCGGCTGAAATCTCCACTTGCAAATTCCACAAAAAGAGTGTTTCAAGTCTGCTCTGTGTAAAGGATCATTCAACTCTGTGAGTTGAATACACACAACACAAGGAAGTTACTGAGAATTCTTCTGTCTAGCAAAATATGAAGAAATCCCGTTTCCAACGAAGGCCACAAGATGTCAGAATATCCACTTACAGAATTTACAAACAGACTGTTTCCTAACTGCTCTATGAAAAGAAAGTTTAAACTCTGTGAGTTGAACGAACACATCACAACGCAGTTTGTGGGAATGATTCTGTCTAGTTTTGAAACGAAGATATTTCCTTTTCTGCCATTGACCTTAAAGTGCTTGAAATCTCCACTTGCCAATTGCACAAAAAGAGTGTTTCAAATCTGCTCTGTCTAAGGGAACGTTCAACTCTGTGAGTTGAATGTACACAACACAAGGAAGTTACTGGGAATTCTTCTGTCTAGCCTTACATGAAAAAAACCCGTTTCCAACGAAGGCCTCTAAGTGGTCAAAATTTCCACGTGCAGACTTTACAAACAGAGTGTTTCCAAACCGCTGAATGAAAAGAAAAGTTAAACTCTGAGAGTTGAACGCACACATCACGCAGCAGTTTCTGAGAATGATTCTGTCTACTTTCTATAGGAAGATATTTCCTATTCTACCATTGACCTCAAAGAGGCTGAAATCTCCACTTGCAAATTCCACAAAAAGAGTGTTTCAAGTCTGCTCTGTGTAAAGGATCGTTCAACTCTGTGAGTTGAATACACACAACACAAGGAAGTTACTGAGAATTCTTCTTTCTAGCAGAATATGAAGAAATCCCGTTTCCAACGAAAGCCTCAAGGATGTCTGAATATCCACTTGCAGACTTTACAAACAGAGTGTTTCCTAACTGCTCTATGAAAAGAAAGGTTAAACTCTGTGAGTTGAACGCACACATCACAAAGGAGTTTCTGAGAATCATTCTGTCTAGTTTCTATAGGAAGATATTTCCTATTCTACCATTGAACTCAAAGCGGCTGAAATCTCCACTTGCAAATTCCACAAAAGGAGTGTTTCAAGTCTGCTCTGTGTAAAGGATCGTTCAACTCTGTGAGTTGAAAACACACAACACAAGGAAGTTTCTGAGAATTCTTCTGTCTAGCAGAATATGAAGAAATCCCGTTTCCAACGAAGGCCTCAAGGAGGTCTGAATATCCACTTGCAGACTTTACAAACAGAGTGTTTCCTAACTGCTGTATGAACAGAAAGGTTAAACTCTGTGAGTTGAACGCACACATCACAAAGGAGTTTCTGAGAATCATTCTGTCTAGTTTTGAAACGAAGATATTTCCTTTTCTGCCATTGACCTTAAAGCGCTTGAAATCTACAGTTGCAAATTCCACAAAAAGAGTGTTTCAAGTCTGCTCTGTGTAAAGGATCGTTCAACTCTGTGAGTTGAATACACACAACACAAGGAAGTTACTGAGAATTCTTCTGTCTAGCCTTACATGAAAAAAACCCGTTTCCAACGAAGGCCTCTAAGTGGTCAAAATATCCACGTGCAGGCTTTACAAACGAGAGTGTTTCCAAACCGCTGAATGAAAAGAAAAGTTAAACTCTGAGAGTTGAACGCACACATCACGCAGCAGTTTCTGAGAATGATTCTGTCTAGTTTCTATAGGAAGATATTTCCTATTCTACCATTGACCTCAAAGCGGCTGAAATCTCCACTTGCAAATTCCACAAAAAGAATGTTTCAAGTCTGCTCTGTGTAAAGGATCGTTCAACTCTGTGAGTTCAATACACACAACACAAGGAAGTTACTGAGAATTCTTCTGTCTAGCATAATATGAAGAAATCCCGTTTCCAACGAAGGCCTCAAAGAGGTCTGAATATCCACTTGCAGACTTTACAAACAGAGTGTTTCCTAACGGCTCTATGAAAAGAAAAGTTAAACTCTGTGAGTTGAACGCACACATCACAAAGGAGTTTCTGAGAATCATTCTGTCTAGTTTTTCTACGAAGATATTTCCTTTTCTACTATTGACCTGAAAGCGGCTGAAATCTCCACTTGCAAATTCCACAAAAAGAGTGTTTCAAGTCTGCTCTGTGTAAAGGATCGTTCAACTCTGTGAGTTGAATACACACAACACAAGGAAGTTACTGAGAATTCTTCTGTCTAGCAGAATATTGAAGAAATCCCGTTTCCAACGAAGGCCTCAAGGAGGTCTGAATATCCACTTGCAGACTATACAAACAGAGTGTTTCCTAACTGCTCTATGAACAGAAAGGTTAAACTCTGTGAGTTGAACGCACACATCACAAAGGAGTTTCTGAGAATCATTCTGTCTAGTCTTTATACGAAGATATTTACTTTTCTACCATTGACCTCAAAGCGGCTGAAATCTCCACTTGCAAATTCCACAAAAAGAGTGTTTCAAGTCTGCTCTGTGTAAAGGATCATTCAACTCTGTGAGTTGCATACACACAACACAAGGAAGTTACTGAGAATTCTTCTTTCTAGCAGAATATGAAGAAATCCCGTTTCCAACGAAAGCCTCAAGGATGTCTGAATATCCACTTGCAGACTTTACAAACAGAGTGTTTCCCAACTGCTCTATGAAAAGAAAGGTTAAACTCTGTGAGTTGAACGCACACATCACAAAGGAGTTTCTTAGAATCATTCTGTCTAGTTTTTATACGAAGATATTTCCTTTTCTACCTTTGACCTCAAAGCGGCTGAAATCTCCACCCTGCCAATTCCACAAAAAGAGTGTTTCAAGTCTACTCTGTGTAAATGATCGTTGAACTCTGTGAGTTGAAAACACACAACACATCGAAGTTTCTGAGAATTCTTCTGCCTAGCAGAATATGAAGAAATCCCGTTTCCAACGAAAGCCTCAAAGATGTCTGAATATCCACTTGCAGACTTTACAAACAGAGTGTTTCCTAACTGCTCTATGAAAAGAAAGGTTAAACTCTGTGAGTTGAACGCACACATCACAAAGGAGTTTCTGAGAATCATTCTGTCTAGTTTCTATAGGAAGATATTCCCTATTCTACCATTGACCTCAAAGCGGATGAAATCTCCACTTGCAAATTCCACAAAAAGAGTGTTTCAAGACTGTTCTGTGTAAAGGATCATTCAACTCTGTGAGTTGAATACACACAACACAAGGAAGTTACTGAGAATTCTTCTGTCTAGCAGAATATGAAGAAATCCCGTTTCCAACGAAGGCCACAAGATGTCAGAATATCCACTTACAGACTTTACAAACAGAGTGTTTCCTAACTGCTCTATGAACAGAAAGGTTAAACTCTGTGAGTTGAACGAACACATCACAACGCAGTTTTGTGGGAATGATTCTGTCTAGTTTTGAAACGAAGATATTTCCTTTTCTGCCATTGACCTCAAAGCGCTTGAAATCTCCACTTGCCAATTGCACAAAAATAGTGTTTCAAATCTGCTCTGTCTAAGGGAACGTTCAACTCTGTGAGTTGAATGTACACAACACAAGGAAGTTACTGGGAATTCTTCTGTCTAGCCTTATATGAAAAAAACCCGTTTCCAACGAAGGCCTCTAAGTGGTCAAAATATCCACTTGCAGACTTTACAAGGAGAGTGTTTCCTAACTGCTCTATGAAAAGAAAGGTTAAACTCTGTGAGTTGAACGCACACATCACAAAGGAGTTTCTGAGAATCATTCTGTCTAGTTTTTATACGAAGATATTTCCTTTTCTGCCTTTGGCCCCAAAGCGCTTGAAATCTCCACTTGCAAATTCCACAAAAACAGTGTTTCAAATCTGCTCTCTCTAAATGAAAGTTCAACTCTGTCAGTTGAATGCACACAACACAAGGAAGTTACTGAGAATTCTTCTGTCTAGCAGAATATGAAGAAATCCCGTTTCCAAAGAAGGCCTCAAAGGGGTCTGAATATCCACTTGCAGACTTTACAAACAGAGTGTTTACTAACTGCTCTATGAAAAGAAAGGTTAAACTCTGTGAGTTGAACGCACACATCACAAAGGAGTTTCTGAGAATCATTCTGTCTAGTTTTTATATGAAGATATTTCCTTTTCTACCATTGACCTCATAGCGGCTGAAATCTCCACTTACAAATTACACAAACAGAGTGTCTCAAGTCTGCTCTGTGTAAACGATCGTTCAACTCTGTGAGTTCAATACACACAACACAAGGAAGTTTCTGAGAATTCTTCTGTCTAGCAGAATATGAAGAAATCCCGTTTCCAACGAAGGCCACAAGATGTCAGAATATCCACTTACAGACTTTACAAACAGAGTGTTTCCTAACTGCTCTATGAACAGAAAGGTTAAACTCTGTGAGTTGAACGAACACATCACAACGCAGTTTGTGGGAATGATTCTGTCTAGTTTTGAAACGAAGATATTTCCTTTTCTGCCATTGACCTTAAAGCGCTTGAAATCTACACTTGCCAATTGCACAAATAGAGTGTTTCAAATCTGCTCTGTCTAAGGGAACGTTCAACTCTGTGAGTTGAATGCACACAACACAAGGAAGTTACTGGGAATTCTTCTGTCTAGCCTTACATGAAAAAAAACCCGTTTCCAACGAAGGCCTCTAAGTGGTCAAATTATCCACGTGCAGACTTTACAAACAGAGTGTTTCCAAACTGCTGAATGAAAAGAAAAGTTAAACTCTGAGAGTTGAACGCACACATCGGAGAGCAGTTTCTGAGAATGATTCTGTCTAGTTTTTATACGAAGATATTTCCTTTTCTGCCTTTGGCACCAAAGCGCTTGAAATCTCCACTTGCAAATTCCACAAAAACAGTGTTTCAAATCTGCTCTCTCTAAATGATAGTTCAACTCTGTCAGTTGAATACACACAACACAAGGAAGTTACTGAGAATTCTTCTGTCTAGCATAATATGAAGAAATCCCGTTTCCAACGAAGGCCTCAAGGAGGTCTGAATATCCACTTGCAGACTTTACAAACAGAGTGTTTCCTAACTGCTCTATGAAAAGAAAGGTTAAACTGTGTGAGTTGAACGCACACATCACAAAGGAGTTTCTCAGAATCATTCTGTCTAGTTTTTATACGAAGATATTTCATTTTCTACCATTGACCTCAAAGCGGCTGAAATCTCCACTTGCAAATTCCACAAAAAGAGTGTTTCAAATCTGCTCTGTGTAAACCATCGTTCAACTCTGTGAGTTGAATACACACAACACAAGGAAGATTCTGAGAATTCTTCTGTCTAGCAGAATATGAAGAAATCCCGTTCCCAACGAAGGCCACAAGATGTCAGAATATCCACTTTCAGACTTTACAAACAGAGTGTTTCCTAACTGCTCTATGAACAGAAAGGTTAAACTCTGTGAGTTGAACGAACACATCACAACGCAGTTTGTGGGAATGATTCTGTCTAGTTTTGAAACGAAGATATTTCCTTTTCTGCCATTGACCTTAAAGCGCTTGAAATCTACACTTGCAAATTGCACAAATAGAGTGTTTCAAATCTGCTCTGTCTAAGGGAACGTTCAACTCTGTGAGTTGAATGCACACAACACAAGGAAGTTACTGGGAATTCTTCTGTCTAGCCTTACATGAAAAAAACCCTTTTCCAACGAAGGCTTCTAAGTGGTCAAAATATCCACGTGCAGACTTTACAAACAGAGTGTTTCCAAACCGCTGAATGAAAAGAAAAGTTAAACTCTGACAGTTGAACGCACACATCATGCAGCAGTTTCTGAGAATGATTCTGTCTAGCTTTGAAACGAAGATATTTCCTTTTCTGCCTTTGGCCTCAAAGCGCTTGAAATCTCCACTTGCAAATTCCACAAAAAGAGTGTTTCAAATCTGCTCTGTGTAAATGAAAGTTCAACTCTGTGAGTTGAACACACACAACACAAGGAAGTTACTGGGAATTCTTCTGTCTAGCCTTATATGAAAAAAACCCGTTTCCAACGAAGGCCTCAAGGAGGTCTGAATATCCACTTGCAGACTTTACAAACAGAGTGTTTCCTAACTGCTCTATGAAAAGAAAGGTTAAACTCTGTGAGTTGAACGCACACATCACAAAGGAGTTTCTGAGAATCATTCTGTCTACTTTCTATAGGAAGATATTTCCTATTCTACCATTGACCTCAAAGCGGCTGAGATCACCACTTGCAAATTCCACAAAAAGAGTGTTTCAAGTCAGCTCTCTGTAAAGGATCGTTCAACTCTCTGAGTTGAATACACACAACACAAGGAAGTTACTGAGAATTATTCTGTCTAGCAGAATATGAAGAATTCCCGTTTCCAACGAAGGCCACAAGATGTCAGAATATCCACTTACAGAATTTACAAACAGAGTGTTTCCTAACTGCACTATGAAAAGAAAGGTTAAACTCTGTGAGATGAACGAACACATCACAACGCAGTTTGTGGGAATGATTCTGTCTAGTTTTGAAACGAAGATATTTCCTTTTCTGCCATTGACCTTAAAGCGCTTGAAATCTCCACTTGCCAATTGCACAAAAAGTGTGTTTCAAATCTGCTCTGTCTAAGGGAACGTTCAACTCTGTGAGTTGAATGTACACAACACAAGGAAGTTACTGGGAATTCTACTGTCTAGCCTTACAGGAAAAAAACCCGTTTCCAACGAAGGCCTCTAAGTGGTCAAAATATCCACGTGCAGACTTTACAAACAGAGTGTTTCCAAACTGCTGAATGAAAAGAAAAGTTAAACTCTGAGAGTTGAACGCACACATCGCAGAGCAGTTTCTGAGAATGATTCTCTGTCTAGTTTTTATCCGAAGATATTTCCTTTTCTGCCTTTGGCCCCAAAGCGCTTGAAATCTCCACTTGCAAATTCCACAAAAACAGTGTTGCAAATCTGCTCTCTCTAAATGAAAGTTCAACTCTGTCAGTTGAATACACACAACACAAGGAAGTTTCTGAGAATTCTTCTGTCTAGCAGAATATGAAGAAATCCCGCTTCCAACGAAGGCCTCAAAGAAGTCTGAATATCCACTTGCAGACTTTACAAACAGAGTGTTTCCCAACTGCTCTATGAAAAGAAAGGTTCAACTCTGTGAGTTGAACGCACACATCACAAAGGAGTTTCTGAGAATCATTCTGTCTAGTCTTTATATGAAGATAGTCTCCTTTTCTACCATTGACCTCAAAGCGGATGAAATCTCCACTTGCAAATTCCACAAAAAGAGTGTTTCAAGTCTGCTCTGTGTAAAGGATCGTTCAACTCTGTGAGTTGAATACACACAACACAAGGAAGTTACTGAGAATTCTTCTGTCTAACAGAATATGAAGAAGTCCCGTTTCCACCGAAGACCTCAAGTAGGTCTGAATATCCACTTGCAGAATTTACAAACAGAGTGTTTCCTAACTGCTCTATGAACAGAAAGGGTAAACTCTGTGAGTTGAACGCACACATCACAAAGGACTTTCTGAGAATCATTCTGTCTAGTTTTGAAACGAAGATATTTCCTTTTCTGCCATTGACCTTAAAGCGCTTGAAATCTCCACTTGCCAATTGCACAAAAAGAGTGTTTCAAATCTGCTCTGTCTAAGGGAACGTTCAACTCTGTGAGTTGAATGTACACAACACAAGGAAGTTACTGGGAATTCTTCTGTCTAGCCTTACATGAAAAAAACCCATTTCCAACGAAGGCCTCTAAGTGGTCAAATTATCCACGTGCAGACTTTACAAACAGAGTGTTTCCAAACTGCTGAATGAAAAGAAAAGTTAAACTCTGAGAGTTGAACGGACATATCACAGAGCAGTTTCTGAGAATGATTCTGTCTAGTTTTTATACGAAGATATTTCCTTTTCTGCCTTTGACCCCAAAGCGCTTGAAATCTCCACTTGCAAATTCCACAAAAACAGTGTTTGAAATCTGCTCTCTCTAAATGAAAGTTCAACTCTGTCAGTTGAATACACACAACACAAGGGAAGTTACTGAGAATTCTTCTGTCTAGCAGAAGATGAAGAAATCCCGTTTCCAACGAAGGCCTCAAGGAGGTCTGAATATCCACTTGCAGACTTTACAAACAGAGTGTTTCCTAACTGCTCTATGAACAGAAAGGTTAAACTCTGTGAGTTGAACGCACACATCACAAAGGAGTTTCTGAGAATCATTCTGTCTAGTTTTTATACGAAGAGATTTCCTTTTCTACCATTGACCTCAACGCGGCTGAAATCTCCACTTGCAAATTCCACAAAAAGAGTGTTTCAAGTCCGCTCTGTGTAAAGGATCGTTCAACTCTGTGAGTTGAATACACACAACACAAGGAAGTTACTGAGAATTCTTCTGTCTAGCACAGTATGAAGAAATCCCGTTTCCAACGAAGACCTCAAAGAGGTCTTAATATCCACTTGCAGAGTTTACAAACAGAGTGTTTCCTAACTGCTCTATGAAAAGAAAGGTTAAACTCTGTGAGTTGAACGCACACATCACAAAGAAGTTTCTGAGAATCATTCTGTCTAGTTTTGAAACGAACAATTTCCTTTTCTGCCATTGACCTTAAAGCGCTTGAAATCTCCATTTGCCAATTGCACAAAAAGAGTGTTTCAAATCTGCTCTGTCTAAGGGAACGTTCAACTCTGTGAGTTGAATGTACACAACACAAGGCAAGTTACTGGGAATTCTTCTGTCTAGCCTTACATGAAAAAAACCCGTTTCCAACGAAGGCCTCTAAGTGGTCAAGTTATCCACGTGCAGACTTTACAAACAGAGTGTTTCCAAACTTCTGAATGAAAAGAAAAGTTAAACTCTGAGAGTTGAACGCACACATCGCAGAGCAGTTTCTGAGAATGATTCTGTCTAGTTTTTATACGAAGATATTTCCTTTTCTGCCTTTGGCCTTAAAGCGCTTGAAATCTCCACTTGCAAATTCCACAAAAAGAGTGTTTCAAATCTGCTCTGTGTAAATGAAAGTTCAACTCTGTGAGTTGAATACACACAACACAAGGGAAGTTACTGGGAATTCTTCTGTCTAGCCTTATATGAAAAAAACCCGTTTCCAACGAAGGCCTCAAAGAGGGCTGAATATCCACTTGCAGACTTTACAAGCAGAGTGTTTCCTAACTGCTCTATGAAAAGAAAGGTTAAACTCTGTGAGTTGAACGCACACATCACAAAGGAGTTTCTGAGAATCATTCTGTCTAGTTTCTATAGGAAGATATTTCCTATTCTACCATTGACCTCAAAGCGGCTGAAAACTACACTTGCAAATTCCACAAAAAGAGTGTTTCAAGTCTGCTCTGTGTAAAGGATCGTTCAACTCTGTGAGTTGAATACACACAACACAAGGAAGTTACTGACAATTCTTCTGTCTAGGCCCAGAATATGAAGAAATCCCGTTTCCAACGAAGGCCACAATATGTCAGAATATCCACTTACAGACTTTACAAACAGAGTGTTTCCTAACTGCTCTATGAACAGAAAGGTTAAACTCTGTGAGTTGAACGAACACATCACAACGCAGTTTGTGGGAATGATTCTGTCTAGTTTTGAAACGAAGATATTTCCTTTTCTGCCGTTGACCTTAAAGAGCTTGAAAACTACACTTGCAAATTGCACAAATAGAGTGTTTCAAATCTGCTCTGTCTAAGGGAACGTTCAACTCTGTGAGTTGAATGCACACAACACAAGGAAGTTACTGGGAATTCTTCTGTCTAGCCTTACAGGAAAAAAACCCGTTTCCAACGAAGGCCTCTGAGTGGTCAAAATATCCACGTGCAGACTTTACAAACAGAGTGTTTCCAAACTGCTGAATGAAAAGAAAAGTTAAACTCTGAGAGTTGAACGCACACATCGCAGAGCAGTTTCTGAGAATGATTCTGTCTAGTCTTTATATGAAGATAGTTTCCTTTTCTACCATTGACCTCAAAGCGGCTGAAATCTCCACTTGCAAATTCCACAAAAAGAGTGTTTCAAGTCTGCTCAGTGTAAAGGATCCTTCAACTCTGTGAGTTGAATACACACAACACAAGGAAGTTACTGAGAATTCTTCTGTCTAGCAGAATAGGAAGAAATCCCGTTTCCAACGAAGGCCTCAAAGAGGTCTGAATATCCACTTGCAGACTTTACAAACAGAGTGTTTCCTAACTGCTCTATGAAAAGAAAGGTTAAACTCTGTGAGTTGAACGCACACATCACAAAGGAGTTTCTGAGAATCGTCTGTCTAGTTTCTATAGGAAGATATTTCCTATTCTACCATTGACCTCAAAGCGGCTGAAATCTCCACTTGCAAATTCGACAAAAAGAATGTTTCAAGTCTGCTCTGTGTAAAGGATCGTTCAACTCTGTGAGTTGAATACACACAACACAAGGAAGTTACTGAGAATCTTCTCTGTCTAGCAGAATATGAAGAAATCCCGTTTCCAACGAAGGCCACAAGATGTCAGAATATCCACTTACAGAATTTACAAACAGAGTGTTTCCTAACTGCTCTATGAAAAGAAAGGTTAAACTCTGTGAGATGAACGAACACATCACAACGCAGTTTGTGGGAATGATTCCGTCTAGTTTTGAAACGAAGATATTTCCTTTTCTGCCATTGACCTTAAAGCGCTTGAAATCTCCACTTGCCAATTGCACAAAAAGAGTGTTTCAAATCTGCTCTGTCTAAGGGAACGTTCAACTCTGTGAGTTGAATGTACACAACACAAGGAAGTTACTGGGAATTCTTCTGTCTAGCCTTAAATGAAAAAAACCCGTTTCCAACGAAGGCCTCTAAGTGGTCAAGTTATCCACGTGCAGACTTTACAAACAGAGTGTTTCCAAACTGCTGAATGAAAAGAAAAGTTAAACTTTGAGAGTTGAACGCACACATCGCAGAGCAGTTTCTGAGAATGATTCTGTCTAGTTTTGAAACGAAGATATTTCCTTTTCTGCCTTTGGCCTCAAAGCGCTTGAAATCTCCACTTGCAAATTCCACAAAAAGAGTGTTTCAAATCTGTTCTGTGTAAATGAAAGTTCAACTCTGTGAGTTGAACACACACAACACAAGGAAGTTACTGGGAATTCTCTGTCTAGCATAATATGAAGAAATCCCGTTTCCAACGAAGGCCTCAAAGGGGTCTGAATATCCACTTGCAGACTTTATAAACAGAGTGTTTACTAACTGCTCTAGGAAAAGAAAGGTTAAAATCTGTGAGTTGAACACACACATCACAAAGGAGTTTCTGAGAATCATTCTGTCTAGTTTTTATACGAAGATATTTCCTTTTCTACCATTGACCTCAAAGCGGCTGAAATCTCCACTTGCAAATTCCACAAAAAGAGTGTTTCAAATCTGCTCTGTGTAAACAATCGTTCAACTGTGTGAGTTGAATACACACAACACAAGGAAGATTCTGAGAATTCTTCTGTCTAGCAGAATATGAAGAAATCCCGTTTCCAACGAAGGCCACAAGATGTCAGGATATCCACTTACAGAATTTACAAACAGACTGTTTCCTAACTGCTCTACGAAAAGAAAGGTTAAACTCTGTGAGATGAACGAACACATCACAACGCAGTTTGTGGGAATGATTCTGTCTAGTTTTGAAACGAAGATATTTCCTTTTCTGCCATTGACCTTAAAGCGCTTGAAATCTCCATTTGCCAATTGCACAAAAAGAGTGTTTCAAATCTGCTCTGTCTAAGGGAACGTTCAACTCTGTGAGTTGAATGTACACAACACAAGGAAGTTACTGGGAATTCTTCTGTCTAGCCTTACATGAAAAAAACCCGTTTCCAACGAAGGCCTCTAAGTGGTCAAATTATCCACGTGCAGACTTTACTAACAGAGTGTTTCCAAACTGCTGAATGAAAAGCAAAGTTAAACTCTGAGAGTTGAACGCACACATCGCAGAGCAGTTTCTGAGAATGATTCTCTCTAGTTTTGAAACGAAGATATTTCCTTTTCTGCCTTTGGCCTCAAAGCGCTTGAAATCTCCACTTGCAAATTCCACAAAAAGAGTGTTTCAAATCTGCTCTGTGTAAATGAAAGTTCAACTCTGTGAGTTGAACACACACAACACAAGGAAGTTACTGGGAATTCTTCTGTCTAGCCTTATATGAAAAAAACCCGTTTCCAACGAAGGCCTCAAAGAGGTCTGAATATCCACTTGCAGACTTTACAAACAGAGTGTTTCCTAACTGCTCTATGAAAAGAAAGGTTAAACTCTGAGTTGAACGCACACATCACAAAGGAGTTTCTGAGAATCATTCTGTCTAGTTTTTCTACGAAGATATTTCCTTTTCTACTATTGACCTCAAAGCGGCTGAAATCTCCACTTGCAAATTACACAAAAAGAGTGTTTCAAGACTGCTCTGTGTAAAGGATCGTTCAACTCTGTGAGTTGAATACACACAACACAAGGAAGTTACTGAGAATTCTTCTGTCTAGCAGAATATGAAGAAATCCCGTTTCCAACGAAGGCCACAAGATGTCAGAATATCCACTTACAGACTTTACAAACAGAGTGTTTCCTAACTGCTCTATGAACAGAAAGGTTAAACTCTGTGAGTTGAACGAACACATCACAACCCAGTTTGTGGGAATGATTCTGTCTAGTTTTGAAAGGAAGATATTTCCTTTTCTGCCGTTGACCTTAAAGCGCTTGAAATCTACACTTGCAAATTGCACAAATAGGCTGTTTCAAATCTGCTCTGTCTAAGGGAACGTTCAACTCTGTGAGTTGAATGCACACAACACAAGGAAGCTACTGAGAATTCTTCTGTCTAGCCTTACATGAAAAAAACCCGTTTCCAACGAAGGCCTCTAAGTGGTCAAAATATCCACGTGCAGACTTTACAAACAGAGTGTTTCCAAACCGCTGAATGAAAAGAAAAGTTAAACTCTGACAGTTGAACGCACACATCACGCAGCAGTTTCTGAGAATGATTCTGTCTAGTTTTTATACCGAAGATATTTCCTTTTCTGCCTTTGGCCTCAAAGCGCTTGAAATCTCCACTTGCAAATTCCACAAAAAGAGTGTTTCAAATCTGCTCTGTGTAAATGAAAGTTCAACTCTGTGAGTTGAACACACACAACACAAGGAAGTTACTGGGAATTCTTCTCTCTAGCAGAATATGAAGAAATCCCGTTTCCAACGAAGGCCTCAAAGAGGTCTGTATATCCACTTGCAGACTTTACAAACAGAGTGTTTCCTAACTGCTCTATGAAAAGAAAGGTTAAACTCTGTGAGTTGAACGCACACATCACAAAGGAGTTTCTGAGAATCATTCTGTCTAGTTTCTATTGGAAGATATTTCCTATTCTACCATTGAACTCAAAGCGGCTGAAATCTCCACTTGCAAATTCCACAAAAAGAGTGTTTCAAGTCTGCTCTGTGTAAAGGATCGTTCAACTCTGTGAGTTGAATACACACAACACAAGGAAAGTTACTGAGAAATCTTCTGTCTAGCATAATATGAAGAAATCCCGTTTCCAACGAAGGCCTCAAAGAGGTCTGAATATCCACTTGCAGACTTTACAAACAGAGTGTTTCCTAACTGCTCCTATGAAAAGAAAGGTTAAACTCTGTGAGTTGAACGCCCACATCACAAAGGAGTTTCTGAGTATCATTCTGTCTAGTTTTGAAACGAAGATATTTCCTTTTCTGCCATTGACCTTAAAGCGCTTGAAATCTACACTTGCAAATTGCACAAATAGAGTGTTTCAAATCTGCTCTGTCTAAAGGAAAGTTCAACTCTGTGAGTTGAATGCACACAACACAAGGAAGTTACTGGGAATTCTTCTGTCTACCCTTACATGAAAAAAACCCGTTTCCAACGAAGGCCTCTAAGTGGTCAAAATATCCACGTGCAGACTTTACAAACAGAGTGTTTCCAAACTGCTGAATGAAAAGAAAAGTTAAACTCTGAGAGTTGAACGCACACATCACAGAGGATTTTCTGAGAATGATTCTGTCTACTTTTTCTACGAAGATATTTCCTTTTCTACTATTGACCTCAAAGCGGCTGAAATCTCCACTTGCAAATTCCACAAAAAGAGTGTTTCAAGTCTGCTCTGTGTAAAGGATCGTTCAACTCTGTGAGTTGAATACACACAACACAAGGAAGTTACTGAGAATTCTTCTGTCTAGCAGAATATGAAGAAATCCCGTTTCCAACGAAGGCCTCAAAGAGGTCTGAATATCCACTTGCAGACTTTACAAACAGAGTGTTTCCTAACTGCTCTATGAAAAGAAAGGTTAAACTCTGTGAGTTGAACGCACACATCACAAAGGAGTTTCTGAGAATCGTTCTGTCTAGTTTTTCTACGAAGATATTTCCTTTCTACTATTGACCTCAAAGCGGCTTAAATCTCCACTTGCAAATTCCACAAAAAGAGTGTTTCAAGTCTGCTCTGTGTAAAGGATCGTTCAACTCTGTGAGTTGAATACACACAACACAAGGAAGTTACTGAGAATTCTTCTGTCTAGCAGAATATGAAGAAATCCCGTTTCCAACGAAGGCCACAAGATGTCAGAATATCCACTTACAGACTTTACAAACAGAGTGTTTCCTAACTGCTCTATGAACAGAAAGGTTAAACTCTGTGAGTTGAACGAACACATCACAACGCAGTTTGTGGGAATGATTCTGTCTAGTTTTGAAACGAAGATATTTCCTTTTCTGCCATTGACCTTAAAGTGCTTGAAATCTCCACTTGCCAATTGCACAAAAAGAGTGTTTCAAATCTGCTCTGTCTAAGGGAACGTTCAACTCTGTGAGTTGAATGTACACAACACAAGGAAGTTACTGGGAAATCTTCTGTCTAGCCTTACATGAAAAAATCCCGTTTCCAACGAAGGCCTCTAAGTGGTCAAAATATCCACGTGCAGACTTTACAAACAGAGTGTTTCCAAACCGCTGAATGAAAAGAAAAGTTAAACTCTGAGAGTTGAACGCACACATCACACAGCAGTTTCTGAGAATGATTCTGTCTAGTTTCTATATGAAGATATTTCCTATTCTACCATTGACCTCAAAGCGGCTGAAATCTCCTCTTGCAAATTCCACAAAAAGAGTGTTTCAAGTCTGCTCTGTGTAAAGGATCGTTCAACTCTGTGAGTTGAATACACACAACACAAGGAAGTTACTGAGAATTCTTCTGTCTAGCAGAATATGAAGAAATCCCGTTTCCAACGAAGGCCTCAAAGAGGTCTGAATATCCACTTGCAGACTTTACAAACAGTGTTTCCTAACTGCTCTATGAGAAGAAAAGTTAAACTCTGTGAGTTGAACGCACACATCACAAATGATTTTCTGAGAATCATTCTGTCTAGTTTTTATACGAAGATATTTCCTTTTCTACCATTGACCTTAAAGCGGCTGAAATCTCCACTTGCAAATTCCACAAAACGAGTGTTTCAAGTCTGCTCTGTGTAAAGGATCGCTCAACTCTGTGAGTTGAATACACACAACACAAAGAAGTTACTGAGAATTCTTCTGTCTAGCAGAATATGAAGAAATCCCGTTTCCAACGAAGGCCACAAGATGTCAGAATATCCACTTACAGACTTTACAAACAGAGTGTTTCCTAACTGCTCTATGAACAGAAAGGTTAAACTCTGTGAGTTGAACGAACACATCACAAGGCAGTTTGTGGGAATGATTCTGTCTAGTTTTTATAGGAAGATATTTCCTTTTCTACCTTTGACTTCAAAGCGGCTGAAATCTCCACTTGCGAATTCCACAAAAAGAGTGTTACAAGTCTGCTGTGTGTAAAGGATCGTTCAACTCTGTGAGTTGAATACACACAACACAAGGAAGTTACTGAGAATTCTTCTGTCTAGCCTTACATGAAAAAAACCCGTTTCCAACGAAGGCCTCTAAGTGGTCAAATTATCCACGTGCAGACTTTACAAACAGAGTGTTTCCAAACTGCTGAATGAAAAGAAAAGTTAAACTCTGAGAGTTGAACGCACACATCGCAGAGCAGTTTCTGAGAATGATTCTGTCTAGTTTTTATGCGAAGATATTTCCTTTTCTGCCTTTGGCCTCAAAGCGTTTGATATCTCCACTTGCAAATTCCACAAAAAGAGTGTTTCAAATCTGCTATGTGTAAATGAAAGTTCAACTCTGTGAGTTGAACACACACAACACAAGGAAGTTACTGGGAATTCTTCTGTCTAGCATAATATGAAGAAATCCCGTTTCCAACGAAGACCTCAAAGAGGTCTGAATATCCACTTGCAGACTTTATAAACAGAGTGTTTACTAACTGCTCTATGAAAAGAAACGTTAAACTCTGTGAGTTGAACACACACATCACAAAGGAGTTTCTGAGAATCATTCTGTCTAGTCTTTATACGAAGATATTTCCTTTTCTACCATTGACCTCAAAGCGGCTGAAATCTCCACTTGCAAATTCCACAAAAAGAGTGTTTCAAGTCTGCTCTCTGTAAAGGATCGTTCAACTCTGTGAGTTGAATACACACAACACAAGGAAGTTACTGAGAATTCTTCTGTCTAGCAGAATATGAAGAAATCCCGTTTCCAACGAAGGCCACAAGATGTCAGAATATCCACTTACATTATTTACAAACAGACTGTTTCCTAACTGCTCTATGAAAAGAAAGGTTAAAGTCTGTGAGTTGAACGAACACATCACAACGCAGTTTGTGGGAATGATTCTGTCTAGTTTTGAAACGAAGATATTTCCTTTTCTGCCATTGACCTCAAAGCGCTTGAAATCTCCACTTGCCAATTGCACAAAAAGAGTGTTTCAAATCTGCTCTGTCTAAGGGAACGTTCAACTCTGTGAGTTGAATGTACACAACGGAAGGAAGTTACTGGGAATTCTTCTGTCTAGCCTTACAGGAAAAAAACCCGTTTCCAACGAAGGCCTCTAAGTGGCCAAAATATCCACGTGCAGACTTTACAAACAGAGTGTTTCCAAACTGCTGAATGAAAAGAAAAGTTAAACTCTGAGAGTTGAACGCACACATCGCAGAGCAGTTTCTGAGAATGATTCTGCCTAGTTTTTATACGAAGATATTTCCTTTTCTGCCTTTGGCCCCAAAGCGCTTGAAATCTCCACTTGCAAATTCCACAAAAACAGTGTTTCAAATCTGCTCTCTCTAAATGAAAGTTCAACTCTGTCAGTTGAATACACACAACACAAGGGAAGTTACTGAGAATTCTTCTGTCTAGCATAATATGAAGAAATCCCGTTTCCAACGAAGGCCTCAAAGGGGTCTCAATATCCACTTGCAGACTTTATAAACAGAGTGTTTACTAACTGCTCTATGAAAAGAAAGGTTAAACTCTGTGAGTTGAACACACACATCACAAAGGAGTTTCTGAGAATCATTCTGTCTAGTTTTTCTACGAAGATATTTCCTTTTCTACTATAGACCACAAAGCGGCTGAAATCTCCACTTGCAAATTCCACAAAAAGAGTGTTTCAAGTCTGCTCTGTGTAAAGGATAGTTCAACTCCGTGAGTTGAATACACACAACACAAGGAAGTTACTGAGAATTCTTCTGTCTAGCAGAATATGAAGAATTCCCGTTTCCAACGAAGGCCACAAGATGTCAGAATATCCACTTACAGAATTTTCAAACAGACTGTTTCCTAACTGCTCTATGAAAAGAAAGGTTAAACTCTGTGAGTTGAACGAACACATCACAACGCAGTTTGTGGGAATGATTCTGTCTAGTTTTGAAACGAAGCATATTTCCTTTTCTGCCATTGACCTTAAAGCGCTTGAAATCTCCACTTGCCAATTGCACAAAAAGAGTGTTTCAAATCTGCTCTGTCTAAGGGAACGTTCAACTCTGTGAGTTGAATGTACACAACACAATGAAGTTACTGGGAATTCTTCTGTCTAGCCTTACAGGAAAAAAACCCGTTTCCAACGAAGGCCTCTAAGTGGTGAAAATATCCACGTGCAGACTTTACAAACAGAGTGTTTCCAAACTGCTGAATGAAAAGAAAAGTTAAACTCTGAGAGTTGAACGCACACATCGCAGAGCAGTTTCTGAGAATGATTCTGTCTAGTTTTGAAACGAAGATATTTCCTTTTCTGCCTTTGGCCTCAAAGCGCTTGAAATCTCCACTTGCAAATTCCACAAAAAGAGTGTTTCAAATCTGCTCTGTGTAAATGAAAGTTCAACTCTGTGAGTCGAACACACACAACACAAGGAAGTTACAGGGAATTCTTCTGTCTAGCATAATATGAAAAAATCCCGTTTCCAACGAAGGCCTCAAGGAGGTCTGAATATCCACTTGCAGACTTTACAAACAGAGGTGTTTCCTAACTGCTCTATGAAAAGAAAGGTTAAACTCTGTGAGTTGAACGCACACATCACAAAGGAGTTTCTGAGAATCATTCTGTCTAGTTTTTATACGAAGATATTTTCTTTTCTACCATTGACCTCAACGCGGCTGAAATCTCCACTTGCAAATTACACAAAAAGAGTGTTTCAAGTCCGCTCTGTGTAAAGGATCGTTCAACTCTGTGAGTTGAATACACACAACACAAGGAAGTTACTGAGAATTCTTCTGTCTAGCAGAATATGGAGAAATCCCGTTTCCAACGAAGGCCTCTAGGAGGTCTGAATATCCACTTGCAGACTTTACAAACAGAGTGTTTCCTAACTGCTCTATGAACAGAAAGGTTAAACTCTGTGAGTTGAACGAACACATCACAACGCAGTTTGTGGGAATGATTCTGTCTAGTTTTTATATGAAGATATTTCCTTTTCTACCTTTGACTTCAAAGCGGCTGAAATCTCCACTTGCAAATTCCACAAAAAGAGTGTTACAAGTCTGCTCTGTCTAAGGGAACGTTCAACTCTGTGAGTTGAATGTACACAACACAAGGAAGTTACTGGGAATTCTTCTGTCTAGCCTTACATGAAAAAAACCCGTTTCCAACGAAGGCCTCTAAGTGGTCAAAATATCCACGTGCAGACTTTACAAACAGAGTGTTTCCTAACTGCTCTATGAAAAGAAAGGTTAAACTCTGAGAGTTGAACGCACACATCACAGAGCGGTTTCTGAGAATGATTCTGTCTAGTTTTTCTACGAAGATATTTCCTTTTCTACTATTGACCTCAAAGCGGCTGAAATCTCCACTTGCAAATTCCACAAAAAGAGTGTTTCAAGTCTGCTCTGTGTAAAGGATCATTCAACTCTGTGAGTTGAATAAACACAACACAAGGAAGTTAATGAGAATTCTTCTGTCTAGCCTTACATGAAAAAAACCCGTTTCCAAAGAAGGCCTCAAAGAGGTCTGAATATCCACTTGCAAACTTTACAAACAGAGTGTTTCCTAACTGCTCTATGAAAAGAAAGGTTAAACTCTGTGAGTTGAACACACACATCACAAAGGAGTTTCTGAGAATCATTCTGTCTAGTTTTTATACGAAGATATTTCCTTTTCTACCATTGACCTCAACGCGGCTGAAATCTCCAATTGCAAATTCCACAAAAAGAGTGTTTCAAGTCCGCTCTGTGTAAAGGATCGTTCAACTCTGTGAGTTGAATACACACAACACAAGGAAGTTACTGAGAATTGTTCTGTCTAGCAGAATATGAAGAAATCCCGTTTCCAACGAAGGCCACAAGATGTCAGAATATCCACTTACAGAATTGACAAACAGACTGTTTCCTAACTGCTCTATGAAAAGAAAGGTTAAACTCTGTGAGTTGAACGAACACATCACAACGCAGTCTGTGGGAATGATTCTGTCTAGTTTTGAAACGAAGATATTTCCTTTTCTGCCATTGACCTTAAAGCGCTTGAAATCTCCATTTGCCAATTGCACAAAAAGAGTGTTTCAAATCTGCTCTGTCTAAGGGAACGTTCAACTCTGTGAGTTGAATGTACACAACACAAGGAAGTTACTGGGAATTCTTCTGTCTAGCCTTACAGGAAAAAAACCCATTTCCAACGAAGGCCTCTAAGTGGTCAAAATATCCACGTGCAGACTTTACAAACAGAGTGTTTCCAAACTGCTGAATGAAAACAAAAGTTAAACTCTGAGAGTTGAAGGCACACATCGCAGAGCAGTTTCTGAGAATGATTCTGTCTAGTTTTGGAACGAAGATATTTCCTTTTCTGCCTTTGGCCTCAAAGCGCTTGAAATCTCCACTTGCAAATTCCACAAAAAGAGTGTTTCAAATCTGCTCTGTGTAAATGAAAGTTCAACTCTGTGAGTTGAACACACACAACACAAGGAAGTTACTGGGAATTCTTCTGTCTAGCAGAATATGAAGAAATCCCGTTTCCAACGAAGGCCTCAAGGAGGTCTGAATATCCACTTGCAGACTTTACAAACAGAGTGTTTCCTAACTGCTCTATGAACAGAAAGGTTAAACTCTGTGAGTTGAACGCACACATCACAAAGGAGTTTCTGAGAATCATTCTGTCTAGTCTTTATATGAAGATAGTTTCCTTTTCTACCATTGACCTCAAAGCGGCTGAAATCTCCACTTGCAAATTCCCCAAAAAGAGTGTTTCAAGTCTGCTCTGTGTAAAGGATCGTTCAACTCTGTGAGTTGAATACACACAACACAAGGAAGTTACTGAGAATTCTTCTGTCTAGCAGAATATGAAGAAATCCCGTTTCCAACGAAGGCCTCAAAGAGGTCTGAATATCCACTTGCAGACTTTACAAACAGAGTGTTTCCTAACTGCTCTATGAAAAGAAAGGTTAAACTCTGTGAGTTGAACGCACACATCACAAAGGAGTTTCTGTGAATCGTTCTGTCTAGTTTTTATACGAAGATATTTCCTTTTCTACCATTGACCTCAAAGCGGCTGAAATCACCACTTGCCAATTGCACAAAAAGAGTGTTTCAAATCTGCTCTGTCTAAGGGAACGTTCAACTCTGTGAGTTGAATGTACACAACACAAGGAAGTTACTGGGAATTCTTCTGTCTAGCCTTACATGAAAAAAACCCGTTTCCAACGAAGGCCTCTAAGTGGTCAAAATTTCCACGTGCAGACTTTACAAACAGAGTGTTTCCAAACCGCTGAATGAAAAGAAAAGTTAAACTCTGAGAGTTGAACGCACACATCACGCATCAGTTTCTGAGAATGTTTCTGTCTAGTTTTTATACGAAGATATTTCCTTTTCTGCCTTTGGCCCCAAAGCGCTTGAAATCTCCACTTGCAAATTCCACAAAAACAGTGTTTCAAATCTGCTCTCTCTAAATGAAAGTTCAACTCTGTCAGTTGAATACACACCACACAAGGAAGTTACTGAGAATTCTTCTGTCTAGCCTTATATGAAAAAAACCCGTTTCCAACGAAGGCCTCAAACAGGTCTGAATATCCACTTGCAGACTTTACAAACAGCGTGTTTCCTAACTGCTCTATGAAAAGAAAGGTTAAACTCTGTGAGTTGAACGCACACATCACAAAGGAGTTTCTGAGAATCATTCTGTCTAGTTTTTATAGGAAGATATTTCCTTTTCTACATTTGACTTCAAAGCGGCTGGAATCTCCACTTGCAAATTCCACAAAAAGAGTGTTACAAGTCTGCTATGTGTAAAGGATCGTTCAACTGTGTGAGTTGAATACACACAACACAAGGAAGTTACTGAGAATTCTTCTGTCTAGCCTTACATGAAAAAAACCCGTTTCCAACGAAGGCCTCTAAGTGGTCAAATTATCCACGTGCAGACTATACAAACAGAGTGTTTCCAAACTGCTGAATGAAAAGAAAAGTTAAACTCTGAGAGTTGAACGCACACATCGCAGAGCAGTTTCTGAGAACGATTCTGTCTAGTTTTGAAACGAAGATATTTCCTCTTCTGCCGTTGACCTTAAAGCGCTTGAAATCTACACTTGCAAATTGCACAAATAGAGTGTTTCAAATCTGCTCTGTCTAAGGGAACGTTCAACTCTGTGAGTTGAATGCACACAACACAAGGAAGTTACTGGGAATTCTTCTGTCTAGCCTTACATGAAAAAAAACCCGTTTCCAACGAAGGCCTCTAAGTGGTCAAAATATCCACGTGCAGACTTTACAAACAGAGTGTTTCCAAACCGCTGAATGAAAAGAAAAGTTAAACTCTGAGAGTGGAACGCACACATCACGCAGCAGTTTCTGAGAATGATTCTGTCAAGTTTTTATACGAAGATATTTCCTTTTCTGCCTTTGGCCTCAAAGCGCTTGAAATCTCCACTTGCAAATTCCACAAAAAGAGTGTTTCAAATCTGCTCTGTGTAAATGAAAGTTCAACTCTGTGAGTTGAACACACACAACACAAGGAAGTTACTGGGAATTCTTCTGTCTAGCCTTACATGAAAAAAACCCGTTTCCAACGAAGGCCTCAAAGAGGTCAAAATATCCACTTGCAGACTTTACAAACAGAGTGTTTCCTAACTACTCTATGAATAGAAAAGTTAAACTCTGTGAGTTGAACATACACATCACAAAGGAGTTTATGAGAATCATTCTGTCTAGTCTTTATACGAAGATATTTCCTTTTCTACCATTGACCTCAAAGCGGCTGAAATCTCCACTTGCAAATTCCACAAAAAGAGTGTTTCAAGTCTGCTCTGTGTAAAGGATCGTTCAACTCTGTGAGTTGAATACACACAACACAAGGAAAGTTACTGAGAATTCTTCTGTCTAGCAGAATATGAAGAAATCCCGTTTCCAACGAAGGCCACAAGATGTCAGAATATCCACTTACAGAATTTACAAACAGACTGTTTCCTAACTGCTCTACGAAAAGAAAGGTTAAACTCTGTGAGATGAACGAACACATCACAACGCAGTTTGTGGGAATGATTCTGTCTAGTTTTGAAACGAAGATATTTCCTTTTCTGCCGTTGACCTTAAAGCGCTTGAAATCTACACTTGCAAATTGCACAAATAGAGTGTTTCAAATCTGCTCTGTCTAAGGGAACGTTCAACTCTGTGAGTTGAATGCACACAACACAAGGAAGTTACTGGGAATTCTTCTGTCTAGCCTTACATGAAAAAACCCGTTTCCAACGAAGGCCTCTAAGTGGTGAAAATATCCACGTGCAGACTTTACAAACAGAGTGTTTCCAAACCGCTGAATGAAAAGAAAAGTTAAACTCTGAGAGTTGAACGCACACATCACGCAGCAGTTTCTGAGAATGATTCTGTCTAGTTTTTATACGAAGGTATTTCCTTTTCTGCCTTTGGCCTCAAAGCGCTTGAAATCTCCACTTGCAAATTCCACAAAAAGAGTGTTTCAAATCTGCTCTGTGTAAATCAAAGTTCAACTCTGTGAGTTGAACACACACAACACAAGGAAGTTACTTGAATTCTTCTGTGTAGCATAATATGAAGAAATCCCGTTTCCAACGAAGGCCACAAAGAGGTCTGAATATCCACTTGCAGACTTTACAAACAGAGTGTTTCCTAACTGCTCTATGAAAAGAAAAGTTAATCTCTGTGAGTTGAACGCACACATCACAAAGGAGTTTCTGAGAATCATTCTGTCTAGTTTTTATACCGAAGATATTTCCTTTTCTACCATTGACCTCAAAGCGGCTGAAATCTCCACTTGCAAATTCCACAAAAAGAGTGTTTCAAATCTGCTCTGTGTAAACCATCGTTCAACTCTGTGAGTTGAATACACACAACACAAGGAAGATTCTGAGAATTCTTCTGTCTAGCAGAATATGAAGAAATCCCGTTTCCAACGAAGGCCACATGATGTCAGAGTATCCACTTACAGAATTTACAAACAGACTGTTTCCTAACTGCTCTATGAAAAGAAAGGTTAAACTCTGTGAGTTGAACGAACACATCACAACGCAGTTTGTGGGAATGATTCTGTCTAGTTTCTATAGGAAGATATTTCCTTTTCTACTTTGACTTCAAAGCGGCTGAAATCTCCACTTGCAAATTCCACAAAAAGAGTGTTACAAGTCTGCTCTCTGTAAAGGATCGTTCAACTGTGTGAGTTGAATACACACAACACAAGGAAGTTACTGAGAACTCTTCTGTCTAGCCTTACATGAAAAAAACCCGTTTCCAACGAAGGTCTCTAAGTGGTCAAATTATCCACGTGCAGACTTTACAAACAGAGTGTTTCCAAACTGCTGAATGAAAAGAAAAGTTAAACTCTGAGAGTTGAACGCACACATCACAGAGCAGTCTCTGAGAATGATTCTGTCTAGTTTTTATACGAAGATATTTCCTTTTCTGCCTTTGGCCTCAAAGGGCTTGAAACCTCCATTTGCAAATTCCACAAAAAGAGTGTTTCAAATCTGCTCTGTGTAAATGAAAGTTCAACTCTGTGAGTTGAACACACACAACACAAGGAAGTTACTGGGAATTCTTCTCTCAGGCATAATATGAAGAAATCCCGTTTCCAACGAAGGCCTCAAAGAGGTCTGAATATCCACTTGCAGAGTTTACAAACAGAGTGTTTCCTAACTGCTCTATGAAAAGAAAGGTTAAACTCTGTGAGTTCAACGCACACATCACAAAGAAGTTTCTGAGAATCATTCTGTCTAGTTTCTATAGGAAGATATTTCCTATTCTACCATTGACCTCAAAGCGGCTGAAATCTCCACTTGCAAATTCCACAAAAAGAGTGTTTCAAGTCTGCTCTCTGTAAAGGATCGTTCAACTCTGTGAGTTGAATACACACAACACAAGGAAGTTACTGAGAATTCTTCTGTCTAGCAGAATAGGAAGAAATCCCGTTTCCAACGAAGGCCACAAGATGTCTGAATATCCACTTACAGACTTTACAAACAGAGTGTTTCCTAACTGCTCTATGAACAGAAATGTTAAACTCTGTGAGTTGAACGAGCACATCACAACGCAGTTTGTGGGAATGATTCTGTCTAGTTTTGAAACGAAGATATTTCCTTTTCTGCCATTGACCTTAAAGCGCTTGAAATCTACACTTGCAAATTGCACAAATAGAGTGTTTCAAATCTGCTCTGTCTAAGGGAACGTTCAACTCTGTGAGTTGAATGCACACAACACAAGGAAGTTACTGGGAATTCTTCTGTCTAGCCTTATATGAAAAAAACCCGTTTCCAACGAAGGCCTCAAAGAGGTCTGAATATCCACTTGCAGACTTTACAAACAGAGTGTTTCCTAACTGCTCTATGAAAAGAAAGGTTAAACTCTGTGAGTTGAACGCACACATCACAAAGGAGTTTCTGAGAATCGTTGTGTCTAGATTCTATAGGAAGATATTTCCTATTCTACCATTGACCTCAAAGCGGCTGAAATCTCCACTTGCAAATTCCACAAAAAGAGTGTTTCAAGTCTGCTCTGTGTAAAGGATCGTTCAACTCTGTGAGTTGAATACACACAACACAAGGAAGTTACTGAGAATTCTTCTGTCTAGCATAATATGTAGAAATCCCGTTTCCAACGAAGGCCTCAAGGGGGTCTGAATATCCACTTGCAGACTTTACAAACAGAGTGTTTCCTAACTGCTCTATGAAAAGAAAGGTTAAACTCTGTGAGTTGAACGCACACATCACAAAGGATTTTCTGAGAATCATTCTGTCTAGTTTCTATAGAAAGATATTTCCTATTCTACCATTGACCTCAAAGCGGCTGAAATCTCCACTTGCAAATTCCACAAAAAGAGTGTTTCAAGTCTGCTCTGTGTAAAGGATCGTTCAACTCTGTGAGTTGAATACACACAACACAAGGAAGTTACTGAGAATTCTTCTGTCTAGCATAATATGATGAAATCCCGTTTCCAACGAAGGCCTCAAGGAGGTCTGAATATCCACTTGCAGACTTTACAAACAGTGTGTTTCCTAACTGCTCTGTGAAAAGAAAGGTTAAACTCTGTGAGTTGAATGCACACATCACAAAGGAGTTTCTGAGAATCATTCTGTCTAGTATTGAAACGAAGATATTTCCTTTTCTGCCATTGACCTTAAAGCGCTTGAAATCTACACTTGCAAATTGCACAAATGGAGTGTTTCAAATCTGCTCTGTCTAAGGGAACGTTCAACTCTGTGAGTTGAATGCACACAACACAAGGAAGTTACTGGGAATTCTTCTGTCTAGCCTTACATGAAAAAAACCCGTTTCCAACGAAGGCCTCTAAGTGGTCAAAATATCCACGTGCAGACTTTACAAACAGAGTGTTTCCAAACCGCTGAATGAAAAGAAAAGTTAAACTCTGAGAGTTGAACGCACACATCACGCAGCAGTTTCTGAGAATGATTCTGTCTAGTTTTGAAACGAAGATATTTCCTTTTCTGCCATTGACCTTAAAGCGCTTGAAATCTCCACTTGCCAATTGCACAAAAAGAGTATTTCAAATCTGCTCTCTCTAAGGGAACGTTCAACTCTGTGAGTTGAATGTACACAACACAACGAAGTTACTGGGAATTCTTCTGTCTAGCATAATATGAAGAAATCCCGTTTCCAACGAAGGCCTCAAGGAGGTCTGAATATCCACTTGCACACTTTACAAACAGAGTGTTTCCTAACTGCTCTATGAAAAGAAAGGTTAAACTCTGTGAGTTAAACGCAGACATCACAAAGGAGTTTCTGAGAATCACTCTGTCTAGTTTCTATAGGAAGATATTTCTTATTCTACCATTGACCTCAAAGCGGCTGAAATCTCCACTTGCAAATTCCACAAAAAGAGTGTTTCAAGTCTGCTCTGTGTAAAGGATCGTTCAACTCTGTGAGTTGAATACACACAAAACAAGGAAGTTACTGAGAATTCTTCTGTGTAGCAGAATATGTAAAAATCCCGCTTCCAACGAAGGTCTCAAAGAAGTCTGAATATCCACTTGCAGACTTTACAAACAGAGTGTTTCCCAACTGCTCTATGAAAAGAAAGGTTGAACTCTGTGAGTTGAACGCACACATCACAAAGGAGTTTCTGAGAATCATTCTGTCTAGTTTCTATAGGAAGATATTTCCTATTCTACCATTGAACTTAAAGCGGCTGAAATCTCCACTTGCAAATTCCACAAAAAGAGTGTTTCAAGTCTGCTCTGTGTAAAGGATCATTCAACTCTGTGAGTTGAATACACACAACACAAGGAAGTTACTGAGAATTCTTCTGTCTAGCCTTACAGGAAAAAAACCCGTTTCCAACGAAGGCCTCTAAGTGGTCAAAATATCCACGTGCAGACTTTACAAACAGAGTGTTTCCAAACTGCTGAATGAAAAGAAAAGTTAAACTCTGAGAGCTGAACGCACACATCACAGAGCAGTTTCTGAGAATGATTCTGTCTAGTCTTTATATGAAGATAGTTTTCCTTTTCTACTATTGACCTCAAAGCGGCTGAAATCTCCACTTGCAAATTCCACAAAAAGAGTGTTTCAAGTCTGCTCTGTGTAAAGGATCGTTCAACTCTGTGAGTTGAATACACACAACACAAGGAAGTTACTGAGAATTCTTCTGTCTAACAGAATATGAAGAAATCCCGTTTCCAACGAAGGCCTCAAAGAGGTCTGAATATCCACTTGCAGACTTTACAAACAGAGTGTTTCCTAACTGCTCTATGAAAAGAAAGGTTAAACTCTATGAGTTGAACGCACACATCACAAAGGAGTTTCTGAGAATCATTCTGTCTAGTTTTTATACGAAGATATTTCCTTTTCTACCATTGACCTCAATGCGGCTGAAATCTCCACTTGCAAATTCCACAAAAAGAGTGTTTCAAATCTGCTCTGTGTAAACAATCGTTCAACTGTGTGAGTTGAATACACACAACACAAGGAAGATTCTGAGAATTCTTCTGTCTAGCAGAATATGAAGAAATCCCGTTTCCAACGAAGGCCACAAGATGTCAGAATATCCACTTACAGAATTGACAAACAGACTGTTTCCTAACTGGTCTATGAAAAGAAAGGTTAAACTCTGTGAGTTGAACGAACACATCACAACGCAGTTTGTGGGAATGATTCTGTCTAGTTTTGAAACGAAGATATTTCCTTTTCTGCCATTGACCTTAAAGCGCTTGAAATCTACACTTGCAAATTGCACAAATAGAGTGTTTCAAATCTGCTCTGTCTAAGGGAACGTTCAACTCTGTGAGTTGAATGCACACAACACAAGGAAGTTACTGGGAATTCTTCTGTCTAGCCTTACATGAAAAAAACCCGTTTCCAACGAAGGCCTCTAAGTGGTCAAAATATCCACGTGCAGACTTTACAAACAGAGTGTTTCCAAACCGCTGAATGAAAACAAAAGTTAAACTCTGAGAGTTGAACGCACACATCACGCAGCAGTTTCTGAGAATGATTCTGTCTAGTTTTTATACGAAGAGATTTCCTTTTCTGCCTTTGGCCTCAAAGCGCTTGAAATCTCCATTTGCAAATTCCACAAAAAGAGTGTTTCAAATCTGCTCTGTGTAAATGAAAGTTCAACTCTGTGAGTTGAACACACACAACACAAGGAAGTTACTGAGAATTCTTCTGTCTAGCAGAATATGAAGAAATCCCGTTTCCAACGAAGGCCTCAAGGAGGTCTGAATATCCACTTGCAGACTTTACAAACAGAGTGTTTCCTAACTGCTCTATGAAAAGAAAGGTTAAACTCTGTGAGTTGAACGCACACATCACAAAGGAGTTTCTGAGAATCATCTGTCTAGTTTTTATACGAAGATATTTCCTTTTCTACCATTGACTTCAAAGCGGCTGAAATCTCCACTTGCAAATTACACAAAAAGAGTGTTTCAAGTCTACTCTGTGTAAAGCATCGTTCAACTCTGTGAGTTGAAAACACACAACACAAGGAAGTTTCTGAGAATCTTCTCTGTCTAGCAGAATATGAAGAAATCCCGTTTCCAACGAAGGCCACAAGATGTCAGAATATCCACTTACAGACTTTACAAACAGAGTGTTTCCTAACTGCTCTGTGAACAGAAAGGTTAAACTCTGTGAGTTGAACGAACACATCACAACGCAGTTTGTGGGAATGATTCTGTCTAGTTTTTATACGAAGATATTTCCTTTTCTACCATTGACCTCAAAGCGGCTGAAATCACCACTTGCCAATTGCACAAAAAGGGTGTTTCAAATCTGCTCTGTCTAAGGGAACGTTCAACTCTGTGAGTTGAATGTACACAACACAAGGAAGTTCCTGGGAATTCTTCTGTCTTGCCTTACATGAAAAAAACCCGTTTCCAACGAAGGCCTCTAAGTGGTCAAAATTTCCACGTGCAGACTTTACAAACAGAGTGTTTCCAAACCGCTGAATGAAAAGAAAAGTTAAACTCTGAGAGTTGAACGCACACATCACGCAGCAGTTTCTGAGAATGATTCTGTCTAGTTTTTAAACGAAGATATTTCCTTTTCTGCCTTTGGCCCCAAAGCGCTTGAAATCTCCACTTGCAAATTCCACAAAAACAGTGTTTCAAATCTGCTCTCTCTAAATGAAAGTTCAACTCTGTCAGTTGAATACACACAACACAAGGAAGTTACTGAGAATTCTTCTGTCTAGCATAATATGAAGAAATCCCGTTTCCAACGAAGGCCTCAAGGGGTCTGAATATCCACTTGCAGACTTTATAAACAGAGTGTTTACTAACTGCTCTATGAAAAGAAAGGTTAAACTCTGTGAGTTGAACACACACATCACAAAGGAGTTTCTGAGAATCATTCTGTCTAGTTTCTATAAGAAGATATTTCCTTTTCTGCCATTGACCTCAAAGCGGCTGAAATCTCCACTTGCAAATTCCACAAAAACATTGTTTCAAATCTGCTCTGTGTAAAGGATCGTTCAACTCTGTGAGTTGAATACACACAACACAAGGAAGTTACTGAGATTTCTTCTGTCTAGCAGAATAGGAAGAAATCCCGTTTCCAACGAAGGCCACAAGATGTCAGAATATCCACTTACAGACTTTACAAACAGAGCGTTTCCTAACTGCTCTATGAACAGAAAGGTTAAACTCTGTGAGTTGAAGAAACACATCACAACGCAGTTTGTGGGAATGATTCTGTCTAGTTTTGAAACGAAGATATTTCCTTTTCTGCCATTGACCTTAAAGCGCTTGAAATCTACACTTGCAAATTGCACAAATAGAGTGTTTCAAATCTGCTCTGTCTAAGGGAACGTTCAACTCTGTGAGTTGAATGCACACAACACAAGGAAGTTACTGGGAATTCTTCTGTCTAGCATAATATGAAGAAATCCCATTTCCAACGAAGGCCTCAAAGAGGTCTGAATATCCACTTGCAGACTTTACAAACAGAGTGTTTCCTAACTGCTCTATGAAAAGAAAAGTTAAACTCTGTGAGTTGAACGCACACATCACAAAGGAGTTTATGAGAATCATTCTGTCTAGTCTTTATACGAAGATATTGCCTTTTCTACCATTGACCTCAAAGCGGCTGAAATCTCCACTTGCAAATTCCACAAAAAGAGTGTTTCAAGTCTGCTCTCTGTAAAGGATCGTTCAACTCTGTGAGTTGAATACAGAGAACACAAGGAAGTTACTGAGAATTATTCTGTCTAGCATAATATGAAGAAATCCCGTTTCCAACGAAGGCCTCAAGAGGTCTGAATATCCACTTGCAGACTTTACAAACAGAGTGTTTCCTAACTGCTCTATGAAAAGAAAAGTTAAACTCTGTGAGTTGAACGCACACATCACAAAGGAGTTTCTGAGAATCATTCTGTCTAGTTTTTATTCGAAGATATTTCCTTTTCTGCCATTGACCTCAAAGCGGCTGAAATCTCCACTTGCAAATTCCACAAAAAGAGTGTTTCAAGTCCGCTCTGTTTAAAGGATCGTTCAACTCTGTGAGTTGAATACACACAACACAAGGAAGATTCTGAGAATTCTTCTGTCTAGCAGAATATGAAGAAATCCCGTTTCCAACGAAGGCCACAAGATGTCAGAATATCCACTTACAGAATTTACAAACAGAGTGTTTCCTAACTGCTCTATGAAAAGAAAGGTTAAACTCTGTGAGTTGAACGAACACATCACAACGCAGTTTGTGGGAATAATTCTGTCTAGTTTTGAAACGAAGATATTTCCTTTTCTGCCATTGACCTTAAAGCGCTTGAAATCTCCACTTGCCAATTGCACAAAAAGAGTGTTTGAAATCTGCTCTGTCTAAGGGAACGTTCAACTCTGTGAGTTGAATGTACACAACACAAGGAAGTTACTGGGAATTCTTCTGTCTAGGCTTACAGGAAAAAAACCCGTTTCCAACGAAGGCCTCAAAGAGGTCTGAATATCCACGTGCAGTCTTTACAAACAGAGTGTTTCCTAACTGCTCTATGAAAAGAAAGTTTTAACTCTGTGAGTTGAACGCACACATCACAAAGAAGTTTCTGAGAATCGTTCTGTCTAGTTTTTATACGAAGATATTCCCTTTTCTGCCTTTGGCCTCAAAGCGCTTGAAATCTCCACTTGCAAATTCCACAAAAAGAGTGTTTCAAATCTGCTCTGTGTAAATCAAAGTTCAACTCTGTGAGTTGAACACACACAACACAAGGAAGTTACTGGGAATTCTTCTGTCTAGCAGAATATGAAGAAATCCCGTTTCCAACGAAGGCCTAAAGGAGGTCTGAATATCCACTTGCAGACTTTACAAACAGAGTGTTTCCTAACAGCTCTATGAACAGAAAGGTTAAACTCTGTGAGTTGAACGCACACATCACAAAGGAGTTTCTAAGAATCATTCTGTCTAGTTTCTATAGGAAGATATTTCCTATTCTACCATTGACCTCAAAGCGGCTGAAATCTCCACTTGCAAATTCCACAAAAAGAGTGTTTCAAGTCTGCTCTGTGTAAAGGATCGTTCAACTCTGTGAGTTGAATACACACAACACAAGGCAGTTACTGAGAATTCTTCTGTCTAGCAGAATATGAAGAAATCCCGCTTCCAACGAAGGCCTCAAAGAAGACTGAATATCCACTTGCAGACTTTACAAACAGAGTGTTTCCCAACTGCTCTATGAAAAGAAAGGTTGAACTCTGTGAGTTGAACGCACACATCACAAAGGAGTTTCTGAGAATCATTCTGTCTAGTTTTGAAACGAAGATATTTCCTTTTCTGCCGTTGACCTTAAAGCGCTTGAAATCTACACTTGCAAATTGCACAAATAGAGTGTTTCAAATCTGCTCTGTCTAAGGGAACGTTCAACTCTGTGAGTTGAATGCACACAACACAAGGAAGTTACTGGGAATTCTTCTGTCTAGCCTTACAGGAAAAAAACCCGTTTCCAACGAAGGCCTCTAAGTGGTCAAAATATCCACGTGCAGACTTTACAAACAGAGTGTTTCCAAACTGCTGAATGAAAAGAAAAGTTAAACTCCTGAGAGTTGAACGCACACATCGCAGAGCAGTTTCTGAGAATGATTTCTGTCTAGTTTTTATACGAAGATATTTCTTTTTCTGCCTTTGGCCTCAAAGCGCTTGAAATCTCCATTTGCAAATTCCACAAAAAGAGTGTTTCAAATCTGCTCTGTGTACATGAAAGTTCAACTCTGTGAGTTGAACACACACAACACAAGGAAGTTACTGGGAATTCTTCTGTCTAGCCTTATATGAAAAAACCCATTTCCAACGAAGGCCTCAAAGAGGTCTGAATATCCACCTTCAGACTTTACAAACAGAGTGTTTCCTAACTGCTCTATGAAAAGAAAGGTTAAACTCTGTGAGTTGAGCGCACACATCTCAAAGGAGTTTCTGAGAATCATTCTGTCTAGTTTTTATAGGAAGATATTTCCTTTTCTACCTTTGACTTCAAAGCGGCTGAAATCTCCACTTGCAAATTCCACAAAAAGAGTGTTACAAGTCTGCTCTGTGTAAAGGATTGTTCAACTCTGTGAGTTGAATACACACAACACAAGGAAGTTACTGAGAATTCTTCTGTCTAGCATAGTATGAAGAAATCCCGTTTCCAAAGAAGGCCTCAAACAGGTCTGAATATCCACTTGCAGAGTTTACAAACAGAGTGTTTCCTAACTGCTCTATGAAAAGAAAGGTTAAACTCTGTGAGTTGAACGCACACATCACAAAGAAGTTTCTGAGAATCATTCTGTCTAGTTTTTATACGAAGATATTTCCTTTTCTACCATTGACCTCAAAGAGGCTGAAATCACCACTTGCCAATTGCACAAAAAGAGTGTTTCAAATCTGCTCTGTCTAAGGGAACGTTCAACTCTGTGAGTTGAATGTGCACAACACAAGGAAGTTACTGGGAATTCTTCTGTCTAGCATAATATGAAGAAATCCCGTTTCCAACGAAGGCCTCAAAGAGGTCTGAATATCAACTTGCAGACTTTACAAACAGAGTGTTTCCTAACTGCTCAATGAAAAGAAAGGTTAAACTCTGTGAGTTGAATGCACACATCACAAAGGAGTTTCTGAGAATCATTCTGTCTAGTTTCTATAGGAAGATATTTCCTATTCTACCATTGACCTCAAAGCGGCTGAAATCTCCACTTGCAAATTCCACAAAAAGAGTGTTTCAAGTCTGTTCTGTGTAAAGGATCGTTCAACTCTGTGAGTTGAATACACACAATACAAGGAAGTTACTGAGAATTCTTCTGTCTAGCCTTACATGAAAAAAACCCGTTTCCAACGAAGGCCTCAAAGAGGTCTGAATATCCACTTGCAGACTTTAAAAACAGAGTGTTTCCCAACTGCTCTATGAAAAGAAAGGTTAAACTTCTGTGAGTTGAACGCACACATCACAAAGAAGTTTCTGAGAATCATTTCTGTCTAGTCTTTATACGAAGATATTTACTTTTCTACCATTGACCTCAAAGCGGCTGAAATCTCCACTTGCAAATTCCACAAAAAGAGTGTTTCAAGTCTGCTCTGTGTAAAGGATCATTCAACTCTGTGAGTTGAATACACACAACACAAGGAAGTTACTGAGAATTCTTCTGTCTAGCAGAATATGAAGAAATCCCGTTTCCAACGAAGGCCTCAAGGAGGTCTGAATATCCACTTGCAGACTTTACAAACAGAGTGTTTCCTAACTGCTCTATGAAAAGAAAGGTTAAACTCTGTGAGTTGAAAGCACACATCACAAAGGAGTTTCTGAGAATCGTTCTGTCTAGTTTTGAAACGAAGATATTTCCTTCTCTGCCGTTGACCTTAAAGCGCTTGAAATCTACACTTGCAAATTGCACAAATAGAGTGTTTCAAATCTGCTCTGTCTAAGGGAACGTTCAACTCTGTGAGTTGAATGCACACAACACAAGGAAGTTACTGGGAATTCTTCTGTCTAGCCTTACATGAAAAAAACCCTTTTCCAACGAAGGCCTCTAAGTGGTCAAAATATCCACGTGCAGACTTTACAAACAGAGTGTTTCCAAACCGCTGAATGAAAAGAAAAGTTAAACTCTGAGAGTTGAACCCACACATCACGCAGCAGTTTCTGAGAATGATTCTGTCTAGTTTTTGTACGAAGATATTTCCTTTTCTGCCTTTGGACCCAAAGCTCTTGAAATCTCCACTTGCAAATTCCACAAAAACAGTGTTTCAAATCTGCTCTCTCTAAATGAAAGTTCAACTCTGTCAGTTGAATACACACAACACAAGGAAGTTACTGAGAATTCTTCTTTCTAGCATAATATGAAGAAATCCCGTTTCCAACGAAGGCCTCAAAGGGGTCTGAATATCCACTTGCAGACTTTATAAACAGAGTGTTTACTAACTGCTCTATGAAAAGAAAGGTTAAACTCTGTGAGTTGAACACACACATCACAAAGGAGTTTCTGAGTATCATTCTGTCTAGTTTCTATAGGAAGATATTTCCTATTCTACCATTGACCTCACAGCGGCTGAAATCTCCACTTGCAAATTCCACAAAAAGAGTGTTTCAAGTCTGCTCTGTGTAAAGGATCGTTCAACTCTGTGAGTTGAATACACACAACACAAGGAAGTTACTGAGAATTCTTCTTTCTAGCAGAATATGAAGAAATCCCGTTTCCAACGAAAGCCTCAAGGATGTCTGAATATCCACTTGCAGACAGTACAAACAGAGTGTTTCCTAACTGCTCTATGAAAAGAAAGGTTAAACTCTGTGAGTTGAACGCACACATCACAAAGGAGTTTCTGAGAATCATTCTGTCTAGTTTTGAAACGAAGATATTTCCTTTTCTGCCATTGACCTTAAAGCGCTTGAAATCTCCACTTGCCAATTGCACAAAAAGAGTGTTTCAAATCTGCTCTGTCTAAGGGAACGTTCAACTCTGTGAGTTGAATGTACACAACACAAGGAAGTTACTGGGAATTCTTCTGTCTAGCCTTATATGAAAAAAACCCGTTTCCAACAAAGGCCTCAAAGAGGGCTGAATATCCACTTGCAGACTTTACAAGCAGAGTGTTTCCTAACTGCTCTATGAAAAGAAAGGTTAAACTCTGTGAGTTGAACGCACACATCACAAAGGAGTTTCTGAGAATCATTCTGTCTAGTTTTTATAGGAAGATATTTCCTTTTCTGCCTTTGGCTTCAAAGCGCTTGAAATCTCCATTTGCAAATTCCACAAAAAGAGTGTTTCAAATCTGCTCTGTGTAAATGAAAGTTCAACTCTGTAAGTTGAATACACACAACACAAGGAAGTTACTGAGAATTCTTCTGTCTAGCCTTACATGAAAAAAACCCGTTTCCAACGAAGGCCTCAAAGAGGTCTGAATATCCACTTGCAGAGTTTACAAACAGAGTGTTTCCTAACTGCTCTATGAAAAGAAAGGTTAAACTCTGTGAGTTGAACGCACACATCACAAAGAAGTTTCTGAGAATCATTCTGTCTAGTTTTTATACGAAGATATTTCTTTTTCTACCATTTACCTCAAAGCGGCTGAAATCTCCACTTGCAAATTCCACAAAAAGAGTGTTTCAAATCTGCTCTGTGTACACCATCGTTCAACTCTGTGAGTTGAATACACACAACACAAGGAAGATTCTGAGAATTCTTCTGTCTAGCCTTACATGAAAAAAACCCGTTTCCAACGAAGACCTCTAAGTGGTCAAATTATCCACGTGCAGACTTTACAAACAGAGTGTTTCCAAACTGCTGAATGAAAAGAAAAGTTAAACACTGAGAGTTGAACGCACACATCGCAGAGCAGTTTCTGAGAATGATTCTGTCTAGTTTTTATACGAAGATATTTCCTTTTCTGCCTTTGGCCCCAAAGCGCTTGAAATCTCCACTTGCAAATTCCACAAAAACAGTGTTTCAAATCAGCTCTCTCTAAATGAAAGTTCAACTCTGTCAGTTGAATACACACAACACAAGGAAAGTTACTGAGAATTCTTCTGTCTAGCCTTACAGGAAAAAAACCCGTTTCCAACGAAGGCCTCTAAGTGGTCAAAATATCCACGTGCAGACTTTACAAACAGAGTGTTTCCAAACTGCTGAATGAAAAGAAAAGTTAAACTCCTGAGAGTTGAACGCACACATCGCAGAGCAGTTTCTGAGAATGATTTCTGTCTAGTTTTTATACGAAGATATTTCCTTTTCTGCCTTTGGCCCCAAATCGCTTGAAATCTCCACTTGCAAATTCCACCAAAACAGTGTTTCAAATCTGCTCTCTCTAAATGAAAGTTCAACTCTGTCAGTTGAATACACACAACACAAGGAAGTTACTGAGAATTCTTCTGTATAGCAGAATATGAAGAAATCCCGTTTCCAACGAAGGCCTCAAGGAGGTCTGAATATCCACTTGCAGACTTTACAAACAGAGTGTTTCCTAACTGCTCTATGAAAAGAAACGTTAAACTCTGTGAGTTGAACGCAGACATCACAAAGGAGTTTCTGAGAATCACTCTGTCTAGTTTTTATACGAAGATATTTCCTTTTCTACCATGGACCTCAAAGCGGCTGAAATCTCCACTTGCAAATTCCACAAAAAGTGTGTTTCAAGTCCGCTCTGTGTAAAGGATCGTTCAACTCTGTGAGTTGAATACACACAACACAAGGAAGTTACTGAGAATTCTTCTGTGTAGCAGAATATGAAGAAATCCTGTTTCCAACGAAGGCCACAAGATGTCAGAATATCCACTTACAGAATTTACCAACAGAGTGTTTCCTAACTGCTCTATGAAAAGAAAGGTTAAACTCTGTGAGTTGAACGAACACATCACAACGCAGTTTGTGGGAATGATTCTGTCTAGTTTTGAAACGAAGATATTTCCTTTTCTGTCATTGACCTTAAAGCGCTTGAAATCTACACTTGCAAATTGCACAAATAGAGTGTTTCAAATCTGCTCTCTCTAAGGGAACGTTCAACTCTGTGAGTTGAATGCACACAACACAAAGAAGTTACTGGGAATTCTTCTGTCTAGCCTTACAGGAAAAAAACCCGTTTCCAACGAAGGCCTCTAAGTGGTCAAAATATCCACGTGCAGACTTTACAAACAGAGTGTTTCCACACTGCTGAATGAAAAGAAAAGTTAAACTCTGAGAGTTGAACGCACACATCGCAGAGCAGTTTCTGAGAATGATTCTGTCTAGTTTTGAAACGAAGATATTTCCTTTTCTACCATTGACCTCAACGCGGCTGAAATCTCCATTTGCAAATTCCACAAAAAGAGTGTTTCAAATCTGCTCTGTTTAAATGAAAGTTCAACTCTGTGAGTTGAACACACACAACACAAGGAAGTTACTGGGAATTCTTCTGTCTAGCCTTATATGAAAAAAACCCGTTTCCAACGAAGGCCTCAAAGAGGTCTGAATATCCTCTTGCAGACTTTACAAACAGAGTGTTTCCTAACAGCTCTATGAAAAGAAAGGTTAAACTCTGTGAGTTGGGCACACACGTCACAAAGGAGTTTCTGAGAATCATTCTGTCTAGTTTCTATAGGAAGATATTTCCTATTCTACCATTGACCTCAAAGCGGCTGAAATCTCCACTTGCAAATTCCACAAAAAGAGTGTTTGAAGTCTGCTCTGTGTAAAGGATCGTTGAACTCTGTGAGTTGAGTACACACAACACAAGGAAGTTACTGAGAATTCTTCTGTCTAGCATAATATGAAGAAATCCCGTTTCCAACGAAGGCCTCAAGCAGGTCTGAATATCCACTTGCAGACTTTACAACCAGAGTGTTTCCTAACTGCTCTATGAAAAGAAAGGTTAAACTCTGTGAGTTGAACGCACACATCACAAAGGAGTTTCTGAGAATCATTCTGTCTAGTTTTGAAACGAAGATATTTCCTTTTCTGCCATTGACCTTAAAGCGCTTGAAATCTACACTTGCAAATTGCACAAATAGAGTGTTTCAAATCTGCTCTGACTAAGGGAACGTTCAACTCTGTGAGTTGAATGCACACAACACAAGGAAGTTACTGGGAATTCTTCTGTCTAGCCTTACAGGAAAAAAACCCGTTTCCAACGAAGGCCTGTAAGTGGTCAAAATATCCACGTGCAGACTTTACAAACACAGTGTTTCCACACTGCTGAATGAAAAGAAAAGTTAAACTCTGAGAGTTGAACGCACACATCGCAGAGCAGTTTCTGAGAATGATTCTGTCTAGTTTTGAAACGAAGATATTTCCTTTTCTACCGTTGACCTCAACGCGGCTGAAATCTCCATTTGCAAATTCCACAAAAAGAGTGTTTCAAATCTGCTCTGTGTAAATGAAAGTTCAACTCTGTGAGTTGAACACACACAACACAAGGAAGTTACTGGGAATTCTTCTGTCTAGCCTTATATGAAAAAAACCCGTTTCCAACGAAGGCCTCAAAGAGGTCTGAATATCCTCTTGCAGACTTTACAAACAGAGTGTTTGCTAACTGCTCTATGAAAAGAAAGTTTAAACCCTGTGAGTTGGACACACACATCACTAAGGAGTTTCTGAGAATCATTCTGTCTGGTTTTGAAACGAAGATATTTCCTTTTCTGCCATTGACCTTAAAGCGCTTGAAATCTCCATTTGCCAATTGCACAAAAAGAGTGTTTCAAATCTGCTCTGTCTAAGGGAACGTTCAACTCTGTGAGTTGAATGTACACAACACAAGGAAGTTACTGGGAATTCTTCTGTCTAGCCTTACATGAAAAAAACCCGTTTCCAACGAAGGCCTCTAAGTGGTCAAATTATCCACGTGCAGACTTTACAAACAGAGTGTTTCCAAACTGCTGAATGAAAAGAAAAGTTAAACTCTAAGAGTTGAACGCACACATCGCAGAGCAGTTTCTGAGAATGATTCTGTCTAGTTTTGAAACGGAGTTATTTCCTTTTCTGCCTTTGGCCTCAAAGCGCTTGAAATCTCCACTTGCAAATTCCACAAAAAGAGTGTTTCAAATCTGCTCTGTGTACATGAAAGTTCAACTCTGTGAGTTGAACACACACAACACAAGGAAGTTACTGGGAATTCTTCTGTCTAGCCTTATATGAAAAAAACCCGTTTCCAACGAAGGCCTCAAAGAGGTCTGAATATCCAGTTGCAGACTTTACAAACAGAGTGTTTCCTAACTGCTCTATGAAAAGAAAGGTCAAACTCTGTGAGTTGAACGCACACATCACAAAGGAGTTTCTGAGAATCATTCTATCTAGTTTCTATATTAAGATATTTCCTTTTCTACCATTGACCTCAAAGCGGCTGAAATCTCCACTTGCAAATTACACAAAAAGAGTGTTTCAAGTCTACTCTGTGTAAAGCATCGTTCAACTCTGTGAGTTGAAAACACACAACACAAGGAAGTTTCTGAGAATTCTTCTGTCTAGCAGAATATGAAGAAATCCCGTTTCCAACGAAGGCCACAAGATGTCAGAATATCCACTTACAGAATTTACAAACAGACTGTTTCCTAACTGCTCTATGAAAAGAAAGGTTAAACTCTGTGAGTTGAACGAACACATCACAACGCAGTTTGTGGGAATGATTCTGTCTAGTTTTGAAACGAAGATATTTCCTTTTCTTCCATTGACCTTAAAGCGCTTGAAATCTCCACTTGCCAATTGCACAAAAAGAGTGTTTCAAATCTGCTCTGTCTAAGGGAACGTTCAAATCTGTGAGTTGAATGCACACAACACAAGGAAGTTACTGGGAATTCTTCTGTCTAGCCTTACATGAAAAAAACCCGTTTCCAACGAAGGCCTCTAAGTGGTCAAAACATCCACTTGCAGACTTTACAAACAGAGTGTTTCCAAACTGCTGAATGAAAAGAAAAGTTAAACTCTGAGAGTTGAACGCACACATCGCAGAGCAGTTTCTGAGAATGATTCTGTCTAGTTTTTATACGAAGATATTTCCTTTTCTGCCTTTGGCCTCAAAGCGCATGAAATCTACCTTTGCAAATTCCACAAAAAGAGTGTTTCAAATCTGCTCTGTCTAAATGAAAGTTCAACTCTGTCAGTTGAATACACACAACACAAGGAAGTTACTGAGAATTCTTCTGTCTAGCAGAATATGAAGAAATACCGTTTCCAACGAAGGCCTCAAGGAGGTCTGAATATCCACTTCCAGACTTTACAAACAGAGTGTTTCCTAACTGCTCTATGAACAGAAAGGTTAAACTCTGTGAGTTGAACGCACACATCACAAAGGAGTTTCTGAGAATCATTCTGTCTAGTTTTTATACGAAGATATTTCCTTTTCTACCATTGACCTCAAAGCGGCTGAAACCTCCAATTGCAATTTCCACAAAAAGAGTGTTTCAAGTCTGCTCTGTGTAAAGGATCGTTCAACTCTGTGAGTTGAATACACACAACACAAGGAAGTTACTGAGAATTCTTCTGTCTAGCAGAATATGAAGAAATCCCGTTTCCAACGAAGGCCTCAAAGAGGTCTGAATATCCACTTGCAGACTTTACAAACAGAGTGTTTCCTAACTGCTCTATGAAAAGAAAGGTTAAACTCTATGAGTTGAACGCACACATCACAAAGGAGTTTCTGAGAATCGTTCTGTCTAGTTTTGAAAGGAAGATATTTCCTTTTCAGCCGTTGACCTTAAAGCGCTTGAAATCTACACTTGCAAATTGCAAAAATAGGCTGTTTCAAATCTGCTCTGTCTAAGGGAACGTTCAACTCTGTGAGTTGAATGCACACAACACAAGGGAAGTTACTGAGAATTCTTCTGTCTAGCCTTACATGCAAAAAACCCGTTTCCAACGAAGGCCTCTAAGTGGTCAAAATATCCACGTGCAGACTTTACAAACAGAGTGTTTCCAAACCGCTGAATGAAAAGAAAAGTTAAATTCTGAGAGTTGAACGCGCACATCACGCAGCAGTTTCTGAGAATGATTCTGTCTAGTTTTGAAACGAAGACATTTCCTTTTCTGCCTTTGGCCTCAAAGCGCTTGAAATCTCCATTTGCAAATTCCACAAAAAGAGTGTTTCAAATCTGCTCTGTGTAAATGAAAGTTCAACTCTGTGAGTTGAACACACACAACACAAGGAAGTTACTGGGAATTCTTCTGTCTAGCATAACATGAAGAAATCCCGTTTCCAACGAAGGCTTCAAAGAGGTCTGAATATCCCCTTGCAGACTTTACAAACAGAGTGTTTCCTAACTGCTCTATGAAAAGAAAGGTTAAACTCTGTGAGTTGAACGCACACATCGCAAAGGAGTTTCTGAGAATCATTCTGTCTAGTTTCTATAGGAAGATATTTCCTATTCTACCATTGACCTCAAAGCGGCTGAAATCTCCACTTGCAAATTCCACAAAAAGAGTGTTTCAAGTCTGCTCTGTGTAAAGGATCGTGCAACTCTGTGAGTTGAATACACACAACACAAGGAAGTTACTGAGAATTCTTCTGTCTAGCATAGTATGAAGAAATCCCGTTTCCAACGAAGGCCACAAGATGTCAGAATATCCACTTACAGAATTGACAAACAGACTGTTTCCTAACTGCTCTATGAAAAGAAAGGTTAAACTCTGTGAGTTGAACGCACACATCACAAAGAAGTTTCTGAGAATCATTCTGTCTAGTTTTGAAACGAAGATATTTCCTTTCCTGCCATTGACCTTAAAGCGCTTGAAATCTACATTTGCAAATTGCACAAATAGAGTGTTTCAAATCTGCTCTGTCTAAGGGAACGTTCAACTCTGTGAGTGGAATGCACACAACACAAGGAAGTTACTGGGAATTCTTCTGTCTAGCCTTACATGAAAAAATCCCGTTTCCAACGAAGGCCTCTAAGTGGTCAAAATATCCACGTGCAGACTTTACAAACAGAGTGTTTCCAAACCGCTGAATGAAAAGAAAAGTTAAACTCTGTGAGTTGAACGCACACATCAAGCAGCAGTTTCTGAGAATGATTCTGTCTAGTTTTTATACGAAGATATTTCCTTTTCTGCATTTGGCCCCAAATCGCTTGAAATCTCCACCTGCAAATTCCACAAAAACAGTGTTTCAAATCTGCTCTCTCTAAATCAAAGTTCAACTCTGTCAGTTGAATACACACAACACAAGGAAGTTACTGAGAATTCTTCTGTCTAGCCTTATATGAAAAAAACCCGTTTCCAACGAAGGCCTCAAAGAGGTCTGAATATCCACTTGCAGACTTTACAAACAGAGTGTTTCCTAACTGCTCTATGTAAAGAAAGGTTAAACTCTGTGAGTTGAACGGCACACATCACAAAGGAGTTTCTGAGAATCATTCTGTCTAGTTTTTATACGAAGATATTTCCTTTTCTACCATTGACCTCAACGCGGCTGAAATCTCCACTTGCAAATTCCACAAAAAGAGTGTTTCAAGTCCGCTCTGTGTAAAGGATCGTTCAACTCTGTGAGTTGAATACACACAACACAAGGAAGTTACTGAGAATTCTTCTGTCTAGCACAGTATGAAGAAATCCCGTTTCCAACGAAGGCCTCAAAGAGGTCTGAATATCCACTTGCAGAGTTTACAAACAGAGTGTTTCCTAACTGCTCTATGAAAAGAAAGGTTAAACTCTGTGAGTTGAACACACTCATCACAAAGGAGTTTCTGAGAATCATTCTGTCTAGTTTTGAAACGAAGAAATTTCCTTTTCTGCCATTGACCTTAAAGCGCTTGAAATCTACACTTGCAAATTGCACAAATAGAGTGTTTCAAATCTGCTCTGTCTAAGGGAACGTTCAACTCTGTGAGTTGAATGCACACAACACAAGGAAGTTACTGGGAATTCTTCTGTCTAGCGTTACAGGAAAAAAACCCGTTTCCAACGAAGGCCTCTAAGTGGTCAAAATATCCACGTGCAGACTTTACAAACAGAGTGTTTCCAAACTGCTGACTGAAAAGAAAAGTTAAACTCTAAGAGTTGAACGCACACATCGCAGAGCAGTTTCTGAGAATGATTCTGTCTAGTTTTGAAACGAAGATATTTCCTTTTCTACCATTGACCTCAACGCGGCAGAAATCTCCATTTGCAAATTCCACAAAAAGAGGGTTTCAAATCTGCTCTGTGTAAATGAAAGTTCAACTCTGTGAGTTGAACACACACAACACAAGGAAGTTACTGGGAATTCTTCTGTCTAGCCTTATATGAAAAAAACCCGTTTCCAACGAAGGCCTCAAAGAGGTCTGAATATCCTCTTGCAGACTTTACAAACAGAGTGTTTCCTAACTGCTCTATGAAAAGAAAGGTTAAACTCTGTGAGTTGGACACACACATCACAAAGGAGTTTCTGAGAATCATTCTGTCTAGTTTTTATACGAAGATATTTCCTTTTCTACCATTGACCTCAACGCGGCTGAAATCTCCACTTGCAAATTCCACAAAAAGTGTGTTTCATGTCCGCTCTGTGTAAAGGATCGTTCAACTCTGTGAGTTGAATACACACAACACAAGGAAGTTACTGAGAATTCTTCTGTCTAGCACAGTATGAAGAAATCCCGTTTCCAACGAAGGCCTCAAAGAGGTCTGAATATCCACTTGCAGACTTTACAAACAGAGTGTTTCCTAACTGCTCTATGAAAAGAAAGGTTAAACTCTGTGAGTTGAACGAACACGTCACAATGAAGTTTCTGAGAATCATTCTGTCTAGTTTTGAAACGAAGATATTTCCTTTTCTGCCGTTGACCTTAAAGCGCTTGAAATCTACACTTGCAAATTGCACAAATAGAGTGTTTCAAATCTGCTCTGTCTAAGGGAACGTTCAACTCTGTGAGTTGAATGCACACAACACAAGGAAGTTACTGGGAATTCTTCTGTCTAGCATAATATGAAGAAAACCCGTTTCGAACGAAGGCCTCAAAGAGGTCTGAATATCCACTTGCAGACTTTACAAACAGAGTGTTTCCTAACTGCTCTATGAAAAGAAAGGTTAAACTCTGTGAGTTGAACGCACACATCACAAAGGAGATTCTGAGAATCATTCTGTCTACTTTTTATATGAAGATATTTCCTTTTCTACCATTGACCTCAAAGCGGCTGAAATCTCCACTTACAAATTCCACAAAAAGAGTGTCTCAAGTCTGCTCTGTGTAAACGATCGTTCAACTCTGTGAGTTGAATACACACAACACAAGGAAGTTTCTGAGAATTCTTTTGTATAGCAGAATATGAAGAAATCCCGTTTCCAATGAAGGCCTCAAGGAGGTCTGAATATCCACTTGCAGACTTTACAAACAGAGTGTTTCCTAACTGCTCTATGAAAAGAAAGGTTAAACTCTGTGAGTTGAACGCAGACATCACAAAGGAGTTTCTGAGAATCACTCTGTCTAGTTTTTATACGAAGATATTTCCTTTTCTACCATTGACCTCAAATCGGCTGAAATCTCCACTTGCAAATTCCACAAAACGAGTGTTTCAAGTCCGCTCTGTGTAAAGGATCGTTCGACTCTGTGAGTTGAATACACACAACACAAGGAAGTTACTGAGAATTCTTCTGTCTAGCAGAATATGAAGAAATCCCGTTTCCAACGAAGGCCACAAGATGTCAGAATATCCACTTACAGACTTTACAAACAGAGTGTTTCCTAACTGCTCTATGTACAGAAAGGTTAAACTCTCTGAGTTGAACGAACACATCACAACGCAGTTTGTGGGAATGATTCTGTCTAGTTTTGAAACGAAGATATTTCCTTTTCTGCCGTTGACCTTAAAGAGCTTGAAAACTACACTTGTAAATTGCACAAATAGAGTGTTTCAAATCTGCTCTGTCTAAGGGAACGTTCAACTCTGTGAGTTGAATGCACACAACACAAGGAAGTTACTGGGAATTCTTCTGTCTAGCCTTACATGAAAAAAACCCGTTTCCAACGAAGGCCTCTAAGTGGTCAAGTTATCCACGTGCAGACTTTACAAACAGAGTGTTTCCAAACTGCTGAATGAAAAGAAAAGTTAAACTCTGAGAGTTGAACGCACACATCGCAGAGCAGTTTCTTAGAATGATTCTGTCTAGTTTTTATACGAAGATATTTCCTTTTCTGCCTTTGGTCTCAAAGCGCTTGAAATCTCCACTTGCAAATTCCACAAAAAGAGTGTTTCAAATCTGCTCTGTGTAAATGAAAGTTCAACTCTGTGAGTTGAACACACACAACACAAGGAAGTTACTGGGAATTCTTCTCTCTAGCAGAATAAGAAGAAATCCCGTTTCCAACGAAGGCCTCAAAGAGTTCTGAATATCCACTTGCAGACTTTACAAACAGAGTGTTTCCTAACAGCTCTATGAAAAGAAAGGTTAAACTCTGTGAGTTGAACGCACACATCACAAAGGAGTTTCTGAGAATCATTCTGTCTAGTTTTTCTACGAAGATATTTCCTTTTCTACTATTGACCTCAAAGCGGCTGAAATCTCCTCTTGCAAATTCCACAAAAAGAGTGTTTCAAGTCTGCTCTGTGTAAAGGATCGTTCAACTCTGTGAGTTGAATACACACAACACAAGGAAGTTACTGAGAATTCTTCTGTCTAGCATAGTATGGAGAAATCCCGTTTCCATCGAAGGCCTCAAAGAGGTCTGAATATCCACTTGCAGAGTTTACAAACAGAGTGTTTCCTAACTGCTGTATGAAAAGAAAGGTTAAACTCTGTGAGTTGAACGAACACATCACAACGCAGTTTGTGGGAATGATTCTGTCTAGTTTTGAAACGAAGATATTTCCTTTTCTGCCGTTGACCTTAAAGCGCTTGAAATCTACACTTGCAAATTGCACAAATAGAGTGTTTCAAATCTGCTCTGTCTAAAGGAACGTTCAACTCTGTGAGTTGAATGCACACAACACAAGGAAGTTACTGGGAATTCTTCTGTCTAGCCTTACATGAAAAAAACCCGTTTCCAACGAAGGCCTCTAAGTGGTCAAATTATCCACGTGCAGACTTTACAAACAGAGTGTTTCCAAACTGCTGAATGAAAAGAAAAGTTAAACTCTGAGAGTTGAACGCACACATCGCAGAGCAGTTTCTGAGAATGATTCTGTCTAGTTTTGAAACGAAGATATTTCCTTTTCTGCCTTTGGCCTCAAAGCGCTTGAAATCTCCACTTGCAAATTCCACAAAATGAGTGTTTCAAATCTGCTCTGTGTAAATGAAAGTTCAACTCTGTGAGTTGAACACACACAACACAAGGAAGTTACTGGGAATTCTTCTGTTTAGCCTTATATGTAAAAAACCCGTTTCCAACGAAGGCCTCAAAGAGGTCTGAATATCCACTTGCAGACTTTACAAACAGAGTGTTTCCTAACTGCTCTATGAAAAGAAAGGTTAAACTCTGTGAGTTGAACGCACACATCACAAAGGAGTTTCTGAGAATCATTCTGTCTAGTTTTTATACGAAGATATTTCCTATTCTACCATTGACCTCAAAGCGGCTGAAATCTCCACTTGCAAATTCCACAAGAAGAGTGTTACAAGTATGCTCTGTGTAAAGGATCGTTCAACTCTGTGAGTTGAATACACACAGCACAAGGAAGTTACTGAGAATTCTTATGTCTAGCAGAATATGAAGAAATCCCGTTTCCAACGAAGGCCCCAAGGAGGTCTGAATATCCACTTGCAGACTTTACAAACAGAGTGTTTCCTAACTGCTCTATGAAAAGAAAGGTTAAACTCGGTGAGTTGAACGCACACATCACAAAGGAGTTTATGAGAATCATTCTGTCTAGTTTTGAAACGAAGATATTTCCTTTTCTGCCATTGACCTTAAAGCGCTTGAAATCTACACTTGCAAATTGCACAAATAGAGTGTTTCAAATCTGCTCTGTCTAAGGGAACGTTCAACTCTGTGAGTTGAATGCACACAACACAAGGAAGTTACTGGGAATTCTTCTGTGTAGCCTTACATGAAAAAAAACCCGTTTCCAACGAAGGCCTCTAAGTGGTCAAAATATCCACGTGCAGACTTTACAAACAGAGTGTTTCCAAACCGCTGAATGAAAAGAAAAGTTAAACTCTGAGAGTTGAACGCACACATCACGCAGCAGTTTCTGAGAATGATTCTGTCTAGTTTTTATACGAAGATATTTCCTTTTCTGCCTTTGGCCTCACAGCGCTTGAAATCTCCACTTGCAAATTCCACAAAAAGAGTGTTTCAAATCTGCTCTGTGTAAATGAAAGTTCAACTCTGTGAGTTGAACACACACAACACAAGGAAGTTACTGGGAATTCTTCTGTCTAGCATAATATGAAGAAATCCCGTTTCCAACGAAGGCCTCAAAGGGGTCTGAATATCCACTTGCAGACTGTATAAACAGAGTATTTACTAACTGCTCTATGAAAAGAAAGGTTAAACTCTGTGAGTTGAACACACACATCACAAAGGAGTTTCTGAGAATCATTCTGTCTAGTCTTCATACGAAGATATTTCCTTTTCTACCATTGACCTCAAAGCGGCTGAAATCTCCACTTGCAAATTCCACAAAAAGAGTGTTTCAAGTCTGCTCTGTGTAAAGGATCGTTCAACTCTGTGAGTTGAATACACACAACACAAGGAAGTTACTGAGAATTCTTCTGTCTAGCAGAATATGAAGAAATCCCGTTTCCAACGAAGGCCACAAGATGTCAGAATATCCACTTACAGAATTTACAAACAGACTGTTTCCTAACTGCTCTATGAAAAGAAAGGTTAAACTCTGTGAGTTGAACGAACTCATGACAACGCAGTTTGTGGGAATGATTCTGTCTAGTTTTGAAACGAAGATATTTCCTTTTCTGCCATTGACCTTAAAGCGCTTGAAATCTACATTTGCAAATTGCACAAATAGAGTGTTTCAAATCTGCTCTGTCTAAGGGAACGTTCAACTCTGTGAGTTGAATGCACACAACACAAGGAAGTTACTGGGAATTCTTCTGTCTAGCCTTACAGGAAAAAAAACCGTTTCCAACGAAGGCCTCTGAGTGGTCAAAATATCCACGTGCAGACTTTACAAACAGAGTGTTTCCAAACTGCTGAATGAAAAGAAAAGTTAAACTCTGAGAGTTGAACGCACACATCGCAGAGCAGTTTCTGAGAGTGATTCTGTCTAGTTTTTATACGAAGATATTTCCTTTTCTGCCTTTGGCCTCAAAGCGCTTGAAATCTCCAATTGCAAATTCCACAAAAAGAGAGTTTCAAATCTGCTCTGTGTAAATAAAAGTTCAACTCTGTGAGTTGAACACACACAACACAAGGAAGTTACTGGGAATTCTTCTGCCTAGCATAATATGAAGAAATCCCGTTTCCAACGAAGGCCTCAAGGAGGTCTGAATATCCACTTGCAGACTTTACAAACAGAGTGTTTCCCAACTGCTCTATGAAAAGAAAGGTTAAACTGTGTGAGTTGAACGCACACATCACAAAGGAGTTTCTGAGAATCATTCTGTCTAGTTTCTATAGGAAGATATTTCCTATTCTACCATTGACCTCAAAGCGGCTGAAATCTCCACTTGCAAATTCCACAAAAAGAGTGTTTCAAGTCTGCTCTGTGTAAAGGATCGTTCAACTCTGTGACTTGAATACACACAACACAAGGCAGTTACTGAGAATTCTTCTGTCTAGCAGAATATGAAGAAATCCCGTTTCCAACGAAGGCCACAAGATGTCAGAATATCCACTTACAGAATTTACAAACAGACTGTTTCCTAACTGCTCTATGAAAAGGAAGGTTAAACTCTGTGAGTTGAACGAACACATCACAACGCAGTTTGTGGGAATGATTCTGTCTAGTTTTGAAACGAAGATATTTCCTTTTCTGCCATTGACCTTAAAGCGCTTGAAATCTCCACTTGCCAATTGCACAAAAAGAGTGTTTCAAATCTGCTCTGTCTAAGGGAACGTTCAACTCTGTGAGTTGAATGTACACAACACAAGGAAGTTACTGGGAATTCTTCTGTCTAGCCTTACAAGAATAAAACCCGTTTCCAACGAAGGCCTCTAAGTGGTCAAAATATCCACGTGCAGACTTTACAAAGAGAGTGTTTCCAAACTGCTGAATGAAAAGAAAAATTAAACTCTGAGAGTTGAATGCACACATCGCAGAGCAGTTTCTGAGAATGATTCTGTCTAGTTTTGAAACGAAGATATTTCCTTTTCTGCCTTTGGCCTCAAAGCGCTTGAAATCTCCACTTGCAAATTCCACAAAAAGAGTGTTTCAAATCTGCGCTGTGTAAATGAAAGTTCAACTCTGTGAGTTGAACACACACAACACAAGGAAGTTACTGGGAATTCTTCTGTCTAGCCTTATATGAAAAAAACCCGTTTCCAACGAAGGCCTCAAAGAGGTCTGAATATCCACTTGCAGACATTACAAACAGAGTGTTTCCTAACTGCTCTATGAAAAGAAAGGTTAAACTCTGTGAGTTGAACGCACACATCACAAAGGAGTTTCTGAGAATCATTCTGTCTAGTTTCTATAGGAAGATATTTCCTATTCTACCATAGACCTCAAAGAGGCTGAAATCTCCACTTGCAAATTCCACAAAAAGAGTGTTTCAAGACTGTTCTGTGTAAAGGATCATTCAACTCTGTGAGTTGAATACACACAACACAAGGAAGTTACTGAGAATTCTTCTTTCTTGCAGAATATGAAGAAATCCCGTTTCCAACGAAAGCCTCAAGGATGTCTGAATATCCACTTGCAGACATTACAAACAGAGTGTTTCCTAACTGCTCTATGAAAAGAAAGGTTAAACTCTGTGAGTTGAACGCACACATCACAAAGGAGTTTCTGAGAATCATTCTGTCTAGTTTTGAAACGAAGATATTTCCTTTTCTGCCTTTGGCCTCAAAGCGCTTGACATCTCCACTTGCAAATTCCACAAAAAGAGTGTTTCAAATCTGCTCTGTCTAAGGGAACGTTCAACTCTGTGAGTTGAATGTACACAACACAAGGAAGTTACTGTGAATTCTTCTGTCTAGCCTTACAGGAAAAAACCCGTTTCCAACGAAGGCCTCTAAGTGGTCAAAATATCCACGTGCAGACTTTACAAACAGAGTGTTTCCAAACTGCTGAATGAAAAGAAAAGTTAAACTCTGAGAGTTGAACGCACACATCGCAGAGCAGTTTCTGAGAATGATTCTGTCTAGTTTTTATACGAAGATATTTCCTTTTCTGCCTTTGGCCCCAAAGCGCTTGAAATCTCCACTTGCAAATTCCACAAAAACAGTGTTACAAATCTGCTCTCTCTAAATGAAAGTTCGACTCTGTCAGTTGAATACACACAACACAGGGAAGTTACTGAGAATTCTTCTGTCTAGCAGAACATGAAGAAATCCCGCTTCCAACGAAGGCCTCAAGGAGGTCTGAATATCCACTTGCAGACTTTACAAACAGAGTGTTTCCTAACTGCTCTATGAAAAGAAAGGTTAAACTCTGTGAGTTGAACGCACACATCACAAAGGAGTTTCTGAGAATCATTCTGTCTACTTTCTATAGGAAGATATTTCCTATTCTACCATTGACCTCAAAGCGGCTGAAATCTCCACTTGCAAATTCCACAAAAAGAGTGTTTCAAGTCTACTCTGTGTAAAGGATCGTTCAACTCTGTGAGTTGAATACACACAACACAAGGAAGTTACTGAGAATTCTTCTGTCTAGCATAATATGAAGAAATCCCGTTTCCAACGAAGGCCTCAAGGAGGTCTGAATATCCACTTGCAGACTTTACAAACAGAGTGTTTCCTAACTGTTCTATGAAAAGAAAGGTTAAACTCTGTGAGTTGAACGCACACATCACAAAGGAGTTTCTCAGAATCATTCTGTCTAGTTTCTATAGGAAAATATTTCCTATTCTACCATTGACCTCAAAGCGGCTGAAATCTCCACTTGCAAATTCCACAAAAAGAGTGTTTCAAGTCTGCTCTGTGTAAAGGATCGTTCAACTCTCTGAGTTGAATACACACAACACAAGGAAGTTACTGAGAATTCTTCTGTCTAGCCTTACATGAAAAAAACCCGTTTCCAACGAAGACCTCTAAGTGGTCAAAATATCCACGTGCAGACTTTACAAACAGAGTGTTTCCAAACCGCTGAATGAAAAGAAAAGTTAAACTCTGAGAGTTGAACGCACACATCACGCAGCAGTTTCTGAGAATGATTCTGTCTAGTTTTTATACGAAGATATGTCCTTTTCTGCCTTTGGCCCCAAAGCGCTTGAAATCTCCACTTGCAAATTCCACAAAAAGAGTGTTTCAAGTCTGCTCTGTGTAAAGGATCGTTCAACTCTGTGAGTTGAATACACACAACACAAGGAAGTTACTGAGAATTCTTCTGTCTAGCAGAATATGAAGAAATCCCGTTTTCAACGAAGGCCTCAAAGAGGTCTGAATATCCACTTGCAGACTTTACAAACAGAGTGTTTCCTAACTGCTCTATGAAAAGAAAGGTTAAACTCTGTGAGTTGAACGCAGACATCACAAAGGAGTTTCTGAGAATCACTCTGTCTAGTTTTTATACGAAGATATTTCCTTTTCTACCATTGACCTCAAAGCGGCTGAAATCTCCACTTGCAAATTCCACAAAAAGAGTGTTTCAAATCTGCTCTGTGTAAACCATCGTTCAACTCTGTGAGTTGAATACACACAACACAAGGACGATTCTGAGAATTCTTCTGTCTAGCACAATATGAAGAAATCCCGTTTCCAACGAAGGCCTCAAGGAGGTCTGAATATCCACTTGCAGACTTTACAAACAGAGTGTTTCCTAACTGCTCTATGAACAGAAAGGTTAAACTCTGTGAGTTGAACGCACACATCACAAAGGAGTTTCTGAGAATCATTCTGTCTAGTTTTGAAACGAAGATATTTCCTTTTCTGCCGTTGACCTTAAAGCGCTTGAAATCTACACTTGCAAATTGCACAAATAGAGTGTTTCAAATCTGCTCTGTCTAAGGGAACGTTCAACTCTGTGAGTTGAATGCACACAACACAAGGAAGTTACTGGGAATTCTTCTGTCTAGCCTTACATGAAAAAAACCCGTTTCCAAGGAAGGCCTCTAAGTGGTCAAAATATCCACGTGCAGACTTTATAAACAGAGTGTTTCCAAACCGCTGAATGAAAAGAAAAGTTAAACTCTGAGAGTTGAACGCACACATCACGCAGCAGTTTCTGAGAATGATTCTGTCTAGTTTTTATACGAAGATATTTCCTTTTCTGCCTTTGGCCCCAAAGCGCTTGAAATCTCCACTTGCAAATTGCACAAAAACAGTGTTTCAAATCTGCTCTCTCTAAATGAAAGTTCAACTCTGTCAGTTGAATACACACAACACAAGGAAGTTACTGAGAATTCTTCTGTCTAGCATAATATGAAGAAATCCCGTTTCCAACGAAGACCTCAAAGAGGTCTGAATATCCACTTGCAGAATTTATAAACAGAGTGTTTACTAACTGCTCTATGAAAAGAAACGTTAAACTCTGTGAGTTGAACACACACATCACAAAGGAGTTTCTGAGAATCATTCTGTGTAGTTTTTTTATGAAGATATTTCCTTTTCTACCATTGACCTCAAAGTGGCTGAAATCTCCACTTGCAAAATCCACAAAAATATTGTTTCTAACCTGCTCTGTGTAAAGGATCTTTCAACTCTGTGAGTTGAATGCACACAACACAAGGAAGTTACTGAGAATTCTTCTGTCTAGCAGAATATGAAGAAATCCCGTTTCCAACGAAGGCTACAAGATGTCAGAATATCCACTTACAGACTTTACAAACAGAGTGTTTCCTAACTGCTCTATGAACAGAAAGGTTAAACTCTGTGAGTTGAACGAACACATCACAACGCAGTTTGTGGGAATGATTCTGTCTAGTTTTGAAACGAAGATATTTCCTTTTCTGCCATTGACCTTAAAGCGCTTGAAATCTCCATTTGCCAATTGCACAAAAAGAGTGTTTCAAATCTGCTCTGTCTAAGGGAACGTTCAACTCTGTGAGTTGAATGTACACAACACAAGGAAGTTACTGGGAATTCTTCTGTCTAGCCTTACATGAAAAAAAACCCGTTTCCAAAGAAGGCCTCTAAGTGGTCAAAATATCCACGTGCAGACTTTACAAACAGAGTGTTTCCAAACTGCTGAATGAAAAGAAAAGTTAAACTCTTAGAGTTGAACGCACACATCACAGAGCAGTTTCTGAGAATGATTCTGTCTAGTTTTTATACGAAGATATTTCCTTTTCTGCGTTTGGCCCCAAAGCGCTTGAAGTCACCATTTGCAAATTCCACAAAAACAGTGTTTCAAATCTGCTCTCTCTAAATGAAAGTTCAACTCTGTCAGTTGAATACACACAACACAAGGAAGTTACTGAGAATTCTTCTGTCTAGCAGAATATGAAGAAATCCCGTTTCCAACGAAGGCCTCAAAGAGGTCTGAATATCCACTTGCAGACTTTACAAACAGAGTGTTTCCTAACTGCTCTATGAAAAGAAAGGTTAAACTCTGTGAGTTCAACGCACACATCACAAAGGAGTTTCTGAGAATCGTTCTGTCTAGTTTTTGTACGAAGATATTTCCTTTTCTACCATGGACCTCAAAGCGGCTGAAATGTCCACTTGCAAATTCCACAAAAAGAGTGTTTCAAGTCTGCTCTGTGTAAAGGATCGTTCAACTCTGTGAGTTGAATACACACAACACAAGGGAAGATTCTGAGAATTCTTCTGTCTAGCAGAATATGAAGAAATCCCGTTTCCAACGGAGGCCACAAGATGTCAGAATATCCACTTACAGAATTTACCAACAGAGTGTTTCCTAACTGCTCTATGAAAAGAAAGGTTAAACTCTGTGAGTTGAACGAACACATCACAACGCAGTTTGTGGGAATGATTCTGTCTAGTTTTGAAACGAAGATATTTCCTTTTCTGCCATTGACCTTAAAGCGCTTGAAATCTCCACTTGCCAATTGCACAAAAAGAGTGTTTCAAATCTGCTCTGTCTAAGGGAACGTTCAACTCTGTGAGTTGAATGTACACAACACAAGGAAGTTACTGGGAATTCTTCTGTCCAGCCTTACAGGAAAAAAACCCGTTTCCAACGAAGGCCTCTAAGTGGTCAAAATATCCACGTGCAGACTTTACAAACAGAGTGTTTCCAAACTGCTGAATGAAAAGAAAAGTTAAACTCTGAGAGTTGAACGCACACATCGCAGAGCAGTTTCTGAGAATGATTCTGTCTACTTTCTATACGAAGATATTTCCTATTCTACCATTGACCTCAAAGCGGCTGAAATCTCCACTTGCAAATTCCACAAAAGGAGTGTTTCAAGTCTGCTCTGTGTAAAGGATCGTTCAACTCTGTGAGTTGAAAACACACAACACAAGGAAGATTCTGAGAATTCTTCTGTCTAGCATAGTTTGAAGAAATCCCGTTTCCAACGAAGGCCTCAAAGAGGTCTGAATATCCACTTGCAGAGTTTACAAACAGAGTGTTTCCTAACTGCTCTATGAAAAGAAAGGTTAAACTCTGTGAGTTGAACGCACACATCACAAAGAAGTTTCTGAGAATCATTCTGTCTAGTTTTTATACGAAGATATTTCCTTTTCTACCATTGACCTCAAAGCGGCTGAAATCTCCACTTGCAAATTCCACAAAAAGAGTGTTTCAAATCTGCTCTGTATAAACAATCGTTCAACTGTGTGAGTTGAATACACACAACACAAGGAAGATTCTGAGAATTCTTCTGTCTAGCAGAATATGAAGAAATCCCGTTTCCAACGAAGGCCTCAAAGAGGTCTGAATATCCACTTGCAGACTTTACAAACAGAGTGTTTCCTAACTGCTCTATGAAAAGAAAGGTTAAACTCTGTGAGTTGAACGCACACATCACAAAGGAGTTTATGAGAATAATTCTGTCTAGTTTTTATACGAAGATATTTCCTTTTCTACCATTGACCTCAAAGCGGCTGAAATCACCACTTGCCAATTGCACAAAAAGAGTGTTTCAAATCTGCTCTGTCTAAGGGAACGTTCAACTCTGTGAGTTGAATGTACACAACACAAGGAAGTTCCTGGGAATTCTTCTGTCTAGCCTTACAAGAAAAAAACCCGTTTCCAACGAAAGCCTCTAAATGGTCAAAATATCCACGTGGAGACTTTACAAACAGAGTGTTTCCAAACTGCTGAATGAAAAGAAAAGTTAAACTCTGAGAGTTGAACTCACACATCGCAGAGCAGTTTCTGAGAATGATTCTGTCTAGTTTTGAAACGAAGACATTTCCTTTTCTGCCTTTGGCCTCAAAGCGCTTGAAATCTCCACTTGCAAATTCCACAAAAAGAGTGTTTCAAATCTGCTCTGTGTTAATGAAAGTTCAACTCTGTGAGTTGAACACACACAACACAAGGAAGTTACTGGGAATTCTTCTGTCTAGCAGAATATGAAGAAATCCCGTTTCCAACGAAAGCCTCAAAGATGTCTGAATATCCACTTGCAGACTTTACAAACAGAGTGTTTCCTAACTGCTCTATGAAAAGAAAGGTTAAACTCTGTGAGTTGAACGCACACATCACAAAGCAGTTTCTGAGAATCATTCTGTCTAGTTTTTATACGAAGATATTTCCTTTTCTACCATGGACCTCAAAGCGACTGAAATCTCCACTTGCAAATTCCACAAAAAGAGTGTTTCAAGTCTGCTCTGTGTAAAGGATCGTTCAACTCTGTGAGTTGAATACACAGAACACAAGGAAGTTTCTGAGAATTCTTCTGTCTAGCAGAATATGAAGAAATCCCGTTTCCAACGAAGGCCACAAGATGTCAGAATATCCACTTACAGAATTGACAAACAGACTGTTTCCTAACTGCTCTATGAAAAGAAAGGTTAAACTCTGTGAGTTGAACTAACACATCACAACGCAGTTTGTGGGAATGATTCTGTCTAGTTTTGAAACGAAGATATTTCCTTTTCTGCCGTTGACCTTAAAGCGCTTGAAATCTACACTTGGAAATTGCACAAATAGAGTGTTTCAAATCTTCTCTGTCTAAGGGAACGTTCAACTCTGTGAGTTGAATGCACACAACACAAGGAAGTTACTGGGAATTCTTCTGTCTAGCCTTACATGAAAAAAACCCGTTTCCAACGAAGGCCTCTAAGTGGTCAAAATTTCCACGTGCAGACTTTACAAACAGAGTGTTTCCAAACCGCTGAATGAAAAGAAAAGTTAAACTCTGAGAGTTGAACGCACACATCACGCAGCAGTTTCTGAGAATGATTCTGTCTAGTTTTTATACGAAGATATTTCCTTTTCTACCATTGACTTCAAAGCGGCTGAAATCTCCACTTGCAAATTACACAAAAAGAGTGTTTCAAGTCTACTCTGTGTAAAGCATCGTTCAACTCTGTGAGTTGAAAACACACAACACAAGGAAAGTTTCTGAGAATTCTTCTGTCTAGCAGAACATGAAGAAATCCCGTTTCCAACGAAGGCCTCAAAGATGTCTGAATATCCACTTGCAGACTTTACAAACAGAGTGTTTCCTAACTGCTCTATGAAAAGAAAGGTTAAACTCTGTGAGTTGAACGCACACATCACAAAGGAGTTTCTGAGAATCATTCTGTCTAGTTTCTATAGGAAGATATTTCCTATTCTACCATTGACCTCAAAGCGGCTGAAATCTCCACTTGCAAATTCCACAAAAAGAGTGTTTCAGGTCTGCTCTGTGTAAAGGATCGTTCAACTCTGTGAGTTGAATACACACAACACAAGGAAGTTACTGAGAATTCTTCTATATAGCATAGTATGAAGAAATCCCGTTTCCAACGAAGGCCTCAAAGAGGTCTGAATATCCACTTGCAGAGTTTACAAACAGAGTGTTTCCTAACTGTTCTATGAAAAGAAAGGTTAAACTCTGTGAGTTGAACGCACACATCACAAAGAAGTTTCTGAGAATCATTCTGTCTAGTTTTTATACGAAGATATTTCCTTTTCTACCATTGACCTCAAGGCGGCTGAAATCTCCACATGCAAATTCCACCAAAAGAGTGTTTCAAATCTGCTCTGTGTAAACCATCGTTCAACTCTGTGAGTTGAATACACACAACACAAGGAAGATTCTGAGAATTCTTCTGTCTAGCCTTACATGAAAAAAACCCGTTTCCAACGAAGACCTCTAAGTGGTCAAGTTATCCACGTGCAGACTTTACAAACAGAGTGTTTCCAAACTTCTGAATGAAAAGAAAAGTTAAACTCTGAGAGTTGAACGCACACATCGCAGAGCAGTTTCTGAGAATGATTCTGTCTAGTTTTTATACGAAGATATTTCCTTTTCTGCCTTTGGCCTCAAAGCGCTTGAAATCTCCACTTGCAAATTCCACAAAAAGAGTGTTTCAAATCTGCTCTGTGTAAATGAAAGTTCAACTCTGTGAGTTGAACACACAAAACACAAGGAAGTTACTGGGAATTCTTCTGTCTAGCCTTATATGAAAAAAACCCGTTTCCAAAGAAGGCCTCAAAGAGGTCAAAATATCCACTTGCAGACTTTACAAACAGAGTGTTTCCTAACTACTCTATGAATAGAAAGGTTAAACTCTGTGAGTTGAACACACACATCACAAAGGACTTTCTGAGAATCATTCTGTCTAGTTTCTATAAGAAGATATTTCCTATTCTACCATTGACCTCAAAGCGGCTGAAATCTCCACTTGCAAATTCGACAAAAAGAGTGTTGCAAGCCTGCTCTCTGTAAAGGATCCTTCAACTCTGTGAGTTGAATACACACAACACAAGGAAGTTACTGAGAATTATTCTGTCTAGCATAATATGAAGAAATCCCGTTTCCAACGAAGGCCACAAAGAGGTCTGAATATCCACTTGCAGACTTTACAAACAGAGTGTTTCCTAACTGCTCTATGAGAAGAAAAGTTAAACTCTGTGAGTTGAACGCACACATCACAAAAGATTTTCTGAGAATCATTCTGTCTAGTTTTGAAACGAAGATATTTCCTTTTCTGCCATTGACCTTAAAGCGCTTGAAATCTCCACTTGCCAATTGCACAAAAAGAGTGTTTCAAATCTGCTCTGTCTAAGGGAACGTTCAACTCTGTGAGTTGAATGTACACAACACAAGGAAGTTACTGGGAATTCTACCGTCTAGCCTTACATGAAAAAAAACCCGTTTCCAACGAAGGCCTCTAAGTGGTCAAAATATCCACGTGCAGACTTTACAAACAGAGTGTTTCCAAACTGCTGAATGAAAAGAAAAGTTAAACTCTGAGAGTTGAACGCACACATCACAGAGCAGTTTCTGAGAATGATTCTGTCTAGTTTCTATAGGAAGGTATTTCCTATTCTACCATTGACCTCAAAGCGGCTGAAATCTCCACTTTCAAATTCCACAAAAAGAGTGTTTCAAGACTGTACTGTGTAAAGGATCATTCAACTCTGTGAGTTGAATACACACAACACAAGGAAGTTACTGAGAATTCTTCTGTCTAGCATAATATGAAGAAATCCCGTTTCCAACGAAGGCCTCAAAGAGGTCTGAATATCCACTTGCAGACTTTACAAACAGAGTGTTTCCTAACTGCTCTATGAAAAGAAAAGTTAAACTCTGTGATTTGAACGCACACATCACAAAGGAGTTTCTGAGAATCATTCTGTCTAGTTTCTATAAGAAGATATTTCCTATTCTACCATTGACCTCAAAGCGGCTGAAATCTCCACTTGCAAATTCGACAAAAAGAGTGTTTGAAGCCTGCTCTCTGTAAAGGATCCTTCAACTCTGTGAGTTGAATACACACAACACAAGGAAGTTACTGAGAATTATTCTGTCTAGCATAATATGAAGAAATCCCGTTTCCAACGAAGGCCTCAAAGAGGTCTGAATATCCACTTGCAGACTTTACAGAGTGTTTCCTAACTGCTCTATGAGAAGAAAAGTTAAACTCTGTGAGTTGAACGCACACATCACAAAAGATTTTCTGAGAATCATTCTGTCTAGTTTTGAAACGAAGATATTTCCTTTTCTGCCATTGACCTTAAAGCGCTTGAAATCTCCACTTGCCAATTGCACAAAAAGAGCGTTTCAAATCTGCTCTGTCTAAGGGAACGTTCAACTCTGTGAGTTGAATGTACACAACACAAGGAAGTTACTGGGAATTCTTCTGTCTAGACTTACAGGAAAAAAACCCGTTTCCAACGAAGGCCTCAAAGAGGTCTGAATATCCACTTGTAGTCTTTACAACCAGAGTGTTTCCTAACTGCTCTATGAAAAGAAAGGTTAAACTACTGTGAGTTGAACGCACACATCACAAAGGAGTTTCTGAGAATCATTCTGTCTAGTTTTTAAACGAAGATATTTCCTTTTCTGCCTCTGGCCTCAAAGCGCTTGAAATCTCCATTTGCAAATTCCACAAAAAGAGTGTTTCAAATCTGCTCTGTGTAAATGAAAGTTCAACTCTGTGAGTTGAACACACATAACACATGGAAGTTACTGGGAATTCTTCTGTCTAGCATAATATGAAGAAAACCCGTTTCCAACGAAGGCCTCCAAGGGGTCTGAATATCCACTTGCAGACTTTATAAACAGAGTGTTTACTAACTGCTCTATGAAAAGAAAGGTTAAACTCTGTGAGTTGAACACACACATCAGAAAGGAGTTTCTGAGAATCATTCTGTCTAGTTTTTCTACGAAGATATTTCCTTTTCTACTATTGACCTCAAAGCGGCTGAAATCTCCACTTGCAAATTCCACAAAAAGAGTGTTTCAAGTCTGCTCTGTGTAAAGGATCGTTCAACTATGTGAGTTGAATACACACAACACAAGGAAGTTACTGAGAATTCTTCTGTCTAGCAGAATAGGAAGAAATACCGTTTCCAACGAAGGCCACAAGATGTCAGAATATCCACTTACAGACTTTACAAACAGAGTGTTTCCTAACTGCTCTATGAACAGAAAGGTTAAACTCTGTGAGTTGAACGAACACATCACAACGCAGTTTGTGGGAATGATTCTGTCTAGTTTTGAAACGAAGATATTTCCTTTTCTCCCATTGACCTTAAAGCGCTTGAGATCTACACTTGCAAATTGCACAAATAGAGTGTTTCAAATCTGCTCTGTCTAAGGGAACGTTCAACTCTGTGAGTTGAATGCACACAACACAAGGAAGTTACTGGGAATTCTTCTGTCTAGCCTTATAGGAAAAAAACCCGTTTCCAACGAAGGCCTCAAAGAGGTCTGAATATCCACTTGCAGACTTTACAAACAGAGTGTTTCCTAACTGCTCTATGAAAAGAAAGGTTAAACTCTGTGAGTTGAACGCACACATCACAAAGGAGTTTCTGAGAATCATTCTGTCTAGTTTTTCTACAAAGATATTTCCTTTTCTACTATTGACCTCAAAGCGGCTGAAATCTCCACTTGCAAATTCCACAAAAAGAGTGTTTCAAGTCTGCTCTGTGTAAAGGATCGTTCAACTCTGTGAGTTGAATACACACAACACAAGGAAGTTACTGAGAATTCTTCTGTCTAGCAGAATATGAAGAAATCCCGTTTCCAACGAAGGCCTAAAGGAGGTCTGAATATCCACTTGCAGACTTTACAAACAGAGTGTTTCCTAACAGCTCTATGAACAGAAAGGTTAAACTCTGTGAGTTGAACGCACACATCACAAAGGAGTTTCTGAGAATCATTCTGTCTAGTCTTTATACGAAGATATTTACTTTTCTACCATTGACCTCAAAGCGGCTGAAACCTCCACTTGCAAATTCCACAAAAAGAGTGTTTCAAGTCTGCTCTGTGTAAAGGATCATTCAACTCTGTGAGTTGAATAAACACAACACAAGGAAGTTACTGAGAATTCTTCTGTCTAGCATAATATGAAGAAATCCCGTTTCCAACGAAGGCCTCAAAGGGGTCTGAATATCCACTTGCAGACTTTATAAACAGAGTGTTTACTAACTGCTCTATGAAAAAAAAGGTTAAACTCTGTGAGTTGAACACACACATCACAAAGGAGTTTCTGAGAATCATTCTGTCTAGTTTTTATAGGAAGATATTTCCTTTTCTACCTTTGACTTCAAAGAGGCTGAAATCTCCACTTGCAAATTCCACAAAAAGAGTGTTACAAGTCTGCTCTGTGTAAAGGATCGTTCAACTCTGTGAGTTGAATACACACAACACAAGGAAGTTACTGAGAATTCTTCTGTCTAGCCTTACATGAAAAAAACCCGTTTCCAACGAAGGCCTCTAAGTGGTCAAATTATCCACGTGCAGACTTTACAAACAGAGTGTTTCCAAACTGCTGAATGAAAAGAAAAATTAAACTCTGAGAGTTGAACGCACACATCGCAGAGCAGTTTCTGAGAATGATTCTGTCTAGTTTTTATACGAAGATATTTCCTTTTCTGCCTTTGGCCCCAAAGCGCTTGAAATCTCCAATTGCAAATTCCACAAAAACAGTGTTTCAAATCTGCTCTCTCTAAATGAAAGTTCAACTCTGTCAGTTGAATACACACAACACAAGGAAGTTACTGAGAATTCTTCTGTCTAGCATAATATGAAGAAATCCCGTTTCCAACGAAGGCCTCCAAGGGGTCTGAATATCCACTTGCAGACTTTATAAACAGAGTGTTTACTAACTGCTCTATGAAAAGAAAGGTTAAACTCTGTGAGTTGAACACACACATCACAAAGGAGTTTCTGAGAATCATTCTGTCTAGTCTTTATATGAAGATAGTTTCCTTTTCTACCATTGACCTCAAAGCGGCTGAAATCTCCACTTGCAAATTCCACAAAAAGAGTGTTTCAAGTCTGCTCTGTGTAAAGGATCGTTCAACTCTGTGAGTTGAATCCTCACAACACAAGGAAGTTACTGAGAATTCTTCTGTCTAGCAGAATATGAAGAAATCCCGTTTCCAATAAGGCCACAAGATGTCAGAATATCCACTTACAGACTTTACAAACAGAGTGTTTCCTAACTGCTCTATGAAAAGAAAAGTTTAAATCTGTGAGTTGAACGAACACATCACAACGCAGTTTGTGGGAATGATTCTGTCTAGTTTTGAAACGAAGATATTTCCTTTTCTGCCATTGACCTTAAAGCACTTGAAATCTCCACTTGCAAATTGCACAAAAACAGTGTTTCAAATCTGCTCTGTCTAAGGGAACGTTCAACTCTGTGAGTTGAATGCACACAACGCAAGGAAGTTACTGGGAATTCTTCTGTCTAGCCTTACATGAAAAAAACCCGTTTCCAACGAAGGCCTGTAAGTGGTCAAAATATCCACGTGCAGACTTTACAAACAGAGTGTTTCCAAACTGCTGAATGAAAAGAAAAGTTAAACTCTGAGAGTTGAACGCACACATCGCAGAGCAGTTTCTGAGAATGATTCTGTCTAGTTTTTATACGAAGATATTTCCTTTTCTGCCTTTGGTCTCAAAGCGCTTGAAATCTCCAATTGCAAATTCCACAAAAAGAGTGTTTCAAATCTGCTCTTTGTAAATGAAAGTTCAACTCTGTGAGTTGAACACACACAACACAAGGAAGTTACTGGGAATCCTTCTTTCTAGCAGAATATGAAGAAATCCCGTTTCCAACGAAAGCCTCAAGGATGTCTGAATACCCACTTGCAGACTTTACAAACAGAGTGTTTCCTAACTGCTCTATGAAAAGAAAGGTTTAACTCTGTGAGTTGAACGCACACATCACAAAGGAGTTTCTGAGAATCACTCTGTCTAGTTTTTATACGAAGATATTTCCTTTTCTACCATTGACCTCAAAGCGGCTGAAATCTCCACCCTGCCAATTCCACAAAAAGAGTGTTTCAAGTCTACTCTGTGTAAAGGATCGTTGAACTCTGTGAGTTGAAAACACACAACACAACGAAGTTTCTGGGAATTCTTCTGTCTAGCAGAATATGAAGAAATCCCTTTTCAAACGAAGGCCACAAGATGTCAGAATATCCACTTACAGACTTTACAAACAGAGTGATTCCTAACTGCTCTATGAACAGAAAGGTTAAACTCTGTGAGTTGAACGAACACATCACAACGCAGTTTGTGGGAATGATTCTGTCTAGTTTTGAAACGAAGATATTTCCTTTTCTGCCTTTGACCTTAAAGCGCTTGAAATCTACACTTGCAAATTGCACAAATAGAGTGTTTCAAATCTACTCTGTCTAAGGGAACGTTCAACTCTGTGATTTGATTGCACACAACACAAGGAAAGTTACTGGGAATTCTTCTGTCTAGCCTTACATGATAAAAACCCGTTTCCAACGAAGGCCTCTAAGTGGTCAAAATATCCACGTGCAGACTTTACAAACAGAGTGTTTCCAAACCGCTGAATGAAAAGAAAACTTAAACTCTGTGAGTTGAACGCACACATCACGCAGCAGTTTCTGAGAATGATTCTGTCTAGCTTTTATACGAAGATATTTCCTTTTCTGCCTTTGGCCCCAAAGCGCTTGAAATCTCCACTTGCAAATTCCACAAAAACAGTGTTTCAAATCTGCTCTCTCTAAATGAAAGTTCAACTCTGTCAGTTGAATACACACAACACAAGGAAGTTACTGAGAATTCTTCTGTCTAGCAGAATATGAAGAAATCCCGTTTCCAACGAAGGCCTCAAAGAGGTCTGAATATCCACTTGCAGACTTTACAAACAGAGTGTTTACTAACTGCTCTATGAAAAGAAAAGTTAAAGTCTGTGAGTTGAACGCACACATCACAAAGAAGTTTCTGAGAATCATTCTGTCTAGTTTCTATAGGAAGATATTTCCTATTCTACCATTGACCTCAAAGCGGCTGAAATCTCCACTTGCAAATTCCACAAAAGGAGTGTTTCAAGTCTGCTCTGTGTAAAGGATCGTTCAACTCTGTGAGTTGAAAACACACAACACAAGGGAAGTTTCTGAGAATTCTTCTGTCTAGCAGAATAGGAAGAAATCCCGTTTCCAACGAAGGCCACAAGATGTCAGAATATCCACTTACAGACTTTACAAACAGAGTGTTTCCTAACTGCTCTATGAACAGAAAGGTTAAACTCTGTGAGTTGAACGAACACATCACAACGCAGTTTGTGGGAATGATTCTGTCTAGTTTTGAAACGAAGATATTTCCTTTTCTGCCGTTGACCTTAAAGCGCTTGAAATCCACACTTGCAAATTGCACAAATAGAGTGTTTCAAATCTGCTCTGTCTAAGGGAACGTTCAACTCTGTGAGTTGAATGCACACAACACAAGGAAGTTACTGGGAATTCTTCTGTCTAGCCTTACAAGAAAAAAACCCGTTTCCAACGAAGGCCTCTAAATGGTCAAAATATCCACGTGCAGACTTTACAAACAGAGTGTTTCCAAACTGCTGAATGAAAAGAAAAGTTAAACTCTGAGAGTTGAATGCACACATCGCAGAGCAGTTTCTGAGAATGATTCTGTCTAGTTTTTATACGAAGATATTTCCTTTTCTGCCTTTGGCCTCAAAGCGCTTGAAATCTCCACTTGCAAATTCCACAAAAAGAGTGTTTCAAATCTGCTCTGTGTAAACAATCGTTCAACTGTGTGAGTTGAATACACACAACACAAGGAAGATTCTGAGAATTCTTCTGTCTAGCATAATATGAAGAAATCCCGTTTCCAACGAAGGCCCCAAAGGGGTCTGAATATCCACTTGCAGACTTTATAAACAGAGTGTTTACTAACTTCTCTATGAAAAGAAAGGTTAAACTCTGTGAGTTGAACACACACATCACAAAGGAGTTTCTGAGAATCATTCTGTCTAGTTTTTATACGAAGATATTTCCTTTTCTACCAAGGACCTCAAAGCGGCTGAAATCTCCACTTGCAAATTCCACAAAAAGAGTGTTTCAAATCTGCTCTGTGTAAATGAAATTTCAACTCTGTGAGTTGAACACTCACAACACAAGGAAGTTACTGGGAATTCTTCTGTCCAGCAGAATATGAAGAAATCCCGTTTCCAACGAAGGCCACAAGATGTCAGAATATCCACTTACAGACTTTACAAACAGAGTGTTTCCTAACTGCTCTATGAACAGAAAGGTTAAACTCTGTGAGTTGAACGAACACATCACAACGCAGTTTGTGGGAATGATTCTGTCTAGTTTTGAAACGAAGATATTTCCTTTTCTGCCATTGACCTTAAAGCGCTTGAAATCTCCATTTGCCAATTGCACAAAAAGAGTGTTTCAAATCTGCTCTGTCTAAGGGAACGTTCAACTCTGTGAGTTGAATGTACACAACACAAGGAAGTTACTGGGAATTCTTCTGTCTAGCCTTACATGAAAAAAAACCCGTTTCCAACGAAGGCCTCTAAGTGGTCAAAATATCCACGTGCAGACTTTACAAACAGAGTGTTTCCAAACCGCTGAATGAAAAGAAAAGTTAAACTCTGAGAGTTGAACGCACACATCACGCAGCAGTTTCTGAGAATAATTCTGTGTAGTTTTTATACGAAGATATTTCCTTTTCTGCCTTTGGCCTCAAAGCGCTTGAAATCTCCACTTGCAAATTCCACAAAAAGAGTGTTTCAAATCTGCTCTGTGTAAATGAAAGTTCAACTCTGTGAGTTGAACACACACAACACAAGGGAGTTACTGGGAATTCTTCTGTCTAGCAGAATATGAAGAAATCCCGTTTCCAACGAAGGCCTCAAGGAGGTCTGAATATCCACTTGCAGACTTTATAAACAGAGTGTTTCCTAACTGCTCTATGAAAAGAAAGGTTAAACTCTGTGAGTTGAACACACACATCACAAAGGAGTTTCTGAGAATCATTCTGTCTAGTTTTTATACGAAGATATTTCCTTTTCTACCATTGACCTCAACGCGGCTGAAATCTCCACTTGCAAATTCCACAAAAAGAGTGTTCCAAGTCTGCTCTGTGTAAAGGATCGTTCAACTCTGTGAGTTGAATACACACAACACAAGGAAGTTACTGAGAACTCTTCTGTCTAGCCTTACATGAAAAAAACCCGTTTCCAACGAAAGCCTCTAAGTGGTCAAATTATCCACGTGCAGACTTTACAAACAGAGTGTTTCCAAACTGCTGAATGAAAAGAAAAGTTAAACTCTGAGAGTTGAACGCACACATCGCAGAGCAGTTTCTGAGAATGATTCTGTCTAGTTTTGAAACGAAGATATTTCCTTTTCTGCCATTGAACTTAAAGCGCTTGAAATCTCCATTTGCCAATTGCACAAAAAGAGTGTTTCAAATCTGCTCTGTCTAAGGGAACGTTCAACTCTGTGAGTTGAATGTACACAACACAAGGAAGTTACTGGGAATTCTTCTGTCTAGCCTTACAGGAAAAAAACCCGTTTCCAACGAAGGCCTCTAAGTGGTCAAAATATCCACGTGCAGACTTTACAAACAGAGTGTTTCCAAATTGCTGAATGAAAAGAAAAGTTAAACTCTGAGAGTTCAACGCACACATCGCAGAGCAGTTTCTGAGAATGATTCTGTCTAGTTTCTATAGGAAGATATTTCCTATTCTACCATTGACCTCAAAGCGGCTGAAATCTCCACTTGCAAATTCCACAAAAAGAGTGTTTCAAGTCTGCTGTGTGTAAAGGATCGTTCAACTCTGTGAGTTGTATACACACAACACAAGGCAGTTACTGAGAATTCTTCTGTCTAGCAGAATAGGAAGAAATCCCGTTTCTAACGAAGGCCTCAAAGAGGTCTGAATATCCACTTGCAGACTTTACAAACAGAGTGTTTCCTAACGGCTCTATGAAAAGAAAAGTTAAACTCTGTGAGTTGAACGCACACATCACAAAGGAGTTTCTGAGAATCGTTCTGTCTAGTTTCTACAGGAAGATATTTCCTATTCTACCATTGACCTCAAAGCGGCTGAAATCTCCACTTGCAAATTCCGCAAAAAGAGTGTTTCAAGTCTGCTCTGTGTAAAGGATCGTTCAACTCTGTGAGTTGAATACACACAACACAAGGAAGTTACTGAGAATTCTTCTGTCTAGCAGAATATGAAGAAATCCCGTTTCCAACGAAGGCCACAAGATGTCAGAATATCCTCTTACAGACTTTACAAACAGAGTGTTTCCTAACTGCTCTATGAACGGAAAGGTTAAACTCTGTGAGTTGAACGAACACATCACAACGCAGTTTGTGGGAATGATTCTGTGTAGTTTTGAAACGAAGATATTTCCTTTTCTGCCATTGACCTTAAAGCGCTTGAAATTTGCACTTGCCAATTGCACAAAAAGAGTGTTTCAAATCTGCTCTGTCTAAGGGAACGTTCAACTCTGTGAGTTGAATGTACACAACACAAGGAAGTTACTGGGAATTCTTCTGTCTAGCCTTACAGGAAAAAACCCGTTTCCAAAGAAGGCCTCTAAGTGGTCAAAATATCCACGTGCAGACTTTACAAACAGAGTGTTTCCAAACTGCTGAATGAAAAGAAAAGTTAAACTCTGAGAGTTGAACGCACACATCGCAGAGCAGTTTCTGAGAATGATTCTGTCTAGTTTTGAAACGAAGATATTTCCTTTTCTGCCTTTGGCCTCAAAGCGCTTGAAATCTCCGTTTGCAAATTCCACAAAAAGAGTGTTTCAAATCTGCTCTGTGTAAATGAAAGTTCAACTCTGTGAGTTGAACACACACAACACAAGGAAGTTACTGGGAATTCTTCTGTCTAGCATAATATGAAGAAATCCCGTTTCCAACGAAGGCCTCAAAGAGATCTGAATATCCACTTGCAGACTTTAGAAACAGAGTGTTTCCTAACTGATCTATGAAAAGAAAAGTTAAACTCTGTGATTTGAACTCACACATCACAAAGGAGTTTATGAGAATCATTCTGTCTAGTTTTTCTACGAAGATATTTCCTTTTCTACTATTGACCTCAAAGCGGCTGAAATCTCCACTTGCAAATTCCACAAAAAGAGTGTTTCAAGTCTGCTCTGTGTAAAGGATCGTACAACTCTGTGAGTTGAATACACACAACACAAGGAAGTTACTGAGAATTCTTCTGTCTAGCAGAATATGAAGAAATCCCGTTTCCAACGAAGGACTCAAAGAGGTCTGAATATCCACTTGCAGACTTTACAAACAGAGTGTTTCCTAACTGCTCTATGAAAAGAAAGGTTAAACTCTGTGAGTTGTACGCACACATCACAAAGGAGTTTCTTAGAATCGTTCTGTCTAGTTTTGAAACGAAGATATTTCCTTTTCTGCCATTGAACTTAAAGCGCTTGAAATCTCCACTTGCCAATTGCACAAAAAGAGTGTTTCAAATCTGCTCTGTCTAAGGGAACGTTCAACTCTGTGAGTTGAACGTACACAACACAAGGAAGTTACTGGGAATTCTTCTGTCTAGCCTTACATGAAAAAATCCCGTTTCCAACGAAGGCCTCTAAGTGGTCAAAATTTCCACGTGCAGACTTTACAAACAGAGTGTTTCCAAACCGCTGAATGAAAAGAAAAGTTAAACTCTGAGAGTTGAACGCACACATCACGCAGCAGTTTCTGAGAATGATTCTGTCTAGTTTTTATACGAAGATATTTCCTTTTCTGCCTTTGGCCCCAAAGCGCTTGAAATCTCCACTTGCAAATACCACAAAAACAGTGTTTCAAATCTGCTCTCTCTAAATGAAAGTTCAATTCTGTCAGTTGAATACACACAACACAAGGAAGTTACTGAGAATTCTTCTGTCTAGCATAATATGAAGAAATCCCGTTTCCAACGAAGGCCACAAAGGGGTCTGAATATCCACTTGCAGACTTTATAAACAGAGTGTTTCCTAACTGCTCTATGAAAAGAAAGGTTAAACTCTGTGAGTTGAACACACACATCACAAAGGAGTTTCTGAGAATCATTCTGTCTAGTTTCTATACGAAGATATTTCCTATTTTACCATTGACCTCAAAGCGGCTGAAATCTCCACTTGCAAATTCCACAAAAAGAGTGTTTCAAGTCTGCTCTCTGTAAAGGACCGTTCAACTCTGTGAGTTGAATACACACAACACAAGGAAGTTACTGAGAATTCTTCTGTCTAGCATAATATGAAGAAATCCCGTTTCCAACGAAGGCCACAATATGTCAGAATATCTACTTACAGACTTTACAAACAGAGTGTTTCCTAACTGCTCTATGAACAGAAAGGTTAAACTCTGTGAGTTGAACGAACACATCACAACGCAGTTTGTGGGAATGATTCTGTCTAGTTTTTATACGAAGATATTCCCTTTTCTACCATTGACCTCAAAGCGGCTGAAATCACCACTTGCCAATTGCACAAAAAGAGTGTTTCAAATCTGCTCTGTCTAAGGGAACGTTCAACTCTGTGAGTTGAATGTACACAACACAAGGAAGTTTCTGGGAATTCTTCTGTCTAGCCTTACAGGAAAAAAACCCGTTTCCAACGAAGTCCTCTAAGTGGTCAAGTTATCCACATGCAGACTTTACAAACAGAGTGTTTCCAAACTGCTGAATGAAAAGAAAAGTTAAACTCTGAGAGTTGAACGCACACATCGCAGAGCAGTTTCTGAGAATGATTCTGTCTAGTTTTTATACGAAGATATTTCCTTTACTGCCTTTGGCCTCAAAGCGCTTGAAATCTCCACCTGCAAATTCCACAAAAAGAGTGTTTCAAATCTGCTCTGTGTAAATGAAAGTTCAACTCTGTGAGTTGATCACACACAACACAAGGAAGTTACTGGGAATTCTTCTGTCTAGCATAATATGAAGAAATCCCGTTTCCAACGAAGGCCTCAAGGAGGTCTGAATATCCACTTGCAGACTTTACAAACAGAGTGTTTCCTAACTGCTCTATGAAAAGAAAGGTTAAACTCTGTGAGTTGAACGCACACATCACAAAGGAGTTTCTCAGAATAATTCTGTCTAGTTTCTATAGGAAGATATTTCCTATTCTACCATTGAACTCAAAGCGGCTGAAATCTCCACTTGCAAATTCCACAAAAAGAGTGTTTCAAGTCTGCTCTGTGTAAAGGATCGTTCAACTCTGTGAGTTGAATACACAAAACACAAGGAAGTTACTGAGAATTCTTCTGTCTAGCATAATATGAAGAAATCCCGTTTCCAACGAAGGCTTCAAGGAGGTCTGAATATCCACTTGCAGACTTTACAAACAGAGTGTTTCCTAACTGCTCTATGAAAAGAAAGGTTAAACTCTGTGAGTTGAACGCACACATCACAAAGGAGTTTCTCAGAATCATTCTGTCTAGTTTCTATAGGAAGATATTTCCTATTCTACCATTGACCACAAAGCGGCTGGAATCTCCACTTGCAAATTTCACAAAAAGAGTGTTTCAAGTCTGCTCTGTGTAAAGGATCGTTCAACTCTGTGAGTTGAATACACACAACACAAGGAAGTTACTGAGAATTCTTCTGTCTAGCATAATATGAAGAAATCCCGTTTCCAACGAAGGCCTCAAGGAGGTCTGAATATCCACTTGCAGACTTTACAAACAGAGTGTTTCCTAACTGCTCTGTGAAAAGAAAGGTTAAACTCGGTGAGTTGAACGCACACATCACAAAGGAGTTTCTCAGAATCATTCTGTCTAGTTTTTATACGAAGATATTTCCTTTTCTGCCTTTGGCCCCAAAGCGCTTGAAATCTCCACTTGCAAATTCCACAAAAACAGTGTTTCAAATCTGCTCTCTCTAAATGAAAGTACAACTCTGTCAGTTGAATACACACAACACAAGGAAGTTACTGAGAATTCTTCTGTCTAGCATAATATGAAGAAATCCCGTTTCCAACGAAGGCCTCAAAGGGGTCTGAATATCCACTTGCAGACTTTATAAACAGAGTGTTTACTAACTGCTCTAGGAAAAGAAAGGTTAAACTCTGTGAGTTGAACACACACATCACAAAGGAGTTTCTGAGAATCATTCTGTCTAGTTTTTCTACGAAGATATTTCCTTTTCTACTATTGACCTCAAAGCGGCTGAAATCTCCACTTGCAAATTCTACAAATAGAGTGTTTCAAGTCTGCTCTGTGTAAAGGATCGTTCAACTCTGTGAGTTGAATACACACAACACAAGGAAGTTACTGAGAATTCTTCTGTCTAGCAGAATATGAAGAAATCCCGTTTCCAACGAAGGCCTCAAGGAGGTCTGAATATCCACTTGCAGACTTTACAAACAGAGTGTTTCCTAACTGCTCTATGAACAGAAAGGTTAAACTCTGTGAGTTGAACGAACACATCACAATGCAGTTTGTGGGAATGATTCTGTCTAGTTTTGAAACGAAGATATTTCCTTTTCTGCCATTGACCTTAAAGCGCTTCAAATCTACACTTGCAAATTGCACAAATAGAGTGTTTCAAATCTGCTCTGTCTAAGGGAACGTTCAACTCTGTGAGTTGAATGCACACAACACAAGGAAGTTACTGGGAATTCTTCTGTCTAGCCTTACATGAAAAAAAACCGTTTCCAACGAAGGCCTCTAAGTGGTCAAAATATCCACGTGCAGACTTTACAAACAGAGTGTTTCCAAACCGCTGAATGAAAAGAAAAGTTAAACTCTGAGAGTTGAACGCACACATCACGCAGCAGTTTCTGAGAATGATTCTGTCTAGTTTTTATACGAAGATATTTCCTTTTCTGCCTTTGGCCCCAAAGCGCTTGAAATCTCCACTTGCAAATTGCACAAAAACAGTGTTTCAAATCTGCTCTCTCTAAATGAAAGTTCAACTCTGTCAGTTGAATACACACAACAAAAGGAAGTTACTGAGAATTCTTCTGTCTAGCACAGTATGAAGAAATCCCGTTTCCAACGAAGGCCTCAAAGAGGTCCGAATATCCACTTGCAGACTTTACAAACAGAGTGTTTCCTAACTGCTCTATGAAAAGAAAGGTTAAACTCTGTGAGTTGAACGCACACGTCACAATGAAGTTTCTGAGAATCATTCTGTCTAGTTTTTATACGAAGATATTTCCTTTTCTACCATGGACCTCAAAGCGGCTGAAATCTCCACTTGCAAATTCCACAAAAAGAGTGTTTCAAGTCTGCTCTGTGTAAAGGATCGTTCACCTCTGTGAGTTGAATACACACAACACAAGGAAGATTCTGAGAATTCTTCTGTCTAGCAGAATATGAAGAAATCCCGTTTCCAACGAAGGCCACAAGATATCAGAATATCCACTTACAGACTTTACAAACAGAGTGTTTCCTAACTGCTCTATGAACAGAAAGGTTAAACTCTGTGAGTTGAACGAACACATCACAACGCAGTTTGTGGGAATGATTCTGTCTAGTTTTGAAAGGAAGATATTTCCTTTTCTGCCATTGACCTCAAAGCGCTTGAAATCTCCACTTGCCAATTGCACAAAAAGAGTGTTTCAAATCTGCTCTGTCTAAGGGAACGTTCAACTCTGTGAGTTGAATGTACACAACACAAGGAAGTTACTGGGAATTCTTCTGTCTAGCCTTACAAGAATAAAACCCGTTTCCAACGAAGGCCTCTAAGTGGTCAAAATATCCACGTGCAGACTTTACAAAGAGAATGTTTCCAAACTGCTGAATGAAAAGAAAAATTAAACTCTGAGAGTTGAATGCACACATCGCAGAGCAGTTTCTGAGAATGATTCTGTCTAGTTTTTCTACGAAGATATTTCCTTTTCTACTATTGACCTCAAAGCGGCTGAAATCTCCACTTGCAAATTCCACAAAAAGAATGTTTCAAGTCTGCTCTGTGTAAAGGATCGTTCAACTCTGTGAGTTGACTACACACAACACAAGGAAGTTACTGAGAATTCTTCTGTCTAGCATAATATGAAGAAATCCCGTTTCCAACGAAGGCCTCAAAGAGGTCTGAATATCCACTTGCAGACTTTACAAACAGAGTGTTTCCTAACTGCTCTATGAAAAGAAAAGTTAAACTCTTTGAGTTGAACGCACACATCACAAAGGAGTTTCTGAGAATCATTCTGTCTAGTTTTTATACGAAGATATTTCCTTTTCTACCATTGACCTCAAAGCGGCTGAAATTTCCAATTGCAAATTCCACAAAAAGAGTGTGTCAAATCTGCTCTGTGTAAACCATCGTTCAACTGTGTGAGTTGAATACACACAACACAAGGAAGATTCTGAGAATTCTTCTGTCTAGGAGAATATGAAGAAATCCCGTTTCCAAAGAAGGCCACAAGATGTCAGAATATCCACTTACAGAATTGACAAACAGACTGTTTCCTAACTGCTCTATGAAAAGAAAGGTTAAACTCTGTGAGTTGAACGAACACATCACAACGCAGTTTGTGGGAATGATTCTGTCTAGTTTTGAAACGAAGATATTTCCTTTTATGCCATTGACCTTAAAGTGCTTGAAATCTACACTTGCAAATTGCACAAATAGAGTGTTTCACATCTGCTCTGTCTAAGGGAACGTTCATCTCTGTGAGTTGAATGCACACAACACAAGGAAGTTACTGGGAATTCTTCTGTCTAGCCTTACATGAAAAAAACCCGTTTCCAACGAAGGACTCTAAGTGGTCAAAATATCCACGTGCAGACTTTACAAACAGAGTGTTTCCAAACTGCTGAATGAAAAGAAAAGTTAAACTCTGAGAGGTGAACGCACACATCGCAGAGCAGTTTCTGAGAAAGATTCTGTCTAGTTTCTATAGGAAGATATTTCCCATTCTACCATTGACCTCAAAGCGGCTGAAATCTCCACTTGCAAATTCCACAAAAAGAGTGTTTCAAGTCTGCTCTCTGTAAAGGATCGTTCAACTCTGTGAGTTGAATACACACAACACAAGGAAGTTACGGAGAATTATTCTGTCTAGCATAATATGAAGAAATCCCGTTTCCAACGAAGGCCTCAAAGAGGTCTGAATATCCACTTGCAGACTTTACAAACAGAGTGTTTCCTAACTGCTCTATGAAAAGAAAAGTTAAACTCTGTGTGTTGAACGCACACATCACAAAGGAGTTTCTGAGAATCATTCTGTCTAGTCTTTATACGAAGATATTTCCTTTTCTGCCATTGACCTCAAAGCGGCTGAAATCTCCACTTGCAAATTCCACAAAAAGAGTGTTTCAAGTCTGCTCTCTGTAAAGGATCGTTCAACTCTGTGAGTTGAATACACACAACACAAGGAAGTTACTGAGAATTCTTCTGTCTAGCAGAATATGAAGAAATCCCGTTTCCAACGAAGGCCACAAGATGTCAGAATATCCACTTACAGAATTTTCAAACAGACTGTTTCCTAACTGCTCTATGAAAAGAAAGGTTAAACTCTGTGAGTTGAACGAACACATCACAACGCAGTTTGTGGGAATGATTCTGTCTAGTTTTGAAACGAAGATATTTCCTTTTCTGCCGTTGACCTTAAAGCGCTTGAAATCTACACTTGCAAATTGCACAAATAGAGTGTTTCAAATCTGCTCTGTCTAAGGGAACGTTCAACTCTGTGAGTTGAATGCACACAACACAAGGAAGTTACTGGGAATTCTTCTGTCTAGCCTTACATGAAAAAATCCCGTTTCCATCGAAGGCCTCTAAGTGGTCAAAATATCCACGTGCAGACTTTACAAACAGAGTGTTTCCAAACCGCTGAATGTAAAGAAAAGTTAAACTCTGAGAGTTGAACGCACACATCACGCAGCAGTTTCTGAGAATGATTCTGTCTAGTTTTTATACGTAGATATTTCCTTTTCTGCCTTTGGCCTCAAAGCGCTTGAAATCTCCATTTGTAAATTCCACAAAAAGAGTGTTTCAAATCTGCTCTGTGTAAATGAAAGTTCAACTCTGTGAGTTGAACACACACAACACAAGGAAGTTACTGGGAATTCTTCTGTCTAGCCTTATATGAAAAAAACCCGTTTCCAACGAAGGCCTCAAAGAGGTCTGAATATCCACTTGCAGACTTTACAAACAGAGTGTTTCCTAACTGCTCTATGAAAAGAAATGTTAAACTCTGTGAGTTGAACACACACATCACAAAGGAGTTTCTGAGAATCATTTCTGTCTAGTTTCTATAGGACGATATTTCCTATTCTACCATTGACCTCAAAGCGGCTGAAATCTCCACTTGCAAATTCCGCAAAAAGAGTGTTTCAAGTCTGCTCTGTGTAAAGGATCGTTCAACTCTGTGAGTTGAATACACACAACACAAGGAAGTTACTGAGAATTCTTCTGTCTAGCAGAATATGAAGAAATCCCGTTTCCAACGAAGGCCACAAGATGTCAGAATATCCACTTACAGACTTTACAAACAGAGTGTTTCCTCACTGCTCTATGAACAGAAAGGTTAATCTCTGTGAGTTGAACGAACACATCACAACGCAGTTTGTGAGAATGATTCTGTCTAGTTTTGAAACGAAGATATTTCCTTTTCTGCCATTGACCTTAAAGCGCTTGAAATCTACACTTGCGAATTGCACAAATAGAGTGTTTCAAATCTGCTCTGTCTAAGGGAACGTTCAACTATGTGAGTTGAATGCACACAACACAAGGAAGTTACTGTGAATTCTTCTGTCTAGCCTTACATGAAAAAAACCAGTTTCTAACGAAGGCCTCTAAGTGGTCAAAACATCCACGTGCAGACTTTACAAACAGAGTGTTTCCAAACCGCTGAATGAAAAGAAAAGTTAAACTCTGAGAGTTGAACGCACACATCACGCAGCAGTTTCTGAGAATGATTCTGTCTAGTTTTTATACGAAGATATTTCCTTTTCTGCCTTTGGCCTCAAAGCGCTTGAAATCTCCACTTGCAAATTCCACAAAAAGAGTGTTTCAAATCTGCTCTTTGTAAATGAAAGTTCAACTCTGTGAGTTGAACACACACAACACAAGGAAGTTACTAGGAATCCTTCTGTCTAGCAGAATATGAAGAAATCCCGCTTCCAACGAAGGCCTCAAAGAAGTTTGAATATCCACTTGCAGACTTTACAAACAGAGTGTTTTCCAACTGCTCTATGAAAAGAAAGGTTGAACTCTGTGAGTTGAACGCACACATCACAAAGGAGTTTCTGAGAATCATTCTGTCTAGTTTCTATAGGAAGATATTTCCTATTCTACCATTGACCTCAAAGCGGCTGAAATCTCCACTTGCAAATTCCACAAAAAGAGTGTTTCAAGACTGTTCTGTGTAAAGGATCATTCAACTCTGTGAGTTGAATACACACAACACAAGGAAGTTACTGAGAATTCTTCTTTCTAGCAGAATATGAAGAAATCCCGTTTCCAACGAAAGCCTCAAAGATGTCTGAATATCCACTTGCAGACTTTACAAACAGAGTGTTTCCTAACTGCTCTATGAAAAGAAACGTTAAACTCTGTGAGTTGAACGCACACATCACAAAGGAGTTTCTGAGAATCATTCTGTCTAGTTTTGAAACGAAGATATTTCCTTTTCTGCCATTGACCTTAAAGCGCTTGAAATCTACACTTGCAAATTGCACAAATAGAGTGTTTCAAATCTGCTCTGTCTAAGGGAACGTTCAACTCTGTGAGTTGAATGCACACAACACAAGGAAGTTACTGGGAATTCTTCTGTCTAGCCTTACATGAAAAAAACCCGTTTCCAACGAAGGCCTCTAAGTGGTCAAAATATCCACGTGCAGACTTTACAAACAGAGTGTTTCCAAACCGCTGAATGAAAAGAAAAGTTAAACTCTGAGAGTTGAAGGCACACATCACGCAGCAGTTTCTGAGAATGATTATGTCTAGTTTCTATAGGAAGATATTTCCTATTCTACCATTGACCTCAAAGCGGCTGAAATCTCCACTTGCAAATTCCACAAAAAGAGTGTTTCAAGTCTGCTCTGTGTAAAGGATCGTTCAACTCTGTGAGTTGAATACACACAACACAAGGAAGTTACTGAGAATTCTTCTTTCTAGCAGAATATGAAGAAATCCCGTTTCCAACGAAAGCCTCAAGGATGTCGGAATATCCACTTGCAGACTTTACAAACAGAGTGTTTCCCAACTGCTCTATGAAAAGAAAGGTTAAACTCTGTGAGTTGAACGTACACATCACAAAGGAGTTTCTGAGAATCATTCTGTCTACTTTCTATAGGAAGATATTTCCTATTCTACCATTGACCTCAAAGCGGCTGAAATCTCCACTTGCAAATTCCACAAAAGGAGTGTTTCCAGTCTGCTCTGTGTAAAGGATCGTTCAACTCTGTGAGTTGAAAACACACAACACAAGGAAGTTTCTGAGAATTCTTCTGTCTAGCAGAATATGAAGAAATCCCGTTTCCAACGAAGGCCACATGATGTCAGAATATCCACTTACAGACTTTACAAACAGAGTGTTTCCTAACTGCTCTATGAACAGAAAGGTTAAACTCTGTGAGTTGAACGAACACATCACAACGCAGTTTGTGGGAATGATTCTGTCTAGTTTTGAAACGAAGATATTACCTTTTCTGCCATTGACCTTAAAGCGCTTGAAATCTACACTTGCAAATTGCTCAAATAGAGTGTTTCAAATCTGCTCTGTCTAAGGGAACGTTCAACTCTGTGAGTTGAATGCACACAACACAAGGAAGTTACTGGGAATTCTTCTGTCTAGCCTTACATGAAAAAATCCCGTTTCCAACGAAGGTCTCTAAGTGGTCAAAATATCCACGTGCAGACTTTACACACAGAGTGTTTCCAAACCGCTGAATGAAAAGAAAAGTTAAACTCTGAGAGTTGAACGCACACATCACGCAGCAGTTTCTGAGAATGATTCTGTCTAGTTTTGAAACGAAGATATTTCCTTTTCTGCCTTTGGCCTCAAAGCGCTTGAAATCTCCACTTGCAAATTCCACAAAAAGAGTGTTTCAAATCTGCTCTGTGTAAATCAAAGTTCAACTCTGTGAGTTGAACACACACAACACAAGGAAGTTACTGGGAATTCTTCTGTCTAGCATAATATGAAGAAATCCCGTTTCCAACGAAGGCCTCAAAGGGGTCTGAATATCCACCTGCAGACTTTATAAACAGACTTTTTACTAACTGCTCTATGAAAAGAAAGGTTAAACTCTGTGAGTTGAACACACACATCACAAAGGAGTTTCTGAGAATCATTCTGTCTAGTTTCCATAGGAAGATATTTCCTATTCTACCATTGACCTCAAAGCGGCTGAAATCTCCACTTGCAAATTCCACAAAAAGAGTGTTTCAAGTCTGCTCTCTGTAAAGGATCGTTCAACTCTGTGAGTGGAATACACACAACACAAGGAAGTTAATGAGAATTATTCTGTCTGGCAGAATATGTAGAAATCCCGTTTCCAACGAAGGCCACAAGATGTCAGAATATCCACTTACAGAATTTACCAACAGAGTGTTTCCTAACTGCTCTATGAAAAGAAAGGTTAAACTCTGTGAGTTGAACGAACACATCACAACGCAGTTTGTGGGAATGATTCTGTCTAGTTTTGAAACGAAGATATTTCCTTTTCTGCCATGGACCTTAAAGCGCTTGAAATCTCCACTTGCCAGTTGCACAAAAAGAGTGTTTCAAATCTGCTCTGTCTAAGGGAACGTTCAACACTGTGAGTTGAATGTACACAACACAAGGAAGTTACTGGGAATTCTTCTGTCTAGCCTTACATGAAAAAAACCCGTTTCCAACGAAGGCCTCTAAGTGGTCAAAATATCCACGTGCAGACTTTACAAACAGAGTGTTTCCAAACCGCTGAATGAAAAGAAAAGTTAAACTCTGAGAGTTGAACGCACACATCACACAGCAGTTTCTGAGAATGATTCTGTCTAGTTTGTATAAGAAGATATTTCCTATTCTACCATTGACCTCAAAGCGGCTGAAATCTCCACTTGCAAATTCCACAAAAAGAGTGTTTCAAGCCTGCTCTCTGTAAAGGATCCTTCAACTCTGTGAGTTGAATACACACAACACAAGGAAGTTACTGAGAATTATTCTGTCTAGCATAATATGAAGAAATCCCGTTTCCAACGAAGGCCTCAAGGAGGTCTGAATATCCACTTGCAGACTTTACAAACAGAGTGTTTCCTAACTGCTCTATGAAAAGAAAGGTTAAACTCTGTGAGTTGAACGCACACATCACAAAGGAGTTTCTGAGAATGATTCTGTCTAGTTTTTATACGAAGATAATTCCTTTTCTACCATTGACCTCAAAGCGGCTGAAATCTCCACTTACAAATTCCGCAAAAAGAGTGTTTCAAGTCTGCTCTGTGTAAAGGATCGTTCAACTCTGTGAGTTGAATACACACAACACAAGGAAGTTACTGAGAATTCTTCTGTCTAGCAGAATATGAAGAAATCCCGTTTCCAACGAAGGCCACAAGATGTCAGAATATCCACTTACAGAATTTTCAAACAGACTGTTTCCTAACTGCTCTATGAAAAGAAAGGTTAAACTCTGTGAGTTGAACGAACACATCACAACGCAGTTTGTGGGAATGATTCTGTCCAGTTTTGAAACGAAGATATTTCCTTTTCTGCCATTGAACTTAAAGCGCTTGAAATCTCCATTTGCCAATTGCACAAAAAGAGTGTTTCAAATCTGCTCTGTCTAAGGGAACGTTCAACTCTGTGAGTTGAATGTACACAACACAAGGAAGTTACTGGGAATTCTTCTGTCTAGCCTTACAGGAAAAAAACCCGTTTCCAACGAAGGCCTCTAAGTCGTCAAAATATCCACGTGCAGACTTTACAAACAGAGTGTTTCCAAACTGCTGAATGAAAAGAAAAGTTAAACTCTGAGAGTTGAACGCACACATCGCCAGAAGCAGTTTCTGAGAATGATTCTGTCTAGTTTTGAAACGAAGACATTTCCTTTTCTGCCTTTGGCCTCAAAGCCCTTGAAATCTCCATTTGCAAATTCCACAAAAAGAGTGTTTCAAATCTGCTCTGTGTAAATGAAAGTTCAACTCTGTGAGTTGAACACACACAACACAAGGAAGTTACTGGGAATTCTTCTGTCTAGCAGAATATGAAGAAATCCCGTTTCCAACGAAAGCCTCAATGATGTCTGAAAATCCACCTGCAGACTTTACAAACAGAGTGTTTCCTAACTGCTCTATGAAAAGAAAGTTTAAACTCTGTGAGTTGAACGCACACAGCACCAAGGAGTTTCTGACAATCATTCTGTCTAGTTTCTATAGGAAGATATTTCCTATTATACCATTGACCTCAAAGCGGCTGAAATCTCCACTTGCAAATTCCACAAAAAGAGTGTTTCAAGTCTGCTCTGTGTAAAGGATCGTTCAACTCTGTGAGTTGAATACACACAACACAAGGAAGTTACTGAGAATTCTTCTGTCTAGCAGAATATGAAGAAATCCCGTTTCCAACGAAGGCCACAAGATGTCAGAATATCCACTTACAGACTTTACAAACAGAGTGTTTCCTAACTGCTCTATGAACAGAAAGGTTAAACTCTGTGAGTTGAACGAACACATTACAACGCAGTTTGTGGGAATGATTCTGTCTAGTTTTGAAACGAAGATATTTCCTTTTCTGCCATTGACCTTAAAGCGCTTGAAATCTCCACTTGCCAATTGCACAAAAAGAGTGTTTCAAATCTGCTCTGTCTAAGGGAACGTTCAACTCTGTGAGTTGAATGTACACAACACAAGGTAAGTTACTGGGAATTCTTCTGTCTAGCCTTACATGAAGAAAACCCGTTTCCAACGAAGGCCTCTAAGTGGTCAAAATATCCACGTGCAGACTTTACAAACAGAGTGTTTCCAAACCGCTGAATGAAAAGAAAAGTTAAACTCTGAGAGTTGAACGCACACATCACGCAGCAGTTTCTGAGAATGATTCTGTCTAGTTTTTATACGAAGATATTTCCTTTTCTGCCTTTGGCCCCAAAGCGTTTGAAATCTCCACTTGCAAATTCCACAAAAACAGTATTTCAAATCTGCTCTCTCTAAATGAAAGTTCAACTCTGTCAGTTGAATACACACAACACAAGGAAGTTACTGAGAATTCTTCTGTCTAGCATAATATGAAGAAATGCAGTTTCCAACGAAGGCCTCAAGGAGGTCTGAATATCCACTTGCAGACTTTACAAACAGAGTGTTTCCTAACTGCTCTATGAAAAGAAAGGTTAAACTCTGTGAGTTGAACGTACACATCACAAAGGGGTTTCTGAGAATCATTCTGTCTAGTTTCTATAGGAAGATATTTCCTATTTTACCATTGACCTTAAAGCGGCTGAAATCTCCACTTGCAAATTTCACAAAAAGAGTGTTTCCAGTCTGCTCTGTGTAAAGGATCGTTCAACTCTGTGAGTTGAATACACACAACACAAGGAAGTTTCCGAGAATTCTTCTGTCTAGCAGAATATGAAGAAATCCCGTTTCCAACGAAGGCCACAAGATGTCAGAATATCCACTTACAGAATTTACAAACAGACTGTTTCCTAAGTGCTCTATGAAAAGAAATGTTAAACTCTGTGAGTTGAACGAACACATCGCAACGCAGTTTGTGGGAATGATTCTGTCTAGTTTTTATAGGAAGATATTTCCTTTTCTACCTTTGACTTCAAAGCGGCTGAAATCTCCACTTGCAAATTCCACAAAAAGAGTGTTACAAGTCTGCTCTGTCTAAGGGAACTTTCAACTCTGTGAGTTGAATGTACACAACACAAGGAAGTTACTGGGAATTCTTCTGTCTAGCCTTACGTGAAAAAAAAACCCGTTTCCAACGAAGGCCTCTAAGTGGTCAAAATATCCACGTGCAGACTTTACAAACAGAGTGTTTCCAAACTGCTGAATGAAAAGAAAAGTTAAACTCTGAGAGTTGAACGCACACATCACAGAGCAGTTTCTGAGAATGATTCTGTCTAGTTTTTATACGAAGATATTTCCTTTTCTGCCTTTGGCCCCAAAGCGCTTGAAATCTCCACTTGCAAATTCCACAAAAACAGTGTTTCAAATCTGCTCTCTCTAAATGAAAGTTCAACTCTGTCAGTTGAATACACACAACAAAAGGAAGTTACTGAGAATTCTTCTGTCTAGCATAATATGAAGAAATCCCGTTTCCAACGAAGGCCTCAAAGGGGTCTGAATATCCACTTGCAGACTTTATAAACAGAGTGTTTACTAACTGCTCTATGAAAACAAAGGTTAAACTCTGTGAGTTGAACACACACATCACAAAGGAGTTTCTGAGAATCATTCTGTCTAGTTTTTCTTCGAAGATATTTCCTATTCTACCATTGACCTCAAAGCGGCTGAAATCTCCACTTGCAAATTCCACAAAAAGAGTGTTTCAAGTCTGCTCTCTGTAAAGGATCATTCAACTCTGTGAGTTGAATACACAGAACACAAGGAAGTTACTGAGAATTCTTCTGTCTAGCAGAATATGTAGAAATCCCGTTTCCAAAGAAGGCCTCAAAGAGGTCTGAATATCCACTTGCAGACTTTACAAACAGAGTGTTTCCTAACTGCTCTATGAAAAGAAAAGTTAAACTCTGTGAGTTGAACGCACACATCACAAAGCATTTTCTGAGAATCATTCTGTCTAGTCTTTATACGACGATAGTTTCCTTTTCTACCATTGACCTCAAAGCGGCTGAAATCTCCACTTGCAAATTCCACAAAAAGAGTGTTTCAAGTCTGCTCTGTGTAAAGGATCGTTCAACTCTGTGAGTTGAATACACACAACACAAGGAAGTTACTGAGAATTCTTCTGTCTAGCCTTACAGGAAAAAAACCCGTTTCCAACGAAGGCCTCTAAGTGGTCAAGTTATCCACGTGCAGACTTTACAACCAGAGTGTTTCCAAACTGCTGAATGAAAAGAAAAGTTAAACTCTGAGAGTTGAACGCACACATCGCAGAGCAGTTTCTGAGAATGATTCTGTCTAGTTTTTATACGAAGATATTTCCTTTTCTGCCTTTGGCCTCAAAGCGCTTGAAATCTCCATTTGCAAATTCCACAAAAAGAGTGTTTCAAATCTGCTCTGTGTAAATGAAAGTTCAACTCTGTGAGATGAACACACACAACACAAGGAAGTTACTGGGAATTCTTCTGTCTAGCAGAATATGAATAAATCCCTTTTCCAACGAAACCCTCAAAGATGTCTGAATATCCACTTTTAGACTTTACCAACCCAGTGTCTCCTAACTTCTCTATGAAAAGAAAGGTTAAATTCTGTGAGTTGAACGCACACATCACAAAGGAGTTTCTGACAATCATTCTGTCTAGTTTCTATAGGAAGATATTTCCTATTCTACCATTGACCTCAAAGCGGCTGAAATCTCCACTTGCAAATTCCACAAAAGGAGTGTTTCAAGTCTGCTCTGTGTAAAGGATCGTTCAACTCTGTGAGTTGAAAACACACAACACAAGGAAGTTACTGAGAATTCTTCTTTCTAGCAGTATATGAAGAAATCCCGTTTCCAACGAAAGCCTCAAGGATGTCTGAATATCCACTTGCAGACTTTACAAACAGAGTGTTTCCCAACTGCTCTATGAAAAGAAAAGTTAAACTCTGTGAGTTGAACGCACACATCACAAAGGAGTTTCTGAGAATCATTCTGTCTAGTTTTTATAGGAAGATATTTCCTTTTCTACCTTTGACTTCAAAGCGGCTGAAATCTCCACTTGCAAATTCCACAAAAAGAGTGTTACAAGTCTGCTCTGTCTAAGGGAACCTTCAACTCTGTGAGTTGAATGTACACAACACAAGGAAGTTACTGGGAATTCTTCTGTCTAGCCTTACAGGAAAAAAACCCGTTTCCAACGAAGGCCTCTAAGTGGTCAAAATATCCACGTGCAGACTTTACAAACAGAGTGTTTCCACACTGCTGAATGAAAAGAAAAGTTAAACTCTGAGAGTTGAACGCACACATCGCAGAGCAGTTTCTGAGAATGATTCTGTCTAGTTTTGAAACGAAGATATTTCCTTTTCTACCATTGACCTCAACGCGGCTGAAATCTCCATTTGCAAATTCCACAAAAAGAGTGTTTCAAATCTGCTCTGTGTAAATGAAAGTTCAACTCTGTGAGTTGAACACACACAACACAAGGAAGTTACAGGGAATTCTTCTGTCTCGCATAATATGAAGAAATCCCGTTTCCAACGAAGGCCTCAAAGAGGTCTGAATATCCACTTGCAGACTTTACAAACAGAGTGTTTCCTAACTGCTCTATGAAAAGAAAAGTTAAACTCTGTGAGTTGAACGCACACATCACAAAGGATTTTCTGAGAATCATTCTGTCTAGTTTCTATAGGAAGATATTTCCTATTCTACCGTTGACCTCAAAGCGGCTGAAATCTCCACTTGCAAATTCCACAAAAAGAGTGTTTCAAGTCTGCTCTCTGTAAAGGATCGTTCAACTCTGTGAGTTGAATACACACAACACAAGGAAGTTACTGAGAATTATTCTGTCTAGCAGAATATGAAGAAATCCCGTTTCCAACGAAGGCCACAAGATGTCAGAATATCCACTTACAGAATTTACAAACAGACTGTTTCCTAACTGCTCTATGAAAAGAAAGGTTAAACTCTGTGAGATGAACGGACACATCACAACGCAGTTTGTGGGAATGATTCTGTCTAGTTTTGAAACGAAGATATTTCCTTTTCTGCCATTGACCTTAAAGTGCTTGAAATCTCCACTTGCCAATTGCACAAAAAGAGTGTTTCAAATCTGCTCTGTGTAAATGAAAGTTCAACTCTGTGAGTTGAACACACACAACACAAGGAAGTTACTGGGAATTCTTCTGTCTAGGCTTATATGAAAAAAACCCGTTTCCAACGAAGGCCTCAAAGAGGTCTGAATATCCACTTGCAGACTTTACAAACAGAGTGTTTCCTAACTGCTCTATGAAAAGAAAGGTTAAACTCTGTGAGTTCAACACACACATCACAAAGGAGTTTCTGAGAATCATTCTGTCTAGTTTTTATACGGAGATATTTCCTTTTCTGCCTTTGTCCCCAAAGCGCTTGAAATCTCCACTTGCAAATTCCACAAAAACAGTGTTTCAAATCTGCTCTCTCTAAATGAAAGTTCAACTCTGTCAGTTGAATACACACAACACAAGGAAGTTACTGAGAATTCCTCTGTCTAGCATAATATGAAGAAATCCCGTTTCCAACGAAGGCCTCAAAGAGGTCTGAATATCCACCTGCAGACTTTACAAACAGAGTGTTTCCTAACTGCTCTATGAAAAGAAAAGTTAAACTCTGTGAGTTGAACGCACACATCACAAAGGAGTTTCTGAGAATCATTCTGTCTAGTCTTTATACGAAGATATTTCCTTTTGTACCATTGACCTCAAAGCGGCTGAAATCTCCACTTGCAAATTCCACAAAAAGAGTGTTTAAAGTCTGCTCTCTGTAAAGGATCGTTCAACTCTGTGAGTTGAATACACACAACACAAGGAAGTTACTGAGAATTCTTCTGTCTAGCAGAATATGAAGAAATCCCGTTTCCAAAGAAGGCCTCAAGGAGGTCTGAATATCCACTTGCAGACTTTACAAACAGAGTGTTTCCTAACTGCTCTATGAACACAAAGGTTAAACTCTGTGAGTTGAACGCACACATCACAAAGGAGTTTCTGAGAATCATTCTGTCTAGTTTTGAAACCAAGATATTTCCTTTTCTGCCATTGACCTTAAAACTCTTGAAATCTCCACTTGCCAATTGCACAAAAAGAGTGTTTCAAATCTGCTCTGTCTAAGGGAATGTTCAACTCTGTGAGTTGAATGTACACAACACAAGGAAGTTACTGGGAATTCTTCTGTCTAGCCTTACAGGAAAAAAACCCATTTCCAACGAAGGCCTCTAAGTGGTCAAAATATCCACGTGCAGACTTTACAAACAGAGTGTTTCCAAACTGCTGAATGAAAAGAAAAGTTAAACTCTGAGAGTTGAACGCACACATCGCAGAGCAGTTTCTGAGAATGATTATGTCTAGTTTTTATACGAATTTATTTCCTTTTCTGCCTTTGGCCCCAAAGCGCTTGAAATCTCCACTTGCAAATTCCACAAAAACAGTGGTTCAAATCTGCTCTCTCTAAATGAAAGTTCAACTCTGTCAGTTGAATACACACAACGCAAAGAAGTTACTGAGAACTCTTCTGTCTAGCAGAATATGAAGAAATCCCGTTTCCAACGAAGGCCTAAAAGAGGTCTGAATATCCACTTGCAGACTTTACAAACAGAGTGTTTCCTAACTGCTCTATGAAAAGAAAGGTTAAACTCTGTGAGTTGAACGCACACATTACAAAGGAGATTCCGAGAATCATTCTGTCTAGTTTCTATAGGAAGATATTTCCTATTCTACCATTGAACTCAAAGCGGCTGAAATCTCCACTTGCAAATTCCACAAAAAGAGTGTTTCAAGTCTGCTCTGTGTAAAGGATCGTTCAACTTTGTGAGTTGAATACACACAACACAAGGAAGTTACTGAGAATTCTTCTGTCTAGCAGAATATGAAGAAATGCCGTTTCCAACGAAGGCCACAAGATGTCAGAATATCCACTTACAGAATTGACAAACAGACTGTTTCCTAACTGCTCTATGAAAAGAAAGGTTAAACTCTGTGAGTTGAACGAACACATCACAACGCAGTTTGTGGGAATGATTCTGTCTAGTTTTGAAACGAAGATATTTCCTTTTCTGCCATTGACCTTAAAGCGCTTGAAATCTCCATTTGCCAATTGCACAAAAAGAGTGTTTCAAATCTGCTCTGTCTAAGGGAACGTTCAACTCTGTGAGTTGAATGTACACAACACAAGGAAGTTACTGGGAATTCTTCTGTCTAGCCTTACAGGAAAAAAACCCGTTTCCAACGAAGGCCTCTGAGTGGTCAAAATATCCACCTGCAGACTTTACAAACAGAGTGTTTCCAAACTGCTGAATGAAAAGAAAAGTTAAACTCTGAGAGTTGAACGCACACATCGCAGAGCAGTTTCTGAGAATGATTCTCTCTAGTTTCTATAGGAAGAAATTTCCTATTCTACCATTGACCTCAAAGCGGCTGAAATCTCCACTTGCAAATTCCACAAAAACAGTGTTTCAACTCTGCTCTGTGTAAAGGATCGTTCAACTCTCTGAGTTGAATACACACAACACAAGGAAGTTACTGAGAATTCTTCTGTCTAGCATAATATGAAGAAATCCCGTTTCCAACGAAGACCTCAAGGAGGTCTGAATATCCACTTGCAGACTTTACAAACAGTGTGTTTCCTAACTGCTCTATGAAAAGAAAGGTTAAACTCTGTGAGTTGAACGCCCACATCACAAAGGAGTTTCTCAGAATCATTCTGTCTAGTTTGTATAGGAAGATATTTCCTATTCTACCATTGACCTCAAAGCGGCTGAAATCTCCACTTGCAAATTCCACAAAAAGAGTGTTTCAAGTCTGCTCTCTGTAAAGGATCGTTCAACTCTGACAGTTGAATACACACAACACAAGGAAGTTACTGAGAATTATTCTGTCTAGCAGAATATGAAGAAATCCCGTTTCCAACGAAGGCCACAAGATGTCAGAATATCCACTTACAGAATTTACAAACAGACTGTTTCCTAACTGCTCTACGAAAAGAAAGGTTAAACTCTGTGAGATGAAGGAACACATCACAACGCAGTTTGTGGGAATGATTCTGTCTAGTTTTGAAACGAAGATATTTCCTTTTCTGCCATTGACCTTAAAGCGCTTGAAATCTACACTTGCAAATTGCACAAATAGAGTGTTTCAAATCTGCTCTGTCTAAGGGAACGTTCAACTCTGTGAGTTGAAAGCACACAACACAAGGAAGTTACTGGGAATTCTTCTGTCTAGCCTTACATGAAAAAAACCCGTTTCCAACGAAGGCCTCTAAGTGGTCAAATTATCCACGTGCAGACTTTACAAACAGAGTGTTTCCAAACTGCTGAATGAAAAGCAAAGTTAAACTCTGAGAGTTGAACGCACACATCGCAGAGCACTTTCTGAGAATGATTCTGTCTAGTTTTTATACGAAGATATTTCCTTTTCTGCCTTTGGCCTCAAAGCGCTTGAAATCTCCACTTGTAAATTCCACAAAAAGAGTGTTTCAAATCTGCTCTGTGTAAATGAAAGTTCAACTCTGTGAGTTGAACACACACAACACAAGGAAGTTACTGGGAATTCTTCTGTCTAGCATAGTATGGAGAAATCCCGTTTCCAACGAAGGCCTCAAAGAGGTCTGAATATCCACTTGCAGAGTTTACAAACAGAGTGTTTCCTAACTGCTCTATGAAAAGAAAGGTTAAACTCTGTGAGTTGAAGGCACACATCACAAAGAAGTTTCTGAGAATCATTCTGTCTAGTTTCTATAAGAAGATATTTCCTATTCTACCATTCACCTCAAAGCGGCTGAAATCTCCACTTGCAAATTCGACAAAAAGAGTGTTTCAAGCCTGCTCTCTGTAAAGGATCCTTCAACTCTGTGAGTTGAATACACACAACACAAGGAAGTTACTGAGAATTCTTCTGTCTAGCAGAATATGAAGAAATCCCGTTTCCAACGAAGGCCACAAGATGTCAAAATATCCACTTACAGAATTGACAAACAGACTGTTTCCTAACTGCTCTATGAAAAGAAAGGTTAAACTCTGTGAGTTGAACGAACACATCACAACGCAGTTTGTGGGAATGATTCTGTCTAGTTTTGAAACGAAGATATTTCCTTTCCTGCCATTGACCTTAAAGCGCTTGAAATCTCCATTTGCCAATTGCACAAAAAGAGTGTTTCAAATCTGCTCTGTCTAAGGGAACGTTCAACTCTGTGAGTTGAATGTACACAACACAAGGAAGTTACTGGGAATTCTTCTGTCTAGCCTTACAGGAAAAAAAACCGTTTCCAACTAAGGCCTCTAAGTGGTCAAAATATCCACGTGCAGACTTTACAAACAGAGTGTTTCCAAACTGCTGAATGAAAAGAAAAGTTAAACTCTGAGAGTTGAACGCACACATCGCAGAGCAGTTTCTGAGAATGATTCTGTCTAGTTTTTATACGAAGATATTTCCTTTTCTGCCTTTGGCCTCAAAGCGCTTGAAATCTCCACTTGCAAATTCCACAAAAAGAGTGTTTCAAATCTGCTCTGTCTAAATGAAAGTTCAACTCTGTGAGTTGAACACACACAACACAAGGAAGTTACTGGGAATTCTTCTGTCTAGCATAATATGAAGAAATCCCGTTTCCAACGAAGGCCTCAAGGAGGTCTGAATATCCACTTGCAGACTTTACAAACAGAGTGTTTCCTAACGGCTCTATGAAAAGAAAGGTTAAACTCTGTGAGTTGAACGCACACATCACAAAGGAGTTTCTGAGAATCATTCTGTCTAGTTTCTATAGGAAGATATTTCCTATTCTACCATTGACCACAAAGCGGCTGAAATCTCCACTTGCAAATTTCACAAAAAGAGTGTTTCAAGTCTGCTCTGTGTAAAGGATCGTTCAACTCTGTGAGTTGAATACACACAATACATGGAAGTTACTGAGAATTCTTCTGTCTAGCAGAATATGATGAAATCCCTTTTCCAACGAAGGCCACAAGATGTCAGAATATCCACTTACAGACTTTACAAACAGAGTGTTTCCTAACTGCTCTATGAACAGAAAGGTTAAACTCTGTGAGTTGAACGAACACATCACAACGCAGTTTGTGGGAATGATTCTGTCTAGTTTTGAAACGAAGATATTTCCTTTTCTGCCATTGACCTTAAAGCGCTTGAAATCTACACTTGCAAATTGCACAAATAGAGTTTTTCAAATCTGCTCTGTCTAAGGGAACGTTCAACTCTTTGAGTTGAATGCACACAACACAAGGAAGTTACTGGGAATTCTTCTGTCTAGCCTTACAGGAAAAAAACCCGTTTCCAACGAAGGCCTCTAAGTGGTCAAAATATCCACGTGCAGACTTTACAAACAGAGTGTTTCCAAACTGCTGAATTAAAAGAAAAGTTAAACTCTGAGAGTTGAACGCACACATCGCAGAGCAGTTTCTGAGAATGATTCTGTCTAGTTTTTATACGAAGATATTTCCTTTTCTGCCTTTGGCCCCAAAGCGCATGAAATCTCCACTTGCAAATTCCACAAAAACAGTGTTACAAATCTGCTCTCTCTAAATGAAAGTTCAACTCCGTCAGTTGAATACACACAACACAAGGAAGTTACTGAGAATTCTTCTGTCTAGCCTTATATGAAAAAAACCCGTTTCCAACGAAGGCCTCAAAGAGGTCTGAATATCCTCTTGCAGACTTTACAAACAGAGTGTTTCCTAACAGCTCTATGAAAAGAAAGGTTAAACTCTGTGAGTTGGGCACACACATCACAAAGGAGTTTCTGAGAATGATTCTGTCTAGTTTTTATACGAAGATATTTCCTTTTCTACCATTGACCTCAAAGCGGCTGAAATCTCCACTGGCCAATTCAACAAAAAGAGTTTTTCAAGTCTACTCTGTGTAAAGGATCGTTGAACTCTGTGAGTTGAAAACACGCAACACCAGGAAGTTTCTGAGAATTCTTCTGTCTAGCAGAATATGAAGAAATTCCGTTTCCAAAGAAGGCCTCAAAGAGGTCTGAATATCCACTTGCAGACTTTACCAACAGAGTGTTTCCTAACTGCTCTATGAAAAGAAAGGTTAAACTCTGTGAGTTGAACGCACACATCACAAAGGAGTTTCTGAGAATCATTCTGTCTAGTTTTGAAACGAAGATATTTCCTTTTCTGCCATTGACCTTAAAGTGCTTGAAATCTACACTTGCAAATTGCACAAATAGAGTGTTTCAAATCTGCTCTGTCTAAGGGAACGTTCAACTCTGTGAGTTGAATGCACACAACACAAGGAAGTTACTGGGAATTCTTCTGTCTAGCCTTACATGAAAAAACCCGTTTCCAACGAAGGCCTCTAAGTGGTCAAAATATACACGTGCAGACTTTACAAACAGAGTGTTTCCAAACCGCTGAATGAAAAGAAAAGTTAAACTCTGAGAGTTGAACGCACACATCACGCAGCAGTTTCTGAGAATGATTCTGTCTAGTTTTTATACGAAGATATTTCCTTTTCTGCCTTTGGCCTCCAAGCGCTTGAAATCTCCAATTGCAAATTCCACAAAAAGAGTGTTTCAAATCTGCTCTGTGTAAATGAAAGTTCAACTCTGTGAGTTGAACACACACAACACAAGGAAGTTACTGGGAATTCTTCTGTCTAGCATAATATGAAGAAATCCCGTTTCCAACGAAGGCTTCAAAGAGGTCTGAATATCCGCTTGCAGACTTTACAAACAGAGTGTTTCCTAACTGCTCTATGAAAAGAAAGTTTAAACTCTGTGAGTTGAACGCACACATCACAAAGGAGTTTCTGAGAATCGTTCTGTCTAGTTTTTCTACGAAGATATTTCCTTTTCTACTATTGACCTCAAAGCGGCTGAAATCTCCACTTGCAAATTCTACAAATAGAGTGTTTCAAGTCTGCTCTGTGTAAAGGATCGTTCAACTCTATGAGTTGAATACACACAACACAAGGAAGTTACTGAGAATTCTTCTGTCTAGCAGAATATGAAGAAATCCCGTTTCCAACGAAGGCCTCAAAGAGGTCTGAATATCCACTTGCAGACTTTACACACAGAGTGTTTCCTAACTGCTCTATGAACAGAAAGGTTAAACTCTGTGAGTTGAACGAACACATCACAACGCAGTTTGTGGGAATGATTCTGTCTAGTTTTGAAACGAAGATATTTCCTTTTCTGCCGTTGACCTTAAAGAGCTTGAAAACTACACTTGCAAATTGCACAAATAGAGTGTTTCAAACCTGCTCGGTCTAAGGGAACGTTCAACTCTGTGAGTTGAATGCACACAACACAAGGAAGTTACTGGGAATTCTTCTGTCTAGCCTTACATGAAAAAAACCCGTTTCCAACGAAGGCCTCTAAGTGGTCAAAATATCCACGTGCAGAATTTACAAACAGAGTGTTTCCAAACTGCTGAATGAAAAGAAAAGTTAAACTCTGAGAGTTGAACGCATACATCGCAGAGCAGTTTCTGAGAATGATTCCGTCTAGTTTTTATACGAAGATATATCCTTTTCTGCCTTTGGCCTCAAAGCGCTTGAAATCTCCACTTGCAAATTCCAGAAAAAGAGTGTTTCAAATCTGCTCTGTCTAAATGAAAGTTCAACTCTGTCAGTTGAATACACACAACAAAAGGAAGTTACTGAGAATTCTTCTGTCTAGCAGAATATGAAGAAATCCCGTTTCCAACGAAGGCCTCAAGGAGGTCTGAATATCCACTTGCAGACTTTACAAACAGAGTGTTTCCTAACTGCTCTATGAAAAGAAAGGTTTAACTCTGTGAGTTGAACGCACACATCACAAAGGAGTTTCTGAGAATCATTCCGTCTAGTTTTTATACGAAGATATTTCCTTTTCTACCATGGACCTCAAAGCGGCTGAAATCTCCACTTGCAAATTCCACAAAAAGAGTGTTTCAAGTCTGCTCTGTGTAAAGGATCGTTCAACTCTGTGAGTTGAATACACACAACACAAGGAAGATTCTGAGAATTCTTCTGTCTAGCAGAATATGAAGAAATCCCGTTTCCAACGAATGCCACAAGATGTCAGAATATCCACTTACAGAATTGACAAACAGACTGTTTCCTAACTGCTCTATGAAAAGAAAGGTTAAACTCTGTGAGTTGAACGAACACATCACAACGCAGTTTGTGGGAATGATTCTGTCTAGTTTTGAAACGAAGATATTTCCTTTTCTGCCTTTGAACTTAAAGCGCTTGAAATCTCCATTTGCCAATTGCACAAAAAGAGTGTTTCAAATCTGCTCTGTCTAAGGGAACGTTCAACTCCTGTGAGTTGAATGTACACAACACAAGGAAGTTACTGGGAATTCTTCTGTCTAGCCTTACATGAAAAAAACCCGTTTCCAACGAAGGCCTCTAAGTGGTCAAAATTTCCACGTGCAGACTTTACAAACAGAGTGTTTCCTAACAGCTCTATGAACAGAAAGGTTAAACTCTGTGAGTTGAACGCACACATCACAAAGGACTTTCTGAGAATCATTCTGTCTAGTTTTTATACGAAGATATTTCCTTTTCTGCCTTTGGCCCCAAAGCGCTTGAAATCTCCAATTGCAAATTCCACAAAAACAGTGTTTCAAATCTGCTCTCTCTAAATGAAAGTTCAACTCTGTCAGTTGAATACACACAACACAAGGAAGTTACTGAGAATTCTTCTGTGTAGCATAATATGAAGAAATCCCGTTTCCAACGAAGGCCTCAAGGAGGTCTGAATATCCACTTGCAGACTTTACAAACAGAGTGTTTCCTAACTGCTCTATGAAAAGAAATGTTAAACTCTGTGAGTTGAACGCACACATCACAAAGGAGTTTCTGAGAATCATTCTGTCTAGTTTTTCTACGAAGATATTTCCTATTCTACTATTGACCTCAAAGCGGCTGAAATCTCCACTTGCAAATTCTACAAATAGAGTGTTTCAAGTCTGCTCTGTGTAAAGGATCGTTCAACTCTGTGAGTTGAATACACACAACACAAGGAAGTTACTGAGAATTATTCTGTCTAGCATAATATGAAGAAATCCCGTTTCCAACGAAGGCCTCAAGGAGTTCTGAATATCCACTTGCAGACTTTACAATCAGAGTGTTTCCTAACTGCTCTATGAAAAGAAAGGTTAAACTCTGTGAGTTGAACGCACACATCACAAAGGAGTTTCTGAGAATCATTCTGTCTAGTTTTGAAACGAAGATATTTCCTTTTCTGCCATTGACCTTAAAGCGCTTGAAATCTCCACTTGCCAATTGCACAAAAAGAGTGTTTCAAATCTGCTCTGTCTAAGGGAACGTTCAACTCTGTGAGTTGAATGTACACAACGCAAGGAAGTTACTGGGAATTCTTCTGTCTAGCCTTACAGGAAAAAAACCCGTTTCCAACGAAGGCCTCTAAGTGGTCAAATTATCCAGGTGCAGACTTTACAAACAGAGTGTTTCCAAACTGCTGAATGAAAAGAAAAGTTAAACTCTGAGACTTGAACGCACACATCGCAGAGCAGTTTCTGAGAATGATCTGTCTAGTTTTTATACGAAGATATTTCCTTTTCTGCCTTTGGCCTCAAAGCGCTTGAAATCTCCACTTGCAAATTCCACAAAAAGAGTGTTTCAAATCTGCTCTGTGTAAATCAAAGTTCAACTCTGTGAGTTGAACACACACAACACAAGGAAGTTACTGGGAATTCTTTCTGTCTAGCATAATATGAAGAAATCCCGTTTCCAACGAAGGCCTCAAAGGGGTCTGAATATCCACTTGCAGACATTACAAACAGAGTGTTTCCTAACTGCTCTATGAAAAGAAACGTTAAACTCTGTGAGTTGAACGCACACATCACAAAGGAGTTTCTGAGAATCATTCTGTCTAGTCTTTATACGAAGATATTTCCTTTTCTACCATTGACCTCAAAGCGGCTGAAATCTCCACTTGCAAATTCCACAAAAAGAGTGTTTCAAGTCTGCTCTGTGTAAAGCATCGTTCAACTCTGTGTGTTGAATACACACAACACAAGGAAGTTACTGAGAATTCTTCTGTCTAGCAGAATATGAAGAAATCCCGTTTCCAACGAAGGCCACAAGATGTCAGAATATCCACTTACAGACTTTACAAACAGAGTGTTTCCTAACTGCTCTATGAACAGAAAGGTTAAACTCTGTGAGTTGAACGAACACATCAGAACGCAGTTTGTGGGAATGATTCTGTCTAGTTTTTATACGAAGATATTTCCTTTTCTACCATTGACCTCAAAGCGGCTGAAATCACCACTTGCCAATTGCACAAAAAGAGTGTTTCAAATCTGCTCTGTCTAAGGGAACGTTCAACTCTGTGAGTTGAATGTACACAACACAAGGAAGTTACTGGGAATTCTTCTGTCTAGCCTTACATGAAAAAAACCCGTTTCCAACGAAGACCTCTAAGTGGTCAAGTTATCCACGTGCAGACTTTACAAACAGAGTGTTTCCAAACTGCTGAATGAAAAGAAAAGTTAAACTCTGAGAGTTGAACGCACACATCGCAGAGCAGTTTCTGAGAATGATTCTGTCTAGTTTTTCTACGAAGATATTTCCTTTTCTGCCTTTGGCCTCAAAGTGCTTGAAATCTCCATTTGCAAATTCCACAAAAAGAGTGTTTCAAATCTGCTCTGTGTAAATGAAAGTTCAACTCTGTGAGTTGAACACACACAACACATGGAAGTTACTGGGAATTCTTCTGTCTAGCAGAATATGAAGAAATCCCGTTTCCAACGAAGGCCTCAAAGAGGTCTGAATATCCACTTGCAGACTTTACAAACAGAGTGTTTCCTAACTGCTCTATGAAAAGAAAGGTTAAACTCTGTGAGTTGAACGCACACATCACAAAGGAGTTTCTGACAATCATTCTGTCTAGTTTTTATACGAAGATATTTCCTTTTCTACCATTGACCTGAAAGCGGCTGAAATCTCCACCCTGCCAATTCCACAAAAAGAGTGTTTCAAGTCTACTCTGTGTAAAGGATCGTTGAACTCTGTGATTTGAAAACACACAACACAACGAAGTTTCTGAGAATTCTTCTGTCCAGCAGAATATGAAGAAATCCCGTTTCCAACGAAAGCCTCAAAGATGTCTGAATATCCACTTGTAGACTTTACAAACAGAGTGTTTCCTAACTGCTCTATGAAAAGAAAGGTTAAACTCTGTGAGTTGAACGCACACATCACAAAGGAGTTTCTGAGAATCATTCTGTCTAGTTTTGAAACGAAGATATTTCCTTTTCTGCCATTGACCTTAAAGAGCTTGAAATCTACACTTGCAAATTGCACAAATAGAGTGTTTCAAATCTGCTCTGTCTAAGGGAACGTTCAACTCTGTGAGTTGAATGCACACAACACAAGGAAGTTACTGGGAATTCTTCTGTCTAGCCTTACATGAAAAAAACCCGTTTCCAACGAAGGCCTCTAAGTGGTCAAAATATCCACGTGCAGACTTTACAAACAGAGTGTTTCCAAACTGCTGAATGAAAAGAAAAGTTAAACTCTGAGAGTTGAACGCACACATCACGCAGCAGTTTCTGAGAATGATTCTGTCTAGTTTTTATACGAAGATATTTCCTTTTCTGCCTTTGGCCTCAAAGCGCTTGAAATCTCCCCTTGCAAATTCCACAAAAAGAGTGTTTCCAATCTGCTCTGTGTAAATGAAAGTTCAACTCTGTGAGTTGAACACACACAACACAAGGAAGTTACTGGGAATTCTTCTTTCTAGCAGAACATGAAGAAATCCCTTTTCCAACGAAGGCCTCAAAGATGTCTGAATATCCACTTGCAGCCTTTACAAACAGAGTGTTTCCTAACTGCTCTATGAAAAGAAAGGTTAAACTCTGTGAGTTGAACGCACACATCACAAAGGAGTTTCTGAGAATCATTCTGTCTAGTTTCTATAGGAAGATATTTCCTATTCTACCATTGACCTCAAAGCGGCTGAAATCTCCACTTGCAAATTCCACAAAAAGAGTGTTTCAAGTCTGCTCTGTGTAAACGATCGTTCAACTCTGTGAGTTGAATACACACAACACAAGGCAGTTACTGAGAATTCTTCTGTCTAGCAGAATATGAAGAAATCCCGTTTCCAACGAAGGCCACAAGATGTCAGAATATCCACTTACAGAATTGACAAACAGACTGTTTCCTAACTGCTCTATGAAAAGAAAGGTTAAACTCTGTGAGTTGAAGGAACACATCACAACGCAGTTTGTGGGAATGATTCTGTCTAGTTTTGAAACGAAGATATTTCCTTTTCTGCCATTGACCTCAAAGCGCTTGAAATCTCCACTTGCCAATTGCAGAAAAAGAGTGTTTCAAATCTGCTCTGTCTAAGGGAACGTTCAACTCTGTGAGTTGAATGTACACAACACAAGGAAGTTACTGGGAATTCTTCTGTCTAGCCTTACATGAAAAAAAACCCGTTTCCAACGAAGGCCTCTAAGTGGTGAAAATATCCACGTGCAGACTTTACAAACTGAGTGTTTCCAAACCGCTGAATGAAAAGAAAAGTTAAACTCTGAGAGTTGAACGCACACATCACGCAGCAGTTTCTGAGAATGATTCTGTCTAGTTTTTATACGAAGATATTTCCTTTTCTGCCTTTGGCCTCAAAGCGCTTGAAATCTCCATTTGCAAATTCCACAAAAAGAGAGTTTCAAATCTGCTCTGTGTAAATGAGAGTTCATCTCTGTGAGTTGAACACACACAACACAAGGAAGTTACTGGGATTTCTTCTCTCTAGCCTTATATGAAAAAAACCCGTTTCCAACGAAGGCCTCAAAGAGGTCTGAATATCCACTTGCAGACTTTAGAAACAGAGTGTTTCCTAACTGCTCTATGAAAAGAAAGGTTAAACTCTGTGAGTTGAACTCACACATCACAAAGGAGTTTCTGAGAATCATTCTGTCTAGTTTTTATAGGAAGTTATTTCCTTTTCTAACTTTGACTTCAAAGCGGCTGAAATCTCCACTTGCAAATTCCACAAAAAGAGTGTTACAAGTCCGCTCTGTGTAAAGGATCGTTCAACTCTGAGAGTTGAATACACACAACACAAGGAAGTTACTGAGAATACTTCTGTCTAGCAGAATATGAAGAAATCCCGTTTCCAACGAAGGCCTCAAGGAGGTCTGAATATCCACTTGCAGACTTTACAAACAGAGTGTTTCCTAACTGCTCTATGAACAGAAAGGTTAAACTCTGTGAGTTGAACGAACACATCACAACGCAGTTTGTGGGAATGATTCTGTCTAGTTTTGAAACGAAGATATTTCCTTTTCTGCCATTGACCTCAAAGCGCTTGAAATCTCCACTTGCCAATTGCACAAAAAGAGTGTTTCAAATCTGCTCTGTCTAAGGGAACGTTCAACTCTGTGAGTTGAATGTACACAACACAAGGAAGTTACTGGGAATTCTTCTGTCTAGCCTTACATGAAAAAAACCCGTTTCCAACGAAGGCCTCTAAGTGGTCAAAATTTCCACGTGCAGACTTTACAAACAGAGTGTTTCCAAACCGCTGAATGAAAAGAAAAGTTAAACTCTGAGAGTTGAACGCACACATCACGCAGCAGTTTCTGAGAATGATTCTGTCTAGTCTTTATACGAAGATATTTCCTTTTCTACCATTGACCACAAAGCGGCTGAAATCTCCACTTGCAAATTCCACAAAAAGAGTGTTTCAAGTCTGCTCTGTGTAAAGGATCATTCAATTCTGTGAGTTGAATAAACACAACACAAGGAAGTTACTGAGAATTCTTCTGTCTAGCAGAATATGAAGAAATCCCGTTTCCAACGAAGGTCTCAACGAGGTCTGAATATCCACTTGCAGACTTTACAAACAGAGTGTTTCCTAACTGCTCTATGAAAAGAAAGGTTAAACTCTGTGAGTTGAACACACACATCACAAAGGAGTTTCTGAGAATCATTCTGTCTAGTTTTTATACGAAGATATTTCCTTTTCTACCATGGACCTCAAAGCGGCTGAAATCTCCACTTGCAAATTCCACAAAAAGAGTGTTTCAAGTCTGCTCTGTGTAAAGGATCGTTCAACTCTGTGAGTTGAATACACACAACACAAGGAAGATTCTGAGAATTCTTCTCTCTAGCAGAATATGAAGAAATCCCGTTTCCATCGAAGGCCACAAGATGTCAGAATATCCACTTACAGAATTGACAAACAGACTGTTTCCTAACTGCTCTATGAAAAGAAAGGTTAAACTCTGTGAGTTGAACGAACACATCTCAACGCAGTTTGTGGGAATGATTCTGTCTAGTTTTGAAAGGAAGATATTTCCTTTTCTGCCATTGACCTTAAAGCGCTTGAAATCTCCACTTGCCAATTGCACAAAAAGAGTGTTTCAAATCTGCTCTGTCTAAGGGAACGTTCAACTCTGTGAGTTGAATGTACACAACACAAGGAAGTTACTGTGAATTCTTCTGTCTAGCCTTACATGAAAAAAACCCGTTTCCAACGAAGGCCTCAAAGAGGTCAAAATATCCACTTGCAGACTTTACAAACAGAGTGTTTCCAAACTGCTGAATGAAAAGAAAAGTTAAACTCTGAGAGTTGAACGCACACATCGCAGAGCAGTTTCTGAGAATGATTCTGTCTAGTTTTTATACGAATATATTTCCTTTTCTGCCTTTGGCCTCAAAGCGCTTGAAATCTCCACTTGCAAATTCCACAAAAAGAGTGTTTCAAATCTGCTCTGTGTAAATGAAAGTTCAACTCTGTGAGTTGAACACACACAACACAAGGAAGTTACTGGGAATTCTTCTGTCTAGCAGAATATGAAGAAATCCCGTTTTCAACGAAGGCCTCAAAGGGGTCTGAATATCCACTTGCAGACTTTACAAACAGAGTGTTTCCTAACTGCTCTATGAAAAGAAAAGTTAAACTCTGTGAGTTGAACGCACACATCACAAAGGAGTTTCTGAGAATCGTTCTGTCTAGTTTTTATACGAAGATATTTCCTTTTCTACAATTGACCTCAAAGCGGTTGAAATCTCCACTTGCAAATTCCACGAAAACAGTGTCTCAAGTCTGCTCTGTGTAAAGAATCGTTGAACTCTGTGAGTTGAATACACACAACAGAAGGAAGTTACTGAGAATTCTTCTGTCTAGCAGAATATGAAGAAATCCCGTTTCCAACGAAGGCCACAAGATGTCAGAATATCCACTTACAGAATTTTCAAACAGACTGTTTCCTAACTGCGCTATGAAAAGAAAGGTTAAACTCTGTGAGTTGAACGAACACATCACAACGCAGTTTGTGGGAATGATTCTGTCTAGTTTTTATACGAAGATATTTCCTTTTCTACCATTGACCTCAAAGCGGCTGAAATCACCACTTGCCAATTGCACAAAAAGTGTGTTTCAAATCTGCTCTGTCTAAGGGAACGTTCAACTCTGTGAGTTGAATGTACACAACACAAGGAAGTTACTGGGAATTCTTCTGTCTAGCCTTACATGAAAAAAACCCGTTTCTAACGAAGGCCTCTAAGTGGTCAAAATATCCACGTGCAGACTTTACAAACAGAGTGTTTCCAAACCGTTGAATGAAAAGAAAAGTTAAACTCTGAGAGTTGAACGCACACATCACGCAGCAGTTTCTGAGTATGATTCTGTCTACTTTTTATACGAAGATATTTCCTTTTCTGCCTTTGGCCTCAAAGCGCTTGAAATCTCCACTTGCAAATTCCACAAAAAGAGTGTTTCAAATCTGCTCTGTGTAAATGAAAGTTCACCTCTGTGAGCTGAACACACACAACACAAGGAAGTTACTGGGAATTCTTCTGTCTAGCATAATATGAAGAAATCCCGTTTCCAACGAAGGCCTCAAATGGGTCTGAATATCCACTTGCAGACTTTATAAACAGAGTGTTTACTAACTGTTCTATGAAAAGAAAGGTTAAACTCTGTGAGTTGAACACACACATCACAAAGGAGTTTCTGAGAATCATTCTGTCTAGTTTTTATACGAAGATATTTCCTTTTCTACCATTGACCTCAAAGCGGCTGAAATGTCCACTTGCAAATTCCACAAAAAGAGTGTTTCAAATCTGCTCTGTGTAAACCATCATTCAACTCTGTGAGTTGAATACACACAACACAAGGAAGATTCTGAGAATTCTTCTGTCTAGCAGAATATGAAGAAATCCCGTTTCCAACGAAGGCCACAAGATGTCAGAATATCCACTTACAGAATTTACAAACAGACTGTTTCCTAACTGCTCTATGAAAAGAAAGGTTAAACTCTGTGAGATGAACGAACACATCACAACGCAGTTTGTGGGAATGATGTCTGTCTAGTTTTGAAACGAAGATATTTCCTTTTCTGCCATTGACCTTAAAGCGATTGAAATCTCCATTTGCCAATTGCACAAAAAGAGTGTTTCAAATCTGCTCTGTCTAAGGGAACGTTCAACTCTGTGAGTTGAATGTACACAACACAAGGAAGTTACTGGGAATTCTTCTGTCTAGACTTACAGGAAGAAAACCCGTTTCCAACGAAGGCCACTAAGTGGTCAAAATATCCACGTGCAGACTTTACAAACAGAGTGTTTCCAAACTGCTGAATGAAAAGAAAAGTTAAACTCTGAGAGTTGAACGCACACATCGCAGAGCAGTTTCTGAGAATGATTCTGTCTAGTTTTGAAACAAAGATATTTCCTTTTCTGCCTTTGGCCTCAAAGCGCTTGAAATCTCCACTTGCAAATTCCACAAAAAGAGTGTTTCAAATCTGCTCTGTGTAAATGAAAGTTCAACTCTGTGAGTCGAACACACACAACACAAGGAAGTTACTGGGAATTCTTCTGTCTAGCAGAATATGAAGAAATCCCGTTTCCAAAGAAGGCCTCAAAGAGGTCTGAATATCCACTTGCAGACTTTACAAACAGAGTGTTTCCTAACTGCTCTATGAGAAGAAAAGTTAAACTCTGTGAGTTGAACGCACACATCACAAAAGATTTTCTGAGAATCATTCTGTCTAGTCTTTATATGAAGGTAGTTTCCTTTTCTACCATTGACCTCAAAGCGGCTGAAATCTCCACTTGCAAATTCCACAAAAAGAGTACTTCAAGTCTGCTCTGTGTAAAGGATCGTTCAACTCTGTGAGTTGAATACACACAACACAAGGAAGTTACTGAGAATTCTTCTGTCTAGCAGAATATGAAGAAATCCCGTTTCCAACGAAGGCCACAAGATGTCAGAATATCCACTTACAGACTTTACAAACAGAGTGTTTCCTAACTGCTCTATGAACAGAAAGGTTAAACTACTGTGAGTTGAACGAACACATCACAACGCAGTTTGTGGGAATGATTTCTGTCTAGTTTTGAAACGAAGATATTTCCTTTTCTGCCTTTGACCTTAAAGCGCTTGAAATCTACACTTGCAAATTGCACAAATAGAGTGTTTCAAATCTGCTCTGTCTAAGGGAACGTTCAACTCTGTGAGTTGAATGCACACAACACAAGGAAGTTACTGGGAATTCTTCTGTCTAGCCTTACATGAAAAAAACCCGTTTCCAACGAAGGCCTCTAAGGGGTCAAATTATCCACGTGCAGACTTTACAAACAGAGTGTTTCCAAACTGCTGAATGAAAAGAAAAGTTAAACTCTGAGAGTTGAACGCACACATCGCAGAGCAGTTTCTGAGAATGATTCTGTCTAGTTTTTATACGAAGATATTTCCTTTTCTGCCTTTGGCTTCACAGCGCTTGAAATCTCCACTTGCAAATTCCACAAAAAGAGTGTTTCAAATCTGCTCTGTGTAAATGAAAGTTCAACTCTGTGAGTTGAACACACACAACACAAGGAAAGTTACTGGGAATTCTTCTGTCTAGCATAATATGAAGAAAACCCGTTTCCAACGAAGGCCTCAAAGAGGTCTGAATATCCACTTGCAGACTTTACAAACAGAGTGTTTCCTAACTGCTCTATGAGAAGAAAAGTTAAACTCTGTGAGTTGAACGCACACATCAACAAGGAGTTTCTGAGAATCATTCTGTCTAGTTTTTCTACGAAGATATTTCCTTTTCTACTATTGACCTCAAAGCGGCTGAAATCTCCACTTGCAAATTCCACAAAAAGAGTGTTTCAAGTCTGCTCTGTGTAAAGGATCGTTCAACTACTGTGAGTTGAATACACACAACACAAGGAAGTTACTGAGAATTATTCTGTCTAGCAGAATAGGAAGAAATCCCGTTTCCAACGAAGGCCTCAAGGAGGTCTGAATATCCACTTGCAGACTTTACAAACAGAGTGTTTCCTAACAGCTCTATGAACAGAAAGGTTAAACTCTGTGAGTTGAACGCACACATCACAAAGGAGTTTCTGAGAATCATTCTGTCTAGTTTTGAAACGAAGATATTTCCTTTTCTGCCGTTGACCTTAAAGCGCTTGAAATCTACACTTGCAAATTGCACAAATAGAGTGTTTCAAATCTGCTCTGTCTAAGGGAACGTTCAACTCTGTGAGTTGAATGCACACAACACAAGGAAGTTACTGGGAATTCTTCTGTCTAGCCTTACATGAAAAAAAACCCGTTTCCAACGAAGGCCTCTAAGTGGTCAAAATATCCACGTGCAGACTTTACAAACAGAGTGTTTCCAAAACGCTGAATGAAAAGAAAAGTTAAACTCTGAGAGTTGAACGCACACATCACGCAGCAGTTTCTGAGAATGATTCTGTCTAGTTTTTCTACGAAGATATTTCCTTTTCTACTATTGACCTGAAAGCGGCTGAAATCTCCACTTGCAAATTCCACAAAAAGAGTGTCTCAAGTCTGCTCTGTGTAAAGGATCGTTCAACTCTGTGAGTTGAATACACACAACACAAGGAAGTTACTGAGAATTCTTCTGTCTAGCAGAATAGGAAGAAATCCCGTTTCCAACGAAGGCCTCAAAGAGGTCTGAATATCCACTTGCAGACTTTACAAACAGAGTGTTTCCTAACTGCTCTATGAAAAGAAAGGTTAAACTCTGTGAGTTGAACGCACACATCACAAAGGAGTTTCTGAGAATCATTCTGTGTAGTTTCTATAGGAAGATATTTCCTATTCTACCATTGAACTCAAAGCGGCTGAAATCTCCACTTGCAAATTCCACAAAAAGAGTGTTTCAAGTCTGCTCTGTGTAAAGGATCGTTCAACTCTGTGAGTTGAATACACACAACACAAGGAAGTTCCTGAGAATTCCTCTGTCTAGCATAATATGAAGAAATCCCGTTTCCAACGAAGGCCTCAAGGAGGTCTGAATATCCACTTGCAGACTTTACAAACAGAGTGTTTCCTAACTGCTCTATGAAAAGAAAGGTTGAACTCTGTGAGTTGAACGCACACATCACAAAGGATATCTCAGAATCATTCTGTCTAGTTTTGAAACCAAGATATTTCCTTTTCTGCCGTTGACCTTAAAGAGCTTGAAAACTACACTTGCAAATTGCACAAATAGAGTGTTTCAAATCTGCTCTGTCTAAGGGAACGTTCAACTCTGTGAGTTGAATGCACACAACACAAGGAAGTTACTGGGAATTCTTCTGTCTAGCCTTACATGAAAAAAACCCCTTTCCAACGAAGGCCTCTAAGTGATCAAATTATCCACGTGCAGACTTTACAAACAGAGTGTTTCCAAACTGCTGAATGAAAAGAAAAGTTAAACTCTGAGAGTTGAACGCACACATCACAGAGCAGTTTCTGAGAATGATTCTGTCTAGTTTTTATACGAAGATATTTCCTTTTCTGCCTTTGGCCTCAAAGCGCTTGAAATCTCCACTTGCAAATTCCACAAAAAGAGTGTTTCAAATCTGCTCATTGTAAATGAAAGTTCAACTCTGTGAGTTGAACACACACAACACAAGGAAGTTACTGGGAATCCTTCTGTCTAGCTTTATATGAAAAAAACCCGTTTCCAACGAAGGCCTCAAAGAGGGCTGAATATCCACTTGCAGACTTTACAAGCAGAGTGTTTCCTAACTGCTCTATGAAAAGAAAGGTTAAAATCTGTGAGTTGAACGCACACATCACAAAGGAGTTTCTGAGAATCATTCTGTCTATTTTCTATAGGAAGATATTTCCTATTCTACCATTGACCTCAAAGCGGCTGAAATCTCCACTTGCAAATTCCACAAAAAGAGAGTTTCAAGTCTGCTCTGTGTAAAGGATCGTTCAACTCTGTGAGTTGAATACACACAACACAAGGAAGTTACTGAGAATTCTTCTGTCTGGCAGAATATGAGGAAAACCCGTTTCCAACGAAGGCCACAAGATGTCAGAATATCCACTTACAGACTTTACAAACAGAGTGTTTCCTAACTGCTCTATGAACAGAAAGGTTAAACTCTGTGAGTTGAACGAGCACATCACAGCGCAGTTTGTGGGAATGATTCTGTCTAGTTTTTCTACGAAGATATTTCCTTTTCTACTATTGACCTCAAAGCGGCTGAAATCTCCACTTGCAAATTCCACAAAAAGAGTGTTTCAAGTCTGCTCTGTGTAAAGGATCGTTCAACTCTGTGAGTTGAATACACACAACACAAGGAAGTTACTGAGATTTATTCTGTCTAGCAGAATAGGAAGAAATCCCGTTTCCAACGAAGGCCTCAAAGAGGTCTGAATATCCACTTGCAGACTTTACAAACAGAGTGTTTCCTAACTGCTCTATGAAAAGAAAAGTTAAACTACTGTGAGTTGAACGCACACATCACAAAGGAGTTTCTGAGAATCGTTCTGTCTAGTTTCTATAGGAAGATATTTCCTATTCTACCATTGACCTCAAAGCGGCTGAAATCTCCACTAGCAAATTCCACAAAAAGAGTGTTTCAAGTCTGCTCTGTGTAAAGGATCGTTCAACTCTGTGAGTTGAAAACACACAACACAAGGAAGTTTCTGAGAATTCTTCTGTCTAGCTGAACATGAAGAAATCCCGCTTCCAACGAAGGCCTCAAGGAGGTCTGAATATCCACTTGCAGACTTTACAAACAGAGTGTTTCCTAACTGCTCTATGAAAAGAAAGGTTAAACTCTGTGAGTTGAACGCACACATCACAAAGGAGTTTCTGAGAATCATTCTGTCTAGTTTCTATAGGAAGATATTTCCTATTCTACCATTGACCTCAAAGCGGCTGAAATCTCCACTTGCAAATTCCACAAAAAGAATGTTTCAAGTCTGCTCTGTGTAAAGGACCGTTCAACTCTGTGAGTTGAATACACACAACACAAGGAAGTTACTGAGAATTATTCTGTCTAGCAGAATATGAAGAAATCCCGTTTCCAACGAAGGCCACAAGATGTCAGAATATCCACTTACAGAATTTACAAACAGACTGTTTCCTAACTGCTCTATGAAAAGAAAGGTTAAACTCTGTGAGATGAACGAACACATCACAACGCAGTTTTTGGGAATGATTTCTGTCTAGTTTTAAAACGAAGATATTTCCTTTTCTGCCATTGACCTTAAAGCGCTTGAAATCTACACTTGCAAATTGCACAAATAGAGTGTTTCAAGTCTGCTCTGTGTAAAGGATCCGTTCAACTCTGTGAGTTGAATACACACAACACAAGGAAGTTACTGAGAATTCTTCTGTCTAGCAGAATATGAAGAAATCCCGTTTCCAACGAAGGCCTCAAAGAGGTCTGAATATCCACTTGAAGACTTTACAAACAGAGTGTTTCCTAACTGCTCTATGAAAAGAAAGGTTAATCTCTGTGAGTTGAACGCACACATCACAAAGGAGTTTCTGAGAATCATTCTGTCTAGTTTTTATAGGAAGATATTTCCTTTTCTACCTTTGACTTCAAAGCGGCTGAAATCTCCACTTGCAAATTCCACAAAAAGAGTGTTAGAAGTCTGCTCTGTGTAAAGGATCGTTCAACTCTGTGAGTTGAATACACACAACACAAGGAAGTTACTGAGAATTCTTCTGTCTAGCATAGTATGAAGAAATCCCGTTTCCAACGAAGGCCTCAAACAGGTCTGAATATCCACTTGCAGAGTTTACAAACAGAGTGTTTCCTAACTGCTCTATGAAAAGAAAGGTTAAACTCTGTGAGTTGAACGCACACATCACAAAGAAGTTTCTGAGAATCATTCTGTCTAGTTTCTATAAGAAGATATTTCCTATTCTACCATTGACCTCAAAGCGGCTGAAATCTCCACTTGCAAATTCGACAAACAGAGTGTTTCAAGCCTGCTCTCTCTAAAGGATCCTTCAACTCTGTGAGTTGAATACACACAACACAAGGAAGTTACTGAGAATTATTCTGTCTAGCAGAATATGAAGAAATCCTGTTTCCAACGAAGGCCACAAGATGTCAGAATATCCACTTACAGACTTTACAAACAGAGTGTTTCCTCACTGCTCTATGAACAGAAAGGTTAAACTCTGTGAGTTGAACGAACACATCACAACGCAGTTTGTGGGAATGATTCTGTCTAGTTTTAAAACGAAGATATTTCCTTTTCTGCCATTGACCTTAAAGCGCTTGAAATCTACACTTGCAAATTGCACAAATAGAGTGTTTCAAGTCTGCTCTGTGTAAAGGATCGTTCAACTCTGTGAGTTGAATACACACAACACAAGGAAGTTACTGAGAATTCTTCTGTCTAGCCTTACATGAAAAAAACCCGTTTCCAACGAAGGCCTCTAAGTGGTCAAAATATCCACGTGCAGACTTTACAAACAGAGTGTTTCCAAACCGCTGAATGAAAAGAAAAGTTAAACTCTGAGAGTTGAACGCACATATCATGCAGCAGTTTCTGAGAATGATTCTGTCTAGTTTTGAAACGAAGATATTTCCTTTTCTGCCTTTGGCCTCAAAGCGCTTGAAGTCTCCACTTGCAAATTCCACAAAAAGAGTGTTTCAAATCTGCTCTGTGTAAATGAAAGTTCAACTCTGTGAGTTGAACACACACAACACAAGGAAGTTACTGGGAATTCTTCTGTCTAGCCTTACATGAAAAAAACCCGTTTCCAACGAAGGCCTCAAAGAGGTCAAAATATCCACTTGCAGACATTACAAACAGAGTGTTTCCTAACTACTCTATGAATAGAAAGGTTAAACTCTGTGAGTTGAACGCACACATCACAAAGGAGTTTCTGAGAATCATTCTGTCTAGTTTTTATACGAAGATATTTCCTTTTCTACCATTGACCTCAACGCGGCTGAAATCTCCACTTGCAAATTCCACAAAAAGAGTGTTTCAAGTCCGCTCTGTGTAAAGGGTCTTTCAACTCTGTGAGTTGAATACACACAACACAAGGGAAGATTCTGAGAATTCTTCTGTCTAGCAGAATATGAAGAAATCCCGTTTCCAACGAAGGCCTCAAAGAGGTCTGAATATCCACTTGCAGACTTTACAAACAGAGTGTTTCCTAACTGCTCTATGAAAAGAAAAGTTAAACTCTGCGAGTTGAACGCACACATCAGAAAGGAGTTTCTGAGAATCATTCTGTCTAGTTTTGAAACGAAGATATTTCCTTTTCTGCCATTGACCTTAAAGCGCTTGAAATCTCCACTTGCCAATTGCACAAAAAGAGTGTTTCAAATCTGCTCTGTCTAAGGGAACGTTCAACTCTGTGAGTTGAATGTACACAACGCAAGGAAGTTACTGGGAATTCTTCTGTCTAGCCTTATATGAAAAAAACCCGTTTCCAACGAAGGCCTCAAAGAGGTCTGAATATCCACTTGCAGACTTTACAAACAGAGTGTTTCCTAACTGCTGAATGAAAAGAAAAGTTAAACTCTGAGAGTTGAACGCACACATCGCAGAGCAGTTTCTGAGAATGATTCTGCTGAGTTTTTATACGAAGATATTTCCTTTTCTGCCTTTGGCCCCAAAGCGCTTGAAATCTCCACTTGCAAATTCCACAAAAACAGTGTTTCAAATCTGCTCTCTCTAAATGAAAGTTCAACTCTGTCAGTTGAATACACACAACACAAGGAAGTTACTGAGAATTCTTCTGTCTAGCCTTATATGAAAAAACCCCGTTGCCAACGAAGGCCTCAAAGAAGTCCAAATATCCACGTGCAGACTTTACAAACAGAGTGTTTCCTAACTGCTCTATGAAAAGAAAGGTTAAACTCTGTGAGTTGAACGCACACATCACAAAGGAGTTTCTGAGAATCATTCTGTCTAGTTTTGAAACGAAGATATTTCCTTTTCTACCATTGACCTCAACGCGGCTGAAATCTCCATTTGCAAATTCCACAAAAAGAGTGTTTCAAATCTGCTCTGTGTAAATGAAAGTTCAACTCTGTGAGTTGAACACACACAACACAAGGAAGTTACTGGGAATTCTTCTGTCTAGCCTTACAGGAAAAAAACCCGTTTCCAACGAAGGCCTCAAAGAGGTCTGAATATCCTCTTGCAGACTTTACAAACAGAGTGTTTCCTAACTGCTCTATGAAAAGAAAGGTTAAACTCTGTGAGTTGGACACACACATCACAAAGGAGTTTCTGAGAATCATTCTGTCTAGTTTTGAAACGAAGATATTTCCTTTTCTGCCGTTGACCTTAAAGCGCTTGAAATCTACACTTGCAAATTGCACAAATAGAGTGTTTCAAATCTGCTCTGTCTAAGGGAACGTTCAACTCTGTGAGTTGAATGCACACAACACAAGGAAGTTACTGGGAATTCTTCTCTCTAGCCTTACATGAAAAAAACCCGTTTCCAACGAAGGCCTCTAAGTGGTCAAAATTTCCACGTGCAGACTTTACAAACAGAGTGTTTCCAAACCGCTGAATGAAAAGAAAAGTTAAACTCTGAGAGTTGAACGCACACATCACGCAGCAGTTTCTGAGAATGATTCTGTCTAGTTTTGAAACGAAGATATTTCCTTTTCTGCCTTTGGCCTCAAAGCGCTTGAAATCTCCACTTGCAAATTCCACAAAAAGAGTGTTTCAAATCTGCTCTGTGTAAATGAAAGTTCAAATCTGTGAGTTGAACACACACAACACAAGGAAGTTACTGGGAATTCTTCTTTCTAGCAGAATATGAAGAAATCCCGTTTCCAACGAAAGCTTCAAGGATGTGTGAATATCCACTTGCAGACTTTACAAACAGAGTGTTTCCTAACTGCTCTATGAAAAGAAAGTTTAAACTCTGTGAGTTGAACGCACACATCACAAAGGAGTTTCTGAGAATCATTCTGTCTAGTCTTTATACGAAGATATTTCCTTTTCTACCATTGACCTCAAAGCGGCTGAAATCTCCACTTGCAAATTCCACAAAAAGAGTGTTTCAAGTCTGCTCTGTGTAAAGGATTGTTCAACTCTGTGAGTTGAATACACACAACACAAGGAAGTTACTGAGAATTCTTCTGTCTAGCAGAATATGAAGAAATCCCGTTTCCAACGAAGGCCTAAAGGAGGTCTGAATATCCACTTGCAGACTTTACAAACAGAGTGTTTCCTAACTGCTCTATGAACAGAAAGGTTAAACTCTGTGAGTTGAACGCACACATCACAAAGGAGTTTCTGAGAATCATTCTGTCTAGTTTTGAAACGAAGATATTTCCTTTTCTGCCGTTGACCTTAAAGCGCTTGAAATCTACACTTGCAAATTGCACAAATAGAGTGTTTCAAATCTGCTCTGTCTAAGGGAACGTTCAACTCTGTGAGTTGAATGCACACAACACAAGGAAGTTACTGGGAATTCTTCTGTCTAGCCTTACATGAAAAAAACCCGTTTCCAACGAAGGCCTCTAAGTGGTCAAAATTTCCACGTGCAGAATTTACAAACAGAGTGTTTCCAAACCGCTGAATGAAAAGAAAAGTTAAACTCTGAGAGTTGAACGCACACATCACGCAGCAGTTTCTGAGAATGATTCTGTCTAGTTTTTATACGAAGATATTTCCTTTTCTGTCTTTGGCCTCAAAGCGCTTGAAATCTCCATTTGCAAATTCCACAAAAAGAGTGTTTCAAATCTGCTCTGTGTAAATGAAAGTTCAACTCTGTGAGTTGAACACACACAACACAAGGAAGTTACTGGGAATTCTTCTGTCTAGCAGAATATGAAGAAATCCCGTTTCCAACGAAGGCCTCAAGGAGGTCTGAATATCCACTTGCAGACTTTACAAACAGAGTGTTTCCTAACTGCTCTATGAAAAGAAAGGTGAAACTCTGTGAGTTGAACGCACACATCACAAAGGAGTTTCTGAGAATCATTCTGTCTATTCTTTATACGAAGATATATCCTTTTCTACCATTGACCTCAAAGCGGCTGAAATCTCCACTTGCAAATTCCACAAAAAGAGTGTTTCAAGTCTGCTCTCTGTAAAGGATCGTTCAACTCTGTGAGTTGAATACACACAACACAAGGAAGTTACTGAGAATTCTTCTGTCTAGCATAATATGATGAAATCCCGTTTCCAACGAAGGCCTCAAGGAGGTCTGAATATCCACTTGCAGACTTTACAAACAGAGTGTTTCCTAACTGCTCTATGAACAGAAAGGTTAAACTCTGTGAGTTGAACGAACACATCACAACGCAGTTTGTGGGAATGATTCTGTCTAGTTTTGAAACGAAGATATTTCCTTTTCTGCCGTTGACCATAAAGAGCTTGAAATCTACACTTGCAAATTGCACAAATAGAGTGTTTCAAATCTGCTCTGTCTAAGGGAACGTTCAACTCTGTGAGTTGAATGCACACAACACAAGGAAGTTACTGGGAATTCTTCTGTCTAGCAGAATATGAAGAAATCCCGTTTCCAACGGTAGGCCACAAGATGTCAGAATATCCACTTACAGAATTTACCAACAGAGTGTTTCCTAACTGCTCTATGAAAAGAAAGGTTAAACTCTGTGAGTTGAACGAACACATCACAACGCAGTTTGTGGGAATGATTCTGTCTAGTTTTTATAGGAAGATATTTCCTTTTCTACCTTTGACCTCAAAGCGGCTGAAATCTCCACTTGCAAATTCCACAAAAAGAGTGTTTCAAGTCTGCTCTGTGTAAAGGATCGTTCAACTCTGTGAGTTGAATACACACAACACGCGGAAGTTACTGAGAATTCTTCTGTCTAGCATAGTATGAAGAAATCCCGTTTCCAACGAAGGCCTCAAAGAGGTCTGAATATCAACTTGCAGAGTTTACAAACAGAGTGTTTCCTAACTGCTCTATGAAAAGAAAGGTTAAACTCTGTGAGTTGAACGCACACATCACAAAGAAGTTTCTGAGAATCATTCTGTCTAGTCTTTATACGAAGATATTTACTTTTCTACCATTGACCTCAAAGCGGCTGAAATCTCCACTTGCAAATTCCACAAAAAGAGTGTTTCAAGTCTGCTCTGTGTAAAGGATCATTCAACTCTGTGAGTTGAATAAACACAACACAAGGAAGTTACTGAGAATTCTTCTGTCTAGCAGAATATGAAGAAATCCCGTTTCCAACGAAGGCCTCAAGGAGGTCTGAATATCCACTTGCAGACTTTACAAACAGAGTGTTTCCTAACTGCTCTATGAAAAGAAAGGTTAGACTCTGTGAGTTGAACGCACACATCACAAAGGAGTTTATGAGAATCATTCTGTCTAGTTTTGAAACGAAGATATTTCCTTTTCTGCCGTTGACCTTAAAGAGCTTGAAAACTACACTTGCAAATTGCACAAATAGAGTGTTTCAAATCTGCTCTGTCTAAGGGAACGTTCAACTCTGTGAGTTGAATGCACACAACACAAGGAAGTTACTGGGAATTCTTCTGTCTAGCCTTACATGAAAAAAACCCGTTTCCAACGAAGGCCTCTAAGTGGTCAAAATTTCCACGTGTAGACTTTACAAACAGAGTGTTTCCAAACCGCTGAATGAAAAGAAAAGTTAAACTCTGAGAGTTGAACGCACACATTACGCAGCAGTTTCTGAGAATGATTCTGTCTAGTTTTTATACGAAGATATATCTTTTTCTGCCTTTGGCCCCAAAGCGCTTGAAATCTCCACGTGCAAATTCCACAAAAACAGTGTTTCAAATCTGCTCTCTCTAAATGAAAGTTCAACTCTGTCACTTGAATACACACAACACAAGGAAGTTACTGAGAATTCTTCTGTCTAGCCTTATATGAAAAAAACCCGTTTCCAACGAAGGCCTCAAGGAGGTCTGAATATCCACTTGCAGACTTTACAAACAGAGTGTTTCCTAACTGCTCTATGAAAAGAAAGGTTAAACTCTGTGAGTTGAACGCACACATCACAAAGAAGTTTCTGAGAATCATTCTGTCTAGTTTTTATACGAAGATATTTCCTTTTCTACCATTGAACTCAAAGCGGCTGAAATCTCCACTTGCAAATTACACAAAAAGTGTGTTTCAAGTCTACTCAGTGTAAAGCATCGTTCAACTCTGTGAGTTGAAAACACACAACACAAGGAAGTTTCTGAGAATTCTTCTGTCTAGCACAGTATGAAGAAATCCCGTTTCCAACGAAGGCCTCAAAGAGGTCTAAATATCCACTTGCAGAGTTTACAAACAGAGTGTTTCCTAACTGCTCTATGAAAAGAAAGGTTAAACTCTGTGAGTTGAACGCACACATCACAAAGGAGTTTCTGAGAATCATTCTGTCTAGTTTTTATACGAACATATTTCCTTTTCTACCATTGACCTCAAAGCGGCTGAAATCACCACTTGCCAATTGCACAAAAAGAGTGTTTCAAATCTGCTCTGTCTAAGGGAACGTTCAACTCTGTGAGTTGAATGTACACAACACAAGGAAGTTCCTGGGAATTCTTCTGTCTAGCCTTACATGAAAAAAACCCGTTTCCAACGAAGGCCTCTAAGTGGTCAAATTATCCACGTGCAGACTTTACAAACAGAGTGTTTCCAAACTGCTGAATGAAAAGAAAAGTTAAACTCTGAGAGTTGAACGCACACATCGCAGAGCAGTTTCTGAGAATGATTCTGTCCAGTTTTGAAACGAAGATATTTCCTTTTCTGCCTTTGGCCTCAAAGCGCTTGAAATCTCCACTTGCAAATTCCACAAAAAGAGTGTTTCAAATCTGCTCTGTGTAAATGAAAGTTCAACTCTGTGAGTTGAACACACACAACACAAGGAAGTTACTGGGAATTCTTCTGTCTAGCCTTATATGAAAAAAACCCGTTTCCAACGAAGGCCTCAAAGAGGTCTGAATATCCACTTGCAGACTTTACAAACAGAGTGTTTCCTAACTGCTCTATGAAAAGAAAGGTTAAACTGCTGTGAGTTGAACGCACACATCACAAAGGAGTTTCTGAGAATCATTGTCTGTCTAGTTTCTATAGGAAGATATTTCCTATTCTACCATTGACCTCAAAGCGGCTGAAATCTCCACTTGCAAATTCCACAAAAAGTGTGTTTCAAGTCTGCTCTGTGTAAAGGATCGTTCAACTCTGTGAGTTGAATACACACAACACAAGGAAGTTACTGAGAATTCTTCTGTCTAGCAGAATATGAAGAAATCCCTTTTCCAACGAAGGCCACAAGATGTCAGAATATCCACTTACAGACTTTACAAACAGAGTGTTTCCTAACTGCTCTATGAAGAGAAAGGTTAAACTCTGTGAGTTGAACGAACACATCACAACGCAGTTTGTGGGAATGATTCTGTCTAGTTTTGAAACGAAGATATTTCCTTTTCTGCCACTGACCTTAAAGCGCTTGAAATCTACACTTGCAAATTGCACAAATAGAGTGTTTCAAATCTGCTCTGTCTAAGGGAACGTTCAACTCTGTGAGTTGAATGCACACAACACAAGGAAGTTACTGGGAATTCTTCTGTCTAGCCTTACATGAAAAAAACCCGTTTCCAACGAAGGCCTCTAAGTGGTCAAAATATCCACGTGCAGACTTTACAAACACAGTGTTTCCAAACCGCTGAATGAAAAGAAAAGTTAAATTCTGAGAGTTGAACGCGCACATCACGCAGCAGTTTCTGAGAATGATTCTGTCTAGTTTTTATACGAAGATATTTCCTTTTCTGCCTTTGGCCTCAAAGTGCATGAATTCTCCATTTGCAAATTCCACAAAAAGAGTGTTTCAAATCTGCTCTGTCTAAATGAAAGTTCAACTCTGTGAGTTCAACACACACAACACAAGGGAAGTTACTGGGAATTCTTCTGTCTAGCCTTACATGAAAAAACCCGTTTCCAACGAAGGCCTCAAAGAAGTCCAAATATCCACGTGCAGACTTTACAAACCGAGTGTTTCCTAACTGCTCTATGAAAAGAAAGGTTAAACCCTGTGAGATGAACGCACACATCACAAAGGAGTTTCTGAGAATCATTCTGTCTAGTTTTTTTACGAAGATATTTCCTTTTCTACCATTGACCTCAAAGCGGCTGAAATCTCCACTTGCAAATTCCACAAAAAGAGTGTTTCAAGTCTGCTCTGTGTAAAGGATCGTTCCACTCTGTGAGTTGAATACAAACAACACAAGGAAGTTACTGAGAATTCTTCTGTCTAGCAGAATATGAAGAAATCCCGTTTCCAACGAACGCCACAAGATGTCAGAATATCCACTTACAGACTTTACAAACAGAGTGTTTCCTAACTGCTCTATGAACAGAAAGGTTAAACTCTGTGAGTTGAACGAACACATCACAACGCAGTTTGTGGGAATGATTCTGTCTAGTTTTGAAACGAAGATATTTCCTTTTCTGCCATTGACCTTAAAGCGCTTGAAATCTACACTTGCAAATTGCACAAATAGAGTGTTTCAAATCTGCTCTGTCTAAGGGAACGTTCAACTCTGTGAGTTGAATGCACACAACAAAAGGAAGTTACTGGGAATTCTTCTGTCTAGCCTTACATGAAAAAAACCCGTTTCCAACGAAGGCCTCTAAGCGGTCAAATTATGCACGTGCAGACTTTACAAACAGAGTGTTTCCAAACTGCTGAATGAAAGGAAAAGTTAAACTCTGAGAGTTGAACGCACACATCGCAGAGCAGTTTCTGAGCATGATTCTGTCTAGTTTTTCTACGAAGATATTTCCTTTTCTACTATTGACCTCAAAGCGGCTGAAATCTCCACTTGCAAATTCCACTAAAAGAGTGTTTCAAGTCTGCTTTGTGTAAAGGATCGTTCAACTCTGTGAGTTGAGTACACACAACACAAGGAAGTTACTGAGAATTCTTCTTTCTAGCAGAATATGAAGAAATCCCGTTTCCAACGAAGGCCTCAAGGAGGTCTGAATATCCACTTGCAGACTTTACAAACAGAGTGTTTCCTAACAGCTCTATGAAAAGAAAGGTTAAACTGTGTGAGTTGAACGCACACATCACAAAGGAGTTTCTGAGAATCATTCTGTCTAGTCTTTATACGAAGATATTTACTTTTCTACCATTGACCTCAAAGCGGCTGAAATCTCCACTTGCAAATTCCACAAAAAGAGTGTTTCAAGTCTGCTCTGTGTAAAGGATCATTCAACTCTGTGAGTTGAATAAACACAACACAAGGAAGTTAATGAGAATTCTTCTGTCTAGCACAGTATGAAGAAATCCGGTTTCCAACGAAGGCCTCAAAGAGGTCTGAATATCCACTTGCAGAGTTTACAAACAGAGTGTTTCCTAACTGCTCTATGAAAAGAAAGGTTAAACTCCTGTGAGTTGAACACACACATCTCAAAGGAGTTTCTGAGAATCATTTCTGTCTAGTTTTTATACGAAGATATTTCCTTTTCTACCATTGACCTCAAAGCGCCTGAAATCACCACTTACCAATTGCACAAAAAGAGTGTTTCAAATCTGCTCTGTCTAAGGGAACGTTCAACTCTGTGAGTTGAATGTGGACAACACAAGGAAGTTACTGGGAATTCTTCTGTCTAGCCTTACATGCAAAAAACCCGTTTCCAACGAAGGCCTCTAAGTGGTCAAAATATCCACGTGCAGACTTTACAAACAGAGTGTTTCCAAACCGCTGAATGAAAAGAATAGTTAAACTCTTAGAGTTGAACGCACACATCACGCAGCAGTTTCTGAGAATGATTCTGTCTAGTTTTCAAACGAAGATATTAACTTTTCTGCCTTTGGCCTCAAAGCGCTTGAAATCTCCACTTGCAAATTCCACAAAAAGAGTGTTTCAAATCTGCTCTGTGTAAATGAAAGTTCAACTCTGTGAGTTGAACACACACAACACAAGGAAGTTACTGGGAATTCTTCTGTCTAGCTTATATGAAAAAAACCCGTTTCCAACGAAGGCCTCAAAGAGGTCTGAATATCCACTTGCAGACTTTACAAACAGAGTGTTTCCTAACTGCTCTATGAAAAGAAAGGTTAAACTCTGTGAGTTGAACGCACACATCACAAAGGAGTTTCTGAGAATCATTCTGTCTAGTTTCTATAGGAAGATATTTCCTATTCTACCATTGAACTCAAAGCGGCTGAAATCTCCACTTGCAAATTCCACAAAAAGAGTGTTTCAAGTCTGCTCTGTGTAAAGGATCATTCAACTCTGTGAGTTGAATACACACAACACAGGGAAGTTACTGAGAATTCTTCTGTCTAGCAGAATATGAAGAAATCCCGTTTCCAACGAAGGCCACAAGATGTCAGAATATCCCCTTACAGAATTTTCAAACAGACTGTTTCCTAACTGCTCTATGAAAAGAAAGGTTACACTCTGTGAGTAGAACGAACACATCACAACGCAGTTTGTGGGAATGATTCTGTCTAGTTTTGAAACGAAGATATTTCCTTTTCTGCCATTGACCTCAAAGCGCTTGAAATCTCCACTTGCCAATTGCACAAAAAGAGTGTTTCAAATCTGCTCTGTCTAAGGGAACGTTCAACTCTGTGAGTTGAATGTACACAACACAAGGAAGTTACTGGGAATTCTTTTGTCTAGCCTTACAGGAAAAAAACCCGTTTCCAACGAAGGCCTCTAAGTGGTCAAGTTATCCACGTGCAGACTTTACAGAGTGTTTCCAAACTGCTGAATGAAAAGAAAAGTTAAACTCTGAGAGTTGAACGCACACATCGCAGAGCAGTTTCTGAGAATGATTCTGTCTAGTTTTTATACGAAGATATTTCCTTTTCTGCCTTTGGCCTCAAAGCGCTTGAAATCTCCATTTGCAAATTCCACAAAAAGAGTGTTTCAAATCTGCTCTGTGTAAATGAAAGTTCAACTCTGTGAGTTGAACACACACAACACAAGGAAGTTACTGGGAATTCTTCTGTCTAGCAGAATATGAAGAAATCCCGTTTCCAACGAAGGCCTCAAGGAGATCTGAATATCCACTTGCAGACTTTACAAACAGAGTGTTTCCTAACTGCTCTATGAACAGAAAGGTTAAACTCTGTGAGTTGAACGCACACATCACAAAGGAGTTTCTGAGAATCATTCTGTCTAGTTTTTCTACGAAGATATTTCCTTTTCTACTATTGACGTCAAAGCGGCTGAAATCTCCACTTGCAAATTCTACAAATAGAGTGTTTCAAGTCTGCTCTGTGTAAAGGATCGTTCAACTCTGTGAGTTGAATACACACAACACAAGGAAGTTACTGAGAATTCTTCCGTCTAACCTTACGTGAAAAAAACCTGTTTCCAACGAAGGCCTCTAAGTGGTCAAGTTATCCACGTGCAGACTTTACAAACAGAGTGTTTCCGAACTGCTGAATGAAAAGAAAAGTTAAACTCTGAGAGTTGAACGCACACATCGCAGAGCAGTTTCTGAGAATGATTCTGTCTAGTTTTTATACGAAGATATTTCCTTTTCTGCCTTTGGCCTCAAAGCGCTTGAAATCTCCATTTGCAAATTCCACAAAAAGAGTGTTTCAAATGTGCTCTGTGTAAATGAAAGTTCAACTCTGTGAGTTGAACACACACAACACAAGGAAGTTACTGGGAATTCTTCCGTCTAGCCTTATATGAAAAAAACCCGTTTCCAAAGAAGGCCTCAAAGAGGTCTGAATATCCTCTTGCAGACTTTACAAACAGAGTGTTTCCTAACTGCTCTATGAAAAGAAAGGTTAAACTCTGTGAGTTGAACACACACATCACAAAGGAGTTTCTGAGAATCATTCTGTCTAGTTTTTATACGAAGATATTTCCTTTTCTACCATTGACCTCAACGCGGCTGAAATCTCCACTTGCAAGTTCCACAAAAAGTGTGTTTCAAGTCCGCTCTGTGTAAAGGATCGTTCAACTCTGTGAGTTGAATACACACAACACAAGGAAGTTACTGAGAATTCTTCTGTCTAGCACAGTATGAAGAAATCCCGTTTCCAACGAAGGCCTCAAAGAGGTCTGAATATCCACTTGCAGACTTTACAAACAGAGTGTTTCCTAACTGCTCTATGAAAAGAAAGGTTAAACTCTGTGAGTTGAACGCACACGTCACAATGAAGTTTCTGAGAATCATTCTGTCTAGTTTTTATACGAAGATATTTCCTTTTCTACCATTGACCTCAAAGCGGCTGAAATCACCACTTGCCAATTGCAGAAAAAGAGTGTTTCATATCTGTTCTGTCTAAGGGAACGTTCAACTCTGTGAGTTGAATGTACACAACACAAGGAAGTTACTGGGAATTGCTCTGTCTAGCCTTACATGAAAAAAACCCGTTTCCAATGAAGGCCTCTAAGTGGTCAAATTATCCACGTGCAGACTTTACAAACAGAGTGTTTCCAAACTGCTGAATGAAAAGAAAAGTTAAACTCTGTGAGTTGAACGCACACATCACAAAGGAGTTTCTGAGAATCATTCTGTCTAGTTTTGAAACGAAGATATTTCCTTTTCTGCCATTGAACTTAAAGCGCTTGAAATCTCCATTTGCCAATTGCACAAAAAGAGTGTTTCAAATCTGCTCTGTCTAAGGGAACGTTCAACTCTGTGAGTTGAATGTACACAACACAAGGAAGTTACTGGGAATTCTTCTGTCTAGCCTTACAGGAAAAAAACCCGTTTCCAACGAAGGCCTCTAAGTGGTCAAAATATCCACGTGCAGACTTTACAAACAGAGTGTTTCCAAACTGCTGAATGAAAAGAAAAGTTAAACTCTGAGAGTTGAACGCATACATCGCAGAGCAGTTTCTGAGAAAGATTCTGTCTAGTTTTTATACGAAGATATTACCTTTTCTGCCTTTGGCCCCAAAGCGCTTGAAATCTCCACTTGCAAATTCCACAAAAACAGTGTTTCAAATCTGCTCTCTCTAAATGAATGTTCAACTCTGTCAGTTGAATACACACAACACAAGGAAGTTACTGAGAATTCTTCTGTCTAGCATAGTATGAAGAAATCCCGTTTCCAACGAAGGCCTCAAAGAGGTCTGAATATCCACTTGCAGAGTTTACAGAGTGTTTCCTAACTGCTCTATGAAAGGAAAGGTTAAACTCTGTGAGTTGAACGCACACATCACAAAGAAGTTTCTGAGAATCATTCTGTCTAGTTTCTATAGGAAGATATTTCCTATTCTACCATTGACCTCAAAGCGGCTGAAATCTCCACTTGCAAATTCCACAAAAGGAGTGTTTCAAGTCTGCTCTGTGTAAAGGATCGTTCAACTCTGTGAGTTGAAAACACACAACACAAGGAAGTTTATGAGAATTCTTCCGTCTAGCAGAATATGAAGAAATCCCGTTTCCAACGAAGGCCACAAGATGTCGGAATATCCACTTACAGACTTTACAAACAGAGTGTTTCCTAACTGCTCTATGAACATAAAGGTTAAACTCTGTGAGTTGAACGAACACATCACAACGCAGTTTGTGGGAATGATTCTGCCTAGTTTTGAAACGAAGATATTTCCTTTTCTGCATTGACCTTAAAGCGCTTGAAATCTCCATTTGCCAATTGCACAAAAAGAGTGTTTCAAATCTGCTCTGTCTAAGGGAACGTTCAACTCTGTGAGTTGAATGTACACAACACAAGGAAGTTACTGGGAATTCTTCTGTCTAGCCTTACATGAAAAAATCCCGTTTCCAACGAAGGTCTCTAAGTTGTCAAAATTTCCACGTGCAGACTTTACAAACAGAGTGTTTCCAAACCGCTGAATGAAAAGAAAAGTTAAACTCTGAGTGTTGATCGCACACATCACGCAGCAGTTTCTGAGAATGATTCTGTCTAGTTTTTATACGAAGATATTTCCTTTTCTGCCTTTAGCCTCAAAGCGCTTGAAATCTCCACTTGCAAATTCCACAAAAAGAGTGTTTCAAATCTGCTCTGTGTAAATGAAAGTTCAACTCTGTGAGTTGAACACACACAACACAAGGAAGTTACTGGGAATTCTTCTTTCTAGCAGAATATGAAGAAATCCCGTTTCCAACGAAAGCCTCAAAGAAGTCTGAATATCCACTTGCAGACTTTACAAACAGAGTGTTTCCCAACTGCTCTATGAAAAGAAAGGTTAAACTCTGTGAGTTGAACGCACGCATCACAAAGGAGTTTCTGAGAATCATTCTGTCTAGTTTCTATAGGAAGATATTTCCTATTCTACCATTGACCTCAAAGCGGCTGAAATCTCCACTTGCAAATTCCACAAAAAGAGTGTTTCAAGTCTGCTCTCTGTAAAGGATCGTTCAACTCTGTGAGTTGAATACACACAACACAAGGAAGTTACTGAGAATTATTCTGTCTAGCATAATATGAAGAAATCCCGTTTCCAATGAAGGCCTCAAAGAGGTCTGAATATCCACTTGCAGACTTTACAAACAGAGTGTTTCCTAACTGCTCTATGAAAAGAAAAGTTAAACTCTGTGAGTTGAACGCACACATCACAAAGGATTTTCTGAGAATCATTCTGTCTAGTTTTGAAACGAAGATATTTCCTTTCCTGCCATTGACCTTAAAGCGCTTGAAATCTCCATTTGCCAATTGCACAAAAAGAGTGTTTCAAATCTGCTCTGTCTAAGGGAACGTTCAACTCTGTGAGTTGAATGTACACAACACAAGGAAGTTACTGGGAATTCTTCTGTCTAGCCTTACAGGAAAAAAACCCGTTTCCAACGAAGGCCTCTAAGTGGTCGAAATATCCACGTGCAGACTTTACAAACAGAGTGTTTCCAAACTGCTGAATGAAAAGAAAAGTTAAACTCTGAGAGTTGAACGCACACATCGCAGAGCAGTTTCTGAGAATGATTCTGTCTAGTTTTTATACAAAGATATTTCCTTTTCTGCCTTTGGCCTCAAAGCGCTTGAAATCTCCATTTGCAAATTCCACAAAAAGAGTGTTTCAAATCTGCTCTGTGTAAATGAAAGTTCAACTCTGTGAGTTGAACACACACAACACAAGGAAGTTACTGGGAATTCTTCTGTCTAGCATAATATGAAGAAATCCCGTTTCCAACGAAGGCCTCAAAGGGGTCTGAATATCCACTTGCAGACTTTATAAACAGAGTGTTTACTAGCTGCTCTATGAAAAGAAAGGTTAAACTCTGTGAGTTGAACACACACATCACAAAGGAGTTTCTGAGAATCATTCTGTCTAGTTTCTATAAGAAGATATTTCCTATTCTACCATTGACCTCAAAGCGGCTGAAATCTCCACTTGCAAATTCGACAAAAAGAGTGTTTCAAGCCTGCTCTCTGTAAAGGATCCTTCAACTCTGTGAGTTGAATACACACAACACAAGGAAAGTTACTGAGAATTATTCTGTCTAGCAGAATATGAAGAAATCCCGTTTCCAACGAAGGCCACAAGATGTCAGAATATCCACTTACAGACATTACAAACAGAGTGTTTCCTAACTGCTCTATGTAACAGAAAGGTTAAACTCTGTGAGTTGAACGAACACATCACAACGCAGTTTGTGGGAATGATTCTGTCTAGTTTTTATACGAAGATATTTCCTTTTCTACCATAGACTTCAAAGCGGCTGAAATCACCACTTGCCAATTGCACAAAAAGAGTGTTTCAAATCTGCTCTGTCTAAGGGAACGTTCAACTCTGTGAGTTGAATGTACACAACACAAGGAAGTTACTGGGAATTCTTCTGTCTAGCCTTACATGAAAAAAACCCGTTTCCAACGAAGGCCTCTAAGTGGTCAAAATATCCACGTGCAGACTTTACAAACAGAGTGTTTCCAAACTGCTGAATGAAAAGAAAAGTTAAACTCTGAGAGTTGAACGCACACATCGCAGAGCAGTTTCTGAGAATGATTCTGTCTAGTTTTTATACGAAGATATTTCGTTTTCTGCCTTTGGCCCGAAAGCGCTTGAAATCTCCACTTGCAAATTCCACAAAAACAGTGTTTCAAATCTGCTCTCTCTAAATGAAAGTTCAACTGTGTCAGTTGAATACACACAACACAAGGAAGTTACTGAGAATTCTTCTGTCTAGCAGAATATGAAGAAATCCCGTTTCCAACGAAAGCCTCAAAGATGTCTGAATATCCACATGCAGACTTTACAAACAGAGTGTTTCCTAACTGCTCTATGAAAAGAAAGGTTAAACTCTGTGAGTTGAACGCACACATCACAAAGGAGTTTCTGAGAATCATTCTGTCTAGTTTTTCTACGAAGATATTTCCTTTTCTACTATTGACCTCAAATTGGATGAAATCTCCACTTGCAAATTCCACAAAAAGAGTGTTTCAAGTCTGCTCTGTGTAAAGGATCGTTCAACTCTGTGAGTTGAATACACACAACACAAGGAAGTTACTGAGAATTATTTTGTCTAGCATAATATGAAGAAATCCCGTTTCCAACGAAGGCCTCAAAGAGGTCTGAATATCCACTTGCAGACTTTACAAACAGAGTGTTTCCTAACTGCTCTATGAAAAGAAAAGTTAAACTCTGTGAGTTGAACGCACACATCACAAAGGAGTTTATGAGAATCATTCTGTCTAGTTTTGAAACGAAGATATTTCCTTTTCTGCCGTTGACCTTAAAGAGCTTGAAAACTACACTTGCAAATTGCACAAATAGAGTGTTTCAAATCTGCTCTGTCTAAGGGAACGTTCAACTACTGTGAGTTGAATGCACACAACACAAGGAAGTTACTGGGAATTCTTCTGTCTAGCCTTACAGGAAAAAAACCCGTTACCAACGAAGGCCTCTAAGTGGTCAAAATATCCACGTGCAGACTTTACAAACAGAGTGTTTCCAAACTGCTGAATGAAAAGAAAAGTTAAACTCTGAGAGTTGAACGCACACATCGCAGAGCAGTTTCTGAGAATGATTCTGCCTAGTTTTGAAACGAAGATATTTCCTTTTCTGCCTTTGGCCTCAAAGCGCTTGAAATCTCCACTTGCAAATTCCACAAAAAGAGTGTTTCAAATCTGCTCTGTGTAAATGAAAGTTCAACTCTGTGAGTCGAACACACACAACACAAGGAAGTTACTGGGAATTCTTCTTTCTAGCAGAATAGGAAGAAATCCCGTTTCCAACGAAAGCCTCAAGGATGTCTGAATATCCACTTGCAGACTTTACAAACAGAGTGTTTCCTAACTGCTCTATGAAAAGAAAGGTTAAACTCTGTGAGTTGAACGCACACATCACAAAGGAGTTTCTGAGAATCATTCTGTCTAGTTTTTATACGAAGATATTTCCTTTTCTACCATTGACCTCAAAGCGGCTGAAATCTCCACTTGCAAATTCCACAAAAAGAGTGTCTCAAGTCTGTTCTGTGTAAAGGATCGTTCAACTCTGTGAGTTGAATACACACAACACAAGGAAGTTTCTGAGAATTCTTCTGTATAGCAGAATATGAAGAAATCCCGTTTCCAACGAAGGCCTCAAGGAGGTCTGTATATCCACTTGCAGACTTTACAAACAGAGTGTTTCCTAACTGCTCTATGAAAAGAAACGTTAAACTCTGTGAGTTGAACGCAGACATCACAAAGGAGTTTCTGAGAATCACTCTGTCTAGTTTTGAAACGAAGATATTTCCTTTTCTGCCATTGACCTTAAAGCGCTTGAAATCTACACTTGCAAATTGCACAAATAGAGTGTTTCAAATCTGCTCTGTCTAAGGGAACGTTCAACTCTGTGAGTTGAATGCACACAACACAAGGAAGTTACTGGGAATTCTTCTGTCTAGCCTTACATGAAAAAAACCCGTTTCCAACGAAGGCCTCTAAGTGGTCAAATTATCCACGTGCAGACCTTACAAACAGAGTGTTTCCAAACTGCTGAATGAAAAGAAAAGTTAAACTCTGAGAGTTGAACGCACACATCGCAGAGCAGTTTCTGAGAATGATTCTGTCTACTTTTTATACGAAGATATTTCCTTTTCTGCCTTTGGCCCCAAAGCGCTTGAAATCTCCACTTGCAAATTCCACAAAAACAGTGTTTCAAATCTGCTCTCTCTAAATGAAAGTTCAAGTCTGTCAGTTGAATACACACAACACAAGGAAGTTACTGAGAATTCTTCTGTCTAGCATAATATGAAGAAATCCCGTTTCCAACGAAGGCCTCAAGGAGGTCTGAATATCCACTTGCAGACATTACAAACAGAGTGTTTCCTAACTGCTCTATGAAAAGAAAGGTTGAACTCTGTGAGTTGAACGCACACATCACAAAGGAGTTTCTGAGAATCATTCTGTCTAGTTTTTATACGAAGATATTTCCTTTTCTACCATTGACCTCAACGCGGCTGAAATCTCCACTTGCAAATTCCACAAAAAGAGTGTTTCAAGTCCGCTCTGTGTAAAGGATCGTTCAACTCTGTGAGTTGAATACACACAACACAAGGAAGTTACCGAGAATTCTTCTGTCTAGCCGAATATGAAGAAATCCCGCTTCCAACGAAGGCCTCAAAGAAGTCTGAATATCCACTTGCAGACTTTACAAACAGAGTGTTTCCCAACTGCTCTATTAAAAGAAAGGTTGAACTCTGTGAGTTGAACGCACACATCACAAAGGAGTTTCTGAGAATCATTCTGTCTAGTCTTTATACGAAGATATTTCCTTTTCTAACATTGACCTCAAAGCGGCTGAAATCTCCACTTGCAAATTCCACAAAAAGAGTGTTTCAAGTCTGCTCTCTGTAAAGGATCGTTCAACTCTGTGACTTGAATACACACAACACAAGGAAGTTACTGAGAATTATTCTGTCTAGCAGAATATGAAGAAATCCCGTTTCCAACGAAGGCCACAAGATGTCAGAATATCCACTTACAGACTTTACAAACAGAGTGTTTCCTAACTGCTCTATGAACAGAAAGGTTAAACTCTGTGAGTTGAACGTACACATCACAACGCAGTTTGTGGGAATGATTCTGTCTAGTTTTGAAACGAAGATATTTCCTTTTCTGCCATTGACCTTAAAGCGCTTGAAATCTCCACTTGCCAATTGCACAAAAAGAGTGTTTCAAATCTGCTCTGTCTAAGGAAACGTTCAACTCTGTGAGTTGAATGTACACAACACAAGGAAGTTACTGGGAATTCTTCTGTCTAGCCTTACAGGAAAAAAACCCGTTTCCAACGAAGGCTTCTAAGTGGTCAAAATATCCACGTGCAGACTTTACAAACAGAGTGTTTCCAAACTGCTGAATGAAAAGAAAATTTAAACTCTGAGAGTTGAACGCACACATCGCAGAGCAGTTTCTGAGAATGATTCTGTCTAGTTTTGAAACGAAGATATTTCCTTTTCTGCCTTTGGCCTCAAAGCGCTTGAAATCTCCATTTGCAAATTCCACAAAAAGTGTGTTTCAAATCTGCTCTGTGTAAATGAAAGTTCAACTCTGTGAGTTGAAAACACACAACACAAGGAAGTTACTGGGAAATCTTCTGTCTAGCATAATATGAAGAAATCCCGTTTCCAACGAAGGCCCCAAAGGGGTCTGAATATCCACTTGCAGACTTTATAAACAGAGTGTTTACTAACTGCTCTATGAAAAGAAAGGTTAAACTCTGTGAGTTGAACACACACATCACAAAGGAGTTTCTGAGAATCATTCTGTCTAGTTTCTATAAGAAGATATTTCCTATTCTACCATTGACCTCAAAGCGGCTGAAATCTCCACTTGCAAATTCCACAAAAAGAGTGTTTCAAGCCTGCTCTCTGTAAAGGATCCTTCAACTCTGTGAGTTGAATACACACAACACAAGGAAGTTACTGAGAATTCTTCTGTCTAGCAGAATATGAAGAAATCCCGTTTCCAACGAAGGCCACAAGATGTCAGAATATCCACTTACAGACTTTACAAACAGAGTGTTTCCTAACTGCTCTATGAACAGAAAGGTTAAACTCTGTTAGTTGAACGAACACATCACAACGCAGTTTGTGGGAATGATTCTGTCTAGTTTTGAAACGAAGATATTTCCTTTTCTGCCATTGACCTTAAAGCGCTTGAAATCTACGCTTGCAAATTGCACAAATAGAGTGTTTCAAATCTGCTCTGTCTAAGGGAACGTTCAACTCTGTGAGTTGAATGCACACAACACAAGGAAGTTACTGGGAATTCTTCTGTCTAGCCTTACATGAAAAAAACCCGTTTCCAACGAAGGCCTCTAAGTGGTCAAATTATCCACGTGCAGACTTTACAAACAGAGTGTTTCCAAACTGCTGAATGAAAAGAAAAGTTAAACTCTGAGAGTTGAACGCACACATCGCAGAGCAGTTTCTGAGAATGATTCTGTCTAGTTTTTATACGAAGATATTTCCTTTTCTGCCTTTGGCCTCAAAGCGCTTGAAATCTCCACTTGCAAATTCCACAAAAAGAGTGTTTCAAATCTGCTCTGTCTGAGGGAACGTTCAACTCTGTGAGTTGAACACACACAACACAAGGAAGTTACTGGGAATTCTTCTGTCTAGCAGAATATGAAGAAATCCCGCTTCCAACGAAGGCCTCAAAGAAGTCTGAATATCCACTTGCAGGCTTTACAAACAGAGTGTTTCCCAACTGCTCTATGAAAAGAAAGGTTGAACTCTGTGAGTTGAACGCACACATCACAAAGGAGTTTCTGAGAATCATTCTGTCTAGTTTTTATACGAAGATATTTCCTTTTCTACCATTGACCTCTAAGCGGCTGAAATCTCCACTTGCAAATTCCACAAAAAGAGTGTTTCAAGTCTACTCTGTGTAAAGGATCGTTGAACTCTGTGAGTTGAAAACACGCAACACAACGAAGTTTCTGAGAATTCTTCTTTCTAGCATAATATGAAGAAATCCCGTTTCCAACGAAGGCCTCAAGGAGGTCTGAATATCCACTTGCAGACTTTACAAACAGAGTGTTTCCTAACTGCTCTATGAAAAGAAAGGTTAAACTGTGTGAGTTGAACGCACACATCACAAAGGAGTTTCTGAGAATCATTCTGTCTAGTTTTTATACGAAGATATTTCCTTTTCTACCATTGACCTCAAAGCGGCTGAAATAACCACTTGCCAATTGCACAAAAAGAGTGTTTCAAATCTGCTCTGTCTTAGGGAACGTTCAACTCTGTGAGTTGAATGTACACAACACAAGGAAGTTACTGGGAATTCTACTGTCTAGCCTTACAGGAAAAAAACCCGTTTCCAACGAAGGCCTCTAAATGGTCAAAATATCCACGTGCAGACTTTACAAACAGAGTGTTTCCAAACTGCTGAATGAAAAGAAAAGTTAAACTCTGAGAGTTGAACGCACACATCGCAGAGCAGTTTCTGAGAATGATTCTGTCTAGTTTTTAAACGAAGATATTTCCTTTTCTGCCTTTGGCCTCAAAGCGCTTGAAATCTCCACTTGCAAATTCCACAAAAAGAGTGTTTCAAATCTGCTCTGTGTAAATGAAAGTTCAACTCTGTGAGTTGAACACACACAACACAAGGAAGTTACTGGGAATTCTTCTGTCTAGCCTTATATGAAAAAAACCCGTTTCCAACGAAGGCCTCAAAGAGGTCTGAATATCCACTTGCAGACTTTACAAACAGAGTGTTTCCTAACTGCTCTATGAAAAGAAAGGTTAAACTCTGTGAGTTGAACGCACACATCACAAAGGAGTTACTGAGAATCATTCTGTCTAGTCTTTATACGAAGATATTTCCTTTTCTACCATTGACCCCAAAGCGGCTGAAATCTCCACTTGCAAATTCCACAAAAAGAGTGTTTCATGTCTGCTCTGTGTAAAGGATCGTTCAACTCTGTGAGTTGAATACACACAACACAAGGAAGTTACTGAGAATTCTTCTGTCTAGCAGAATATGAAGAAATCCCGTTTCCAACGAAGGCCACAAGATGTCAGAATATCCACTTACAGAATTTACAAACAGACTGTTTCCTAACTGCTCTATGAAAAGAAAGGTTAAACTCTGTGAGTTGAACGAACACATCACAACGCAGTTTGTGGGAATGATTCTGTCTAGTTTTGAAACGAAGATATTTCCTTTTCTGCCGTTGACCTTAAAGAGCTTGAAAACTACACTTGCAAATTGCACAAATAGAGTGTTTCAAATCTGCTCTGTCTAAGGGAACGTTCAACTCTGTGAGTTGAATGCACACAACACAAGGAAGTTACTGGGAATTCTTCTGTCTAGCCTTACAGGAAAAAAACCCGTTTCCAACGAAGGCCTCTAAGTGGTCAAAATATCCACGTGCAGAGTTTACAAACAGAGTGTTTCCAAACTGCTGAATGAAAAGAAGAGTTAAACTCTGAGAGTTGAACGCACACATTGCAGAGTAGTTTCTGAGAATGATTCTGTCTAGTTTTTATATGAAGATATTTCCTTCTCTACCATTGACCTCAAAGCGGCTGAAATCTCCACTTACAAATTCCACAAAAAGAGTGTCTCAAGTCTGCTCTGTGTAAACGATCGTTCAACTCTGTGAGTTGAATACACACAACACAAGGAAGTTTCTGAGAATTCTTCTGTATATCAGAATATGAAGAAATCCCGTTTCCAACGAAAGCCTCAAAGATGTCTGAATATCCACTTGCAGACTTTACAAACAGAGTGTTTCCTAACTGCTCTATGAAAAGAAAGGTTAAACTCTGTGAGTTGAACGCCCACATCACAAAGGAGTTTCTGAGAATCATTCTGTCTAGTTTCTATAGGAAGATATTTCCTATTCTACCATTGACCTCAAAGCGGCTGAAATCTCCACTTCCAAATTCCACAAAAAGAGTGTTTCAAGACTGTTCTGTGTAAAGGATCATTCAACTCTGTGAGTTGAATACACACAACACAAGGAAGTTACTGAGAATTCTTCTGTCTAGCAGAATATGAAGAAATCCCGTTTCCAAAAAAGGCCTCAAGGAGGTCTGAATATCCACTTGCAGACTTTACAAACAGAGTGTTTCCTAACTGCTCTATGAAAACAAAGGTTAAACTCTGTGAGTTGAACGCACACATCACAAAGGAGTTCATGAGAATCATTCTGTCTAGTTTTGAAACGAAGATATTTCCTTTTCTGCCATTGACCTTAAAGCGCTTGAAATCTCCATTTGCCAGTTGCACAAAAAGAGTGTTTCAAATCTACTCTGTCTAAGGGAACGTTCAACTCTGTGAGTTGAATGTACACAACACAAGGAAGTTACTGGGAATTCTTCTGTCTAGCCTTACATGAAAAAAACCCGTTTCCAACGAAGGCCTCTAAGTGGTCAAATTATCCACGTGCAGACTTTACAAACAGAGTGTTTCCAAACTGCTGAATGAGAAGAAAAGTTAAACTCTGAGAGTTGAACGCACACATCGCAGAGCAGTTTATGAGAATGATTCTGTCTAGTTTTGAAACGAAGATATTTCCTTTTCTGCCTTTGGTCTCAAAGCGCTTGAAATCTCCACTTGCAAATTCCACAAAAAGAGTGTTTCAAATCTGCTCTGGGTAAATGAAAGTTCAACTCTGTGAGTTGAACACACACAACACAAGGAAGTTACTGGGAATTCTTCTGTCTAGCAGAATATGAAGAAATCCCGTTTCCAACGAAGGCCTCAAGGAGGTCTGAATATCCACTTGCAGACTTTACAAACAGAGTGTTTCCTAACTGCTCTATGAAAAGAAAGGTGAAACTCTGTGAGTTGAACACACACATCACAAAGGAGTTTCTGAGAATCATTCTGTCTAGTTTCTATTGGAAGATATTTCCTATTCTACCATTGACCTCAAAGCGGCTGAAATCTCCACTTGCAAATTCCACAAAAAGAGTGTTTCAAGTCTGCTCTCTGTAAAGGATCGTTCAACTCTGTGAGTTGAATACACACAACACAAGGAAGTTACTGAGAATTATTTCTGTCTAGCAGAATATGAAGAAATCCCGTTTCCAACGAAGGCCACAAGATGTCAGAATATCCACTTACAGAATTTACAAACAGACTGTTTCCTAACTGCTCTATGAAAAGAAAGGTTAAACTCTGTGAGATGAACGAACACATCACAACGCAGTTTGTGGGAATGATTCTGTCTAGTTTTGAAACGAAGATATTTCCTTTTCTGCCATTGACCTTAAAGCGCTTGAAGTCTCCACTTGCCAATTGCACAAAAAGAGTGTTTCAAATCTGCTCTGACTAAGGGATCGTTCAACTCTGTGAGTTGAATGTACACAACACAAGGAAGTTACTGGGAATTCTTCTGTCTAGCCTTACATGAAAAAAACCCGTTTCCAACGAAGGCCTCTAAGTGGTCAAGTTATCCACGTGCAGACTTTACAAACAGAGTGTTTCCAAACTGCTGAATGAAAAGAGAAGTTAAACTCTGAGAGTTGAACGCACACATCGCAGAGCAGTTTCTGAGAATGATTCTGTCTAGTTTTTATACGAAGATATTTCCTTTTCTGCCTTTGGCCTCAAAGCGCTTGAAATCTCCTCTTGCAAATTCCACAAAAAGAGTGTTTCAAATCTGCTCTGTGTAAATCAAAGTTCAACTCTGTGAGTTGAACACACACAACACAAGGAAGTTACTGGGAATTCTTGTGTCTAGCAGAACATGAAGAAATCCCGTTTCCAACGAAGGCCTCAAAGGTGTCTGAATATCCACTTGCAGACTTTACAAACAGAGTGTTTCCTAACTGCTCTATGAAAAGAAAGGTTAAGCTCTGTGAGTTGAACGCACACATCACAAAGGAGTTTCTGAGAATCATTCTGTCTAGTCTTTATACGAAGATATTTCCTTTTCTACCATTGACCTCAAAGCGGCTGTAATCTCCACTTGCAAATTCCACAAAAAGAGTGTTTCAAGTCTCCTCTGTGTAAAGGATCGTTCAACTCTGTGAGTTGAATACACGCAACACAAAGAAGTTACTGAGAATTCTTCTGTCTAGCAGAACATGAAGAAATCCCGCTTCCAACGAAGGCCTCAAAGAAGTCTGAATATCCACTTGCAGACTTTACAAACAGAGTGTTTCCCAACTGCTCTATGAAAAGAAAGGTTGAACTCTGTGAGTTGAACGCACACATCACAAAGGAGATTCTGAGAATCATTCTGTCTAGTTTTGAAACGACGATATTTCCTTTTCTGCCATTGACCTTAAAGCGCTTGAAATCTACACTTGCAAATTGCACAAATAGAGTGTTTCAAATCTGCTCTGTCTAAGGGAACGTTCAACTCTGTGAGTTGAATGCACACAACACAAGGAAGTTACTGGGAATTCTTCTGTCTAGCCTTATATGAAAAAAACCCGTTTCCAACGAAGGCCTCTAAGTGGTCAAATTATCCACGTGCAGACTTTACAAACAGAGTGCTTCCAAACTGCTGAATGAAAAGAAAAGTTAAACTCTGAGAGTTGAACGCACACATCGCAGAGCAGTTTCTGAGAATGATTCTGTCTAGTTTTTATACGAAGATATTTCCTTTTCTGCCCTTGGCCCCAAAGCGCTTGAAATCTCCACTTGCAAATTCCACAAAAACAGTGTTTCAAATCTGCTCTCTCTACATGAAAGTTCAACTCTGTCAGTTGAATACACACAACACAAGGAAGTTACTGAGAATTCTTCTCCCTAGCAGAATATGAAGAAATCCCGTTTTCAACGAAGGCCTCAAAGAGGTCTGAATATCCACTTGCAGACTTTACAAACAGAGTGTTTCCTAACTGCTCTATGAAAAGAAAGGTTAAACTCTGTGAGTTGAACGCACACATCACAAAGGAGTTTCTGAGAATCATTCTGTCTAGTTTTTATAGGAAGGTATTTCCTTTTCTACCATTGACCTCAAAGCGGCTGAAATCTCCACTTGCAAATTCCACAAAAAGAGTGTTTCAAGTCTGCTCTGTGTAAAGGATCGTTCAACTCTGTGAGTTGAATACACACAACACGCGGAAGTTACTGAGAATTCTTCTGTCTAGCAGTAATATGAAGAAATCCCGTTTCCAACGAAGGCCACAAGATGTCAGAATATCCACTTACAGAATTTTCAAACAGACTGTTTCCTAACTGCTCTATGAAAAGAAAGGTTAAACTCTGTGAGTTGAACGAACACATCACAACGCAGTTTGTGGGAATGATTCTGTCTAGTTTTGAAACGAAGATATTTCCTTTTCTGCCATTGACCTCAAAGCGCTTGAAATCTCCACTTGCCAATTGCACAAAAAGAGTGTTTCAAATCTGCTCTGTCTAAGGGAACGTTCAACTCTGTGAGTTGAATGTACACAACACAAGGAAGTTACTGGGAATTCTTCTGTCTAGCCTTACATGAAAAAAACCCGTTTCCAACGAAGGCCTCTAAGTGGTCAAATTATCCACGTGCAGACTTTACAAACAGAGTGTTTCCAAACTGCTGAATGAAAAGCAAAGTTAAACTCTGAGAGTTGAACGCACACATCGCAGAGCACTTTCTGAGAATGATTCTGTCTAGTTTTTCTACGAAGATATTTCCTTTTCTACTATTGACCTCAAAGCGGCTGAAATCTCCACTTGCAAATTCCACAAAAAGAGTGTTTCAACTCTGCTCTGTGTAAAGGATCGTTCAACTCTGTGAGTTGAATACACACAACACAAGGAAGTTACTGAGAATTCTTCTGTCTAGCAGAATAGGAAGAAATCCCGTTTCCAACGAAGGCCTCAAAGAGGTCTGAATATCCACTTGCAGACTTTACAAACAAAGTGTTTCCTAACTGCTCTATGAAAAGAAAGGTTAAACTCTGTGAGTTGAACGCACACATCACAAAGGAGTTTCTGAGAATCGTTCTGTCTAGTCTTTATACGAAGATATTTCCTTTTCTACCATTGACCTCAAAGCGGCTGAAATCTCCACTTGCAAATTCCACAAAAAGAGTGTTTCAAGTCTGCTCTGTGTAAATGATCGTTCAACTCTGTGAGTTGAATACACACAACACAAGGAAGTTACTGAGAATTCTTCTGTCTAGCAGAATATGAAGAAATCCCGTTTCCAACGAAGGCCACAAGATGTCAGAATATCCACTTACAGAATTTACAAACAGACTGTTTCCTAACTGCTCTATGAAAAGAAAGGTTAAACTCTGTGAGATGAACGAACACATCATAACGCAGTTTTTGGGAATGATTCTGTCTAGTTTTGAAACGAAGATATTTCCTTTTCTGCCATTGACCTTAAAGCGCTTGAAATCTACACTTGCAAATTGCACAAATAGCGTGTTTCAATTCAGCTCTGTCTAAGGAAACGTTCAACTATGTGAGTTTAATGCACACAACACAAGGAAGTTACTGGGAATTCTTCTGTCTAGCCTTACATGAAAAAAACCCGTTTCCAACGAAGGCCTCTAAGTGGTCAAGTTATCCACGTGCAGACTTTACAAACAGAGTGTTTCCAAACTGCTGAATGAAAAGAAAAGTTAAACTCTGAGAGTTGAACGCACACATCGCAGAGCAGTTTCTGAGAATGATTCTGTCGAGTTTTTATACGAAGATATTTCCTTTTCTGCCTTTGGCCTCAAAGCGCTTGAAATCTCCATTTGCAAATTCCACAAAAAGAGTGTTTCAAATCTGCTCTGTGTAAATGAAAGTTCAACTCTGTGAGTTGAACACAGCCAACACAAGGGAAGTTACTGGGAATTCTTCTGTCTAGCAGAACATGAAGAAATCCCGCTTCCAACGAAGGCCTCAAAGAAGTCTGAATATCCACTTGCAGACTTTACAAACAGAGTGTTTCCCAACTGCTCTATGAAAAGAAAGGTTGAACTCTGTGAGTTGAATGCACACATCACAAAGGAGTTTCTGAGAATCATTCTGTCTAGTTTTTATACGAAGATATTTCCTTTTCTACCATGGACCTCAAAGCGGCTGAAATCTCCACTTACAAATTCCACAAAAAGAGTGTTTCAAGTCTGCTCTGTGTAAAGGATCGTTCAACTCTGTGAGTTGAATACACACAACACAAGGAAGATTCTGAGAATTCTTCTGTCTAGCAGAATATGAAGAAATCCCGTTTCCAACGAAGGCCACAAGATGTCAGAATATCCACTTACAGACTTCACAAACAGAGTGTTTCCTAACTGCTCTATGAAGAGAAAGCTTAAACTCTGTGGGTTGAACGAACACATCACAACGCAGTTTGTGGTAATGATTCTGTCTAGTTTTGAAACGAAGATATTTCCTTTTCTGCCGTTGACCTTAAAGCGCTTGAAATCTACACTTGCAAATTGCACAAATAGAGTGTTTCAAATCTGCTCTGTCTAAGGGAACGTTCAACTCTGTGAGTTGAATGCACACAACACAAGGAAGTTACTGGGAATTCTTCTGTCTAGCATAATATGAAGAAATCCCGTTTCCAACGAAGGCCTCAAAGGGGTCTGAATATCCACTTGCAGACGTTATAAACAGAGTGTTTACTAAATGCTGTATGAAAAGAAAGGTTAAACTCTGTGAGTTGAACACACACATCACAAAGGAGTTTCTGAGAATCATTCTGTCTAGTTTCTATAGGAAGATATTTCCTATTCTACCATTGACCTCAAAGTGGCTGAAATCTCCACTTGCAAATTCCACAAGAAGAGTGTTTCAAGTATGCTCTGTGTAAAGGATCGTTCAACTCTGTGAGTTGAATACACACAACACAAGGAAGTTACTGAGAATTCTTCTGTCTAGCATAATATGAAGAAATCCCGTTTCCAACGAAGGCCTCAAGGAGGTCTGAATATCCACTTGCAGACTTTACAAACACAGTGTTTCCTAACTGCTCTATGAAAAGAAAGGTTAAACTCTGTGAGTTGAACGCACACATCACAAAGGAGTTTCTGAGAATCATTCTGTCTAGTTTTTCTACGAAGATATTTCCTTTTCTACTATTGACCTCAAAGCGGCTGAAATCTCCACTTGCAAATTCTACAAATAGAGTGTTTCAAGTCTGCTCTGTGTAAAGGATCGTTCAACTCTGTGAGTTGAATACACACAACACAAGGAAAGTTACTGAGAATTATTCTGTCTAGCAGAATATGAAGAAATCCCGTTTCCAACGAAGGCCTCAAGGAGGTCTGAATATCCACTTGCAGACTTTACAAACAGAGTATTTCCTAACTGCTCTATGAACAGAAAGGTTAAACTCTGTGAGTTGAACGAACACATCACAACGCAGTTTGTGGGAATGATTCGGTCTAGTTTTGAAACGAAGATATTTCCTTTTCTGCCGTTGACCTTAAAGAGCTTGAAAACTACACTTGCAAATTGCACAAATAGAGTGTTTCAAATCTGCTCTGTCTAAGGGAACGTTCAACTCTGTGAGTTGAATGCACACAACACAAGGAAGTTACTGGGAATTCTTCTGTCTAGCCTTACATGAAAAAATCCCGTTTCCAACGAAGGCCTCTAAGTGGTCAAAATTTCCACGTGCAGACTTTACAAACAGAGTGTTTCCAAACCGCTGAATGAAAAGAAAAGTTAAACTCTGAGAGTTGAACGCACACATCACGCAGCAGTTTCTGAGAATGATTCTGTCTAGTTTTTATACGAAGATGTTTCCTTTTCTGCCTTTGGCCCCAAAGCGTTTGAAATCTCCACTTGCAAATTCCACAAAAACAGTGTTTCAAATCTGCTCCCTCTAAATGAAATTTCAACTCTGTCAGTTGAATACACACAACACAAGGAAGTTACTGAGATTACTTCTGTCTAGCCTTATATGAAAAAAACCCGTTTCCAACGAAGGCCTCAAAGAGGTCAGAATATCCACTTGCAGACTTTACAAACAGAGTGTTTCCTAACTGCTCTATGAAAAGAAAGGTTAAACTCTGTGAGTTGAACGCACACATCACAAAGGAGTTTCTGAGAATCATTCTGTCTAGTTTTTATAGGAAGTTATTTCCTTTTCTACCTTTGACTTCAAAGTGGCTGAAATCTCCACTTGCAAATTCCACAAAAAGAGTGTTACAAGTCTGCTCTGTGTAAAGGATCGTTCAACTCTGTGAGTTGAATACACACAACACAAGGAAAGTTACTGAGAATTCTTCTGTCTAGCAGAATATGAAGAAATCCCGTTTCCAACGAAGACCTCAAGGAGATCTGAATATCCACTTACAGACTTTAGAGAGTGTTTCCTAACTGCTCTATGAACGGAAAGGTTAAACTCTGTGAGTTGAACGAACACATCACAACGCAGTTTGTGGGAATGATTCTGTCTAGTTTTGAAACGAAGATATTTCCTTTTCTGCCATTGAACTTAAAGCGCTTGAAATCTCCATTTGCCAATTGCACAAAAAGAGTGTTTCAAATCTGCTCTGTCTAAGGGAACGTTCAACTCTGTGAGTTGAATGTACACAACACAAGGAAGTTACTGGGAATTCTTCTGTCTAGCCTTACATGAAAAAAACCCGTTTCCAACGAAGGCCTCTAAGTGGTCAAAATATCCACGTGCAGACTTTACAAACAGAGTGTTTCCAAACCGCTGAATGAAAAGAAAAGTTAAAGTCTGAGAGTTGAACGCACACATCACGCAGCAGTTTCTGAGAATGATTCTGTCTACTTTTTATACGAAGATATTTCGTTTTCTGCCTTTGGCCCCAAAGTGCTTGAAATCTCCACTTGCAAATTCCACAAAAACAGTGTTTCAAATCTGCTCTCTCTAAATGAAAGTTCAACTCTGTCAGTTGAATACACACAACACAAGGAAGTTACTGAGAATTCTTCTGTCTAGCAGAATATGAAGAAATCCCTTTTCCAACGAAGGCCTTAAAGAGGTCTGAATATCCTCTTGCAGACTTTACAAACAGAGTGTTTCCTAACTGCTCTATGAAAAGAAAAGTTAAACTCTGTGAGTTGAACGCACACATCACAAAGGAGTTTCTGAGAATCATTCTGTCTAGTCTTTATACAAAGATATTTCCTTTTCTACCATTGACCTCAAAGCGGCTGAAATCTCCACTTGCAAATTCCACAAAAAGAGTGTTTCAACTCTGCTCTCTGTAAAGGATCGTTCAACTCTGTGAGTTGAATACACACAACACAAGGAAGTTACTGAGAATTATTCTGTCTAGCATAATATGAAGAAATCCCGTTTCCAACCAAGGCCTCAAGGAGGTCTGAATATCCACTTGCAGACTTTACAAACAGAGTGTTTCCTAACTGCTCTATGAAAAGAAAAGTTAAACTCTGTGAGTTGAACGCACACATCACAAAGGAGTTTCTCAGAATCATTCTGTCTAGTTTTGAAACGAAGATATTTCCTTTTCTGCCATTGACCTTAAAGCGCTTGAAATCTACACTTGCAAATTGCACAAATAGAGTGTTTCAAATCTGCTCTGTCTAATGGAACGTTCAACTCTGTGAGTTGAATGCACACAACACAAGGAAGTTACTGGGAATTCTTCTGTCTAGCCTTACATGAAAAAAACCCGTTTCCAACGAAGGCCTCTAAGTGGTCAAAATTTCCACGTGCAGACTTTACAAACAGAGTGTTTCCAAACCGCTGAATGAAAAGAAAAGTTAAACTCTGAGAGTTGAACGCACACATCACGCAGCAGTTTCTGAGAATGATTCTGTCTAGTTTTGAAACGAAGATATTTCCTTTTCTGCCTTTGGCCTCAAAGCGCTTGAAATCTCCACTTGCAAATTCCACAAAAAGAGTGTTTCAAATCTGCTCTGTGTAAATGAAAGTTCAACTCTGTGAGTTGAACACACAGAACACAAGGAAGTTACTGGGAATTCTTCTGTCTAGCATAATATGAAGAATTCCCGTTTCCAACGAAGGCCTCAAAGAGGTCCGAATATCCACTTGCAGACTTTACAAACAGAGTGTTTCCTAACTGCTCTATGAAAAGAAAAGTTAAACTCTGCGAGTTGAACGCACACATCAGAAAGGAGTTTCTGAGAATCATTCTGTCTAGTTTTTATAGGAAGATATTTCCTTTTCTACCTTGGACTTCAAAGCGGCTGAAATCTCCACTTGCAAATTCCACAAAAAGAGTGTTACAAGTCTGCTCTGTGTAAAGGATCGTTCAACTCTGTGAGTTGAATACACACAACACAAGGAAGTTACTGAGAATTCTTCTGTCTAGCAGAATATGAAGAAATCCCGTTTCCAACGAAGGCCACAAGATGTCAGAATATCCACTTACAGACTTTACAAACAGAGTGTTTCCTAACTGCTCTATGAACAGAAAGGTTAAACTCTGAGTTGAACGAACACATCACAACGCAGTTTGTGGGAATGATTCTGTCTAGTTTTGAAACGAAGATATTTCCTTTTCTGCCGTTGACCTTAAAGCGCTTGAAATCTACACTTGCAAATTGCACAAATAGAGTGTTTCAAATCTGCTCTGTCTAAGGGAACGTTCAACTCTGTGAGTTGAATGCACACAACACAAGGAAGTTACTGGGAATTCTTCTGTCTAGCCTTAAATGAAAAAAACCCGTTTCCAACGAAGGCCTCTAAGTGGTCAAAATTTCCACGTGCAGACTTTACAAACAGAGTGTTTCCAAACCGCTGAATGAAAAGAAAAGTTAAACTCTGAGAGTTGAACGCACACATCACGCAGCAGTTTCTGAGAATGATTCTGTCTAGTTTCTATAGGAAGATATTTCCTATTCTACCATTGACCTCAAAGCGGCTGAAATCTCCACTTGCAAATTCCACAAAAAGAGTGTTTCAAGTCTGCTCTGTGTAAAGGATCGTTCAACTCTGTGAGTTGAATACACGCAACACAAGGAAGTTACTGAGAATTCTTCTGTCTAGCATAATATGAAGAAATCCCGTTTCCAACGAAGGCCTCAAGGAGGTCTGAATATCCACTTGCAGACTTTACAAACAGAGTGTTTCCTAACTGCTCTATGAAAAGAAAGGTTGAACTCTGTGAGTTGAACGCACACATCACAAAGGAGTTTCTGAGAATCATTCTGTCTAGTCTTTATACGAAGATATTTCCTTTTCTACCATTGACCTCAAAGCGGCTGAAATCTCCACTTGCAAATTCCACAAAAAGAGTGTTTCAAGTCTGCTCTGTGTAAAGGATCGTACAACTCTGTGAGTTGAATACACACAACACAAGGAAGTTACTGAGAATTATTCTGTCTAGCAGAATATGAAGAAATCCCGTTTCCAACGAAGGCCTCAAGGAGGTCTGAATATCCACTTGCAGACTTTACAAACAGAGTGTTTCCTAACTGCTCTATGAACAGAAAGGTTAAACTCTGTGAGTTGAACGAGCACATCACAACGCAGTTTGTGGGAATGATTCTGTCTAGTTTTGAAACGAAGATATTTCCTTTTCTGCCATTGACCTTAAAGCGCTTGAAATCTACACTTGCAAATTGCACAAATAGAGTGTTTCAAATCTGTTCTGTCTAAGGGAACGTTCAACTCTGTGAGTTGAATGCACACAACACAAGGAAGTTACTGGGAATTCTTCTGTCTAGCCTTACATGAAAAAAACCCGTTTCCAACGAAAGCCTCTAAGTCGTCAAAATATCCACGTGCAGATTTACAAACAGAGTGTTTCCAAACTACTGAATGAAAAGAAAAGTTAAACTCGGAGAGTTGAACGCACACATCACAGAGTAGTTTCTGAGAATGATTCTGTCTAGTCTTTATACGAATATATTTCCTTTTCTACCATTGACGTCAAAGCGGCTGTAATCTCCACTTGCAAATTCCACAAAAAGAGTGTTTCAAGTCTGCTCTGTGTAAAGGATCGTTCAACTCTGTGAGTTGAATACACACAACACAAAGAAGTTACTGAGAATTCTTCTGTCTAGCAGAATATGAAGAAATCCTGTTTCCAACGAAGGCCTCAAGGAGGTCTGAATATCCACTTGCAGACTTTACAAACAGAGTGTTTCCTAACTGCTCTATGAAAAGAAAGGTTAAACTCTGTGAGTTGAACGCACACATCACAAAGGAGTTTCTGAGAATCATTCTGTCTAGTCTTTATACGAAGATATTTCCTATTCTACCATTGACCTCAAAGCGGCTGAAATCTCCACTTGCAAATTCCACAAAAAGAGTGTTTCAAGTCTGCTCTGTGTAAAGGATCATTCAACTCTGTGAGTTGAATAAACACAACACAAGGAAGTTACTGAGAATTCTTCTGTCTAGCAGAATATGAAGAAATCCCGTTTCCAACGAAGGCCTCAAGGAGGTCTGAATATCCACTTGCAGACTTTTCAAACAGAGTGTTTCCTAACTGCTCTATGAAAAGAAAGGTTAAACTCTGTGAGTTGAACGCACCCATCACAAAGGAGTTTATGAGAATCATTCTGTCTAGTTTTGAAACGAAGATATTTCCTTTTCTGCCGTTGACCTTAAAGCGCTTGAAATCTACACTTTCAAATTGCACAAATAGAGTGTTTCAAATCTGCTCTGTCTAAGGGAACGTTCAACTCTGTGAGTTGAATGCACACAACACAAGGAAGTTACTGGGAATTCTTCTGTCTAGCCTTACATGAAAAAAACCCGTTTCCAACGAAGGCCTCTAAGTGGTCAAAATTTCCACGTGCAGACTTTACAAACAGAGTGTTTCCAAACCGCTGAATGAAAAGAAAAGTTAAACTCTGAGAGTTGAACGCACACATCACGCAGCAGTTTCTGAGAATGATTCTGTCTAGTTTTTATACGAAGATATTTCCTTTTCTGCCTTTGGCCCCAAAGCGCTTGAAATCTCCATTTGCAAATTCCACAAAAACAGTGTTTCAAATCTGCTCTCTCTAAATGAAAGTTCAACTCTGTCAGTTGAATACACACAACACAAGGAAGTTACTGAGAATTCTTCTGTCTAGCCTTATATGAAAAAAACCCGTTTCCAACGAAGGCCTCAAAGAGGTCTGAATATCCACTTGCAGACTTTACAAACAGAGTGTTTCCTAACTGCTCTATGAAAAGAAAGGTTAAACTCTGTGAGTTGAACAGCACACATCACAAAGGAGTTTCTGAGAATCATTCTGTCTAGTTTTTATACGAAGATATTTCCTTTTCTACCATTGACCTCAACGCGGCTGAAATCTCCACTTGCAAATTCCACAAAAAGAGCGTTTCAAGTCTGCTCTGTGTAAAGGATCGTTCAACTCTGTGAGTTGAATACACACAACACAAGGAAGTTACTGAGAATTCTTCTGTCTAGCACAGTATGAAGAAATCCCGTTTCCAACGAAGGCCTCAAAGAGGTCTGAATATCCACTTGCAGAGTTTACAAACAGAGTGTTTCCTAACTGCTCTATGAAAAGAAAGGTTAAACTCTGTGATTTGATGCACACATCACAAAGAATTTTCTGAGAATCATTCTGTCTAGTTTTGAAACGAAGATATTTCCTTTTCTGCCATTGACCTTAAAGCGCTTGAAATCTCCATTTGCCAATTGCACAAAAAGAGTGTTTCAAATCTGCTCTGTCTAAGGGAACGTTCAACTCTGTGAGTTGAATGTACACAACACAAGGAAGTTACTGGGAATTCTTCTGTCTAGCCTTACGTGAAAAAAACCCGTTTCCAACAAAGACCTCTAAGTGGTCAAAATATCCACGTGCAGACTTTAGAAACAGAGTGTTTCCAAAGTGCTGAATGAAAAGAAAAGTTAAACTCTGAGAGTTGAACGCACACATCACAGAGCATTTTCTGAGAATGATTCTGTCTAGTTTTTATACGAAGATATTTCCTTTTCTACCATTGACCTCAACGCGCCTGAAATCTCCACTTGCAAATTCCACAAAAAGAGTGTTTCAAGTCCGCTCTGTGTAAAGGATCGTTCAACTCTGTGAGTTGAATACACACAACACAAGGAAGTTACTGAGAATTCTTCTGTCTAGCACAGTATGAAGAAATCCCGTTTCCAACGAAGGCCTCAAAGAGGTCTGAATATCCACTTGCAGAGTTTACAAACAGAGTGTTTCCTAACTGCTCTATGAAAAGAAAGGTTAAACTCTGTGAGTTGAACGCACACATCACAAAGAAGTTTCTGAGAATCATTCTGTCTAGTTTTTATACGAAGATATTTCCTTTTCTACCATTGACCTCAAAGCGGCTGAAATCTCCACTTGCAAATTCCACAAAAAGAGTGTTTCACATCTGCTCTGTGTAAACAGTCGTTCAACTGTGTGAGTTGAATACACACAACACAAGGAAGATTCTGAGAATTCTTCTGTCTAGCATAGTATGAAGAAATCCCGTTTCCAACAATGGCCTCAAAGAGGTCTGAATATCCACTTGCAGAGTTTACAAACAGAGTGTTTCCTAACTGCTCTATGAAAAGAAAGGTTAAACTCTGTGAGTTGAACGCACACATCACAAAGAAGTTTCTGAGAATCATTCTGTCTAGTTTTGAAACGAAGATATTTCCTTTTCTTCCATTGACCATAAAGCGCTTGAAATCTCCACTTGCAAATTGCACAAATAGAGTGTTTCAAATCTGCTCTGTCTAAGGGAACGTTCAACTCTGTGAGTTGAGTGCACACAACACAAGGAAGTTACTGGGAATTCTTCTGTCTAGCAAAATATGAAGAAATCCCGTTTCCAACGAAGGCCTCAAAGAGGTCTGAATATCCACTTGCAGACTTTACAAACAGAGTGTTTCCTAACTGCTCTATGAAAAGAAAAGTTAAACTCTGTGAGTTGAACGCACACATCACAAAGGAGTTTCTGAGAATCATTCTGTCTACTTTTTAAACGAAGATATTTCCTTTTCTGCCTTTGGCCCCAAGGCGCTTGATATCTCCACTTGCAAATTCCACAAAAACAGTGTTTCAAATCTGCTCTCTCTAAATGAAAGTTCAACTCTGTCAGTTGAATACACACAACACAAGGAAGTTACTGAGAATTCTTCTTTCTAGCAGAATATGAAGAAATCCCGTTTCCAACGAAAGCCTCAAGGATGTCTGAATATCCACTTGCAGACTTTACAAACAGAGTGTTTCCTAACTGCTCTATGAAAAGAAAGGTTAAACTCTGTGAGTTGAACGCACACATCACAAAGGAGGTTCTGAGAATCATTCTGTCTAGTTTTTATACGAAGATATTTCCTTTTCTACCATGGACCTCAAAGCGGCTGAAATCTCCACTTGCAAATTCCACAAAAAGAGTGTTTCAAGTCTGCTCTGTGTAAAGGACCGTTCACCTCTGTGAGTTGAATACACACAACACAAGGAAGATTCTGAGAATTCTTCTGTCTAGCAGAATATGAAGAAATCCCGTTTCCAACGAAGGCCACAAGATGTCAGAATATCCACTTACAGAATTTACAAACAGACTGTTTCCTAACTGCTCTATGAAAAGAAAGGTTAAACTCTGTGTGTTGAACGAAGACATCACAACGCAGTTTGTGGGAATGATTCTGTCTAGTTTTGAAACCAAGATATTTCCTTTTCTGCCGTTGACCTAAAAGAGCTTGAAAACTACACTTGCAAATTGCACAAATAGAGTGTTTCAAATCTGCTCTGTCTAGGGGAACGTTCAACTCTGTGGGTTGAATGCACACAACACAAGGAAGTTACTGGGAATTCTTCTGTCTAGCCTTACATGAAAAAAACCCGTTTCCAACGAAGGCCTCTAAGTGGTCAAAATATCCACGTGCAGACTATACAAACAGAGTGTTTCCAAACCGCTGAATGAAAAGAAAAGTTAAACTCTGAGAGTTGAACGCACACATCACGCAGCAGTTTCTGAGAATGATTCTGTCTAGTTTTTATACGAAGATATTTCCTTTTCTGCCTTTGGCCCCAAAGCTTGAAATCTCCACTTGCAAATTCCACAAAAACAGTGTTTCAAATCTGCTCTCTCTAAATGAAAGTTCAACTCTGTCAGTTGAATAAACACAACACAAGGAAGTTACTGAGAATTCTTCTGTCTAGCAGAATATGAAGAAATCCCGTTTCCAACGAAGGCCTCAAAGAGGTCTGAATATCCACTTGCAGACTTTACAAAGAGAGTGTTTCCTAACTGCTCTATGAAAAGAAAGGTTAAACTCTGTGAGTTGTACGCACAAATCACAAAGGAGTTTCTGAGAATCGTTCTGTCTAGTCTTTATACGAAGATATTTACTTTTCTACCATTGACCTCAAAGCGGCTGAAATCTCCACTTGCAAATTCCACAGAAAGAGTGTCTCAAGTCTACTCTGTGTAAACGATCGTTCAACTCTGTGAGTTGAATACACACAACACAAGGAAGTTTCTGAGAATTCTTCTGTCTAGCAGAATATGAAGAAATCCCGTTTCCAACGAAGGCCTCAAGGAGGTCTGAATATCCACTTGCAGACTTTACAAACAGAGTGTTTCCTAACTGCTCTATGAAAAGAAAGGTTAAACTCTTTGACTTGAACGCACACATCACAACGCAGTTTGTGGGAATGATTCTGTCTAGTCTTTATACGAAGATATTTCCTTTTCTACCATTGACCTCAAAGCGGCTGAAATCTCCACTTGCAAATTCCACAAAAAGTGTGTTTCAAGTCTGCTCTGTGTAAAGGATCGTTCAACTCTGTGAGGTTGAATACACACAACACGAGGAAGTTACTGAGAATTCTTCTGTCTAGCAGAATATGAAGAAATCCCGTTTCCAACGAAGGCCTCAAGGAGGTCTGAATATCCACTTCCAGACTTTACAAACAGAGTGTCTCCTAACTGCTCTATGAAAAGAAAAGTTAAACTCTGTGAGTTGCACGCACACATCACAAAGGAGTTTCTGAGAATCATTCTGTCTAGTTTTGAAACGAAGATATTTCCTTTTCTGCCTTTGGCCTCAAAGCGCTTGAAATCTCCATTTGCAAATTCCACAAAAAGAGTGTTTCAAATCTGCTCTGTGTAAATGAAAGTTCAACTCTGTGAGTTGAACACACACAACACAAGGATGTTAGTGGGAATTCTTCTGTCTAGCAGAATATGAAGAAATCCCGTTTCCAACGAAGGCCTCAAGGAGGTCTGAATATCCACTTGCAGACTTTACAAACAGAGTGTTTCCTAACTGCTCTATGAACAGAAAGGTTAAACTCTGTGAGTTGAACGAACACATCACAACGCAGTTTGTGGGAATGATTCTGTCTAGTTTTGAAACGAAGATATTTCCTTTTCTGCCGTTGACCTTAAAGTGCTTGAAATCTACACTTGCAAATTGCACAAATAGAGTGTTTCAAATCTGCTCTGTCTAAGGGAACGTTCAACTCTGTGAGTTGAATGGACACAACACAAGGAAGTTACTGGGAATTCTTCTGTCTAGCCTTACATGAAAAAAACCCGTTTCCAACGAAGGCCTCTAAGTGGTCAAAATATGCACGTTCAGACTTTACAAACAGAGTGTTTCCAAACCGCTGAATGAAAAGAAAAGTTAGACTATGAGTGTTGAACGCACACATCACGCAGCAGTTTCTGAGAATGATTCTGTCTAGTTTTGAAACGAAGATATTTCCTTTTCTGCCATTGACCTTAAAGCGCTTGAAATCTCCATTTGCCAATTGCACAAAAAGAGTGTTTCAAATCTGCTCTGTCTAAGGGAACGTTCAACTCTGTGAGTTGAATGTACACAACACAAGGAAGTTACTGGGAATTCTTCTGTCTAGCCTTATATGAAAAAAACCCGTTTCCAACGAAGGCCTCAAAGAGGTCTGAATATCCACATGCAGACTTTACAAGCAGAGTGTTTCCTAACTGCTCTATGAAAAGAAAGGTTAAACTCTGTGAGTTGAACGCACACATCACAAAGGAGTTTCTGAGAATCATTGTGTCTAGTTTTTATACGAAGATATTTCCTTTTCTACCATTGACCTCAAAGCGGCTGAAATCTCCACTTGCAATTTCCACAAAAAGAGTGTTTCAAGTCTGCTCTGTGTAAAGGATCGTTCAACTCTGTGAGTTGAATACACACAACACAAGGAAGTTACTGAAAATTCTTCTGTCTAGCACAGTATGAAGAAATCCCGTTTCCAACGAAGGCCTCAAAGAGGTCTGAATATCCACTTGCAGAGTTTACAAACAGAGTGTTTCCTAACTGCTCTATGAAAAGAAAGGTTAAACTCTGTGAGTTCAACGCACACATCACAAAGAAGTTTCTGAGAATCATTCTGTCTAGTTTCTATAGGAAGATATTTCCTATTCTACCATTGACCTCAAAGCGGCTGAAATCTCCACTTGCAAGTTCCACAAAAAGAGTGTTTCAAGTCTGCTCTGTGTAAAGGATCGTTCAACTCTGTGAGTTGAATACACACAACACAAGGCAGTTACTGAGAATTCTTCTGTCTAGCAGAATATGAAGAAATCCCGTTTCCAACGAAGGCCACAAGATGTCAGAATATCCACTTACAGACTTTACACAGTGTTTCCTAACTGCTCTATGAACAGAAAGGTTAAACTCTGTGAGTTGAACGAACACATCACAACGCAGTTTGTGGGAATGATTCTGTCTAGTTTTGAAACGAAGATATTTCCTTTTCTGCCATTGACCTTAAAGCGCTTGAAATCTACACTTGCAAATTGCACAAATAGAGTGTTTCAAATCTGCTCTGTCTAAGGGAACGTTCAACTCTGTGAGTTGAATGCACACAACACAAGGAAGTTACTGGGAATTCTTCTGTCTAGCCTTACATGCAAAAAACCCGTTTCCAACGAAGGCCTCTAAGTGGTCAAAATATCCACGTGCAGACTTTACAAACAGAGTGTTTCCAAACCTCTGAATGAAAAGAAAAGTTAAACTCTGAGAGTTGAACGCACACATCACGCAGCAGTTTCTGAGAATGATTCTGTCTAGTTTTTATACGAAGATATTTCCTTTTCTGCCTTTGGCCACAAAGCGCTTGAAATCTCCACTTGCAAATTCCACAAAAAGAGTGTTTCAAATCTGCTCTGTGTAAATGAAAGTTCAACTCTGTGAGTTGAACACACACAACACAAGGAAGTTACTGGGAATTCTTCTGTCTAGCCTTATATGAAAAAAACCCGTTTCCAACGAAGGCCTCAAAGAGGTCTGAATATCCACTTGCAGACTTTACAAACAGAGTGTTTCCTAACTGCTGAATGAAAAGAAAGGTTAAACTCTGTGAGTTGAACACACACATCACAAAGGAGTTTCTGAGAATCATTCTGTCTAGTTTCTATAGGAAGATATTTCCTATTCTATCATTGACCTCAAAGCGGCTGAAATCTCCACTTGCAAATTCCACAAAAAGAGTGTTTCAAGTTTGCACTCTGTAAAGGATCGTTCAACTCTGTGAGTTGAATACACACAACACAAGGAAGTTACTGAGAATTATTCTGTCTAGCAGAATATAAAGAAATCCCGTTTCCAACGAAGGCCACAAGATGTCAGAATATCCACTTACAGAATTGACAAACAGACTGTTTCCTAACTGCTCTATGAAAAGAAAGGTTAAACTCTGTGAGTTGAACGAACCCATCACAACGCAGTTTGTGGGAATGATTCTGTCTAGTTTTGAAACGAAGATATTTCCTTTTCTGCCATTGACCTCAAGCGCTTGAAATCTCCACTTGCCAATTGCACAAAAAGAGTGTTTCAAATCTGCTCTGTCTAAGGGAACGTTCAACTCTGTGAGTTGAATGTACACAACACAAGGAAGTTACTGGGAATTCTTCTGTCTAGCCTTACATGAAAAAAACCCGTTTCCAACGAAGGCCTCTAAGTGGTCAAATTATCCACGTGCAGACTTTACAAACAGAGTGTTTCCAAACTGCTGAATGAGACGAAAAGTTAAACTCTGAGAGTTGAACGCACACATCGCAGAGCAGTTTCTGAGAATGATTCTGTCTAGTTTTTATACGAAGATATTTCCTTTTCTGCCTTTGGCCCCAAAGCGCTTGAAATCTCCATTTGCAAATTCCACAAAAAGAGTGTTTCAAATCTGCTCTGTGTAAATGAAAGTTCAACTCTGTGAGTTGAACACACACAACACAAGGAAGTTACTGGGAATTCTTCTGTCTAGCATAGTATGAAGAAATCCCGTTTCCAACGAAGGCCTCAAAGTGGTCTGAATATCCACTTGCAGAGTTTACAAACAGAGGGTTTCCTAACTGCTCTATGAAAAGAAAGGTTAAACTCTGTGAGTTGAACGCACACATCACAAAGAAGTTTCTGAGAATCATTTTGTCTAGTTTCTATAAGAAGATATTTCCTATTCTACCATTGACCTCAAAGCGGCTGAAATCTCCACTTGCAAATTCGACAAAAAGAGTGTTTCAAGCCTGCTCTCTGTAAAGGATCCTTCAACTCTGTGAGTTGAATACACACAACACAAGGAAGTTACTGAGAATTCTTCTGTCTAGCACAGTATGAAGAATTCCCGTTTCCAACGAAGGCCTCAAAGAGGTCTGAATATCCACTTGCAGAGTTTACAAACAGAGTGTTTCCTAACTGCTGTATGAAAAGAAAGGTTAAACTCTGTGAGTTGAACGCACACATCACAATGAAGTTTCTGAGAATCATTCTGTCTAGTTTTTATACGAAGATATTTCCTTTTCTACCATTGACCTCAAAGCGGCTGAAATCACCACTAGCCAATTGCACAAAAAGAGTGTTTCAAATCTGCTCTATCTAAGGGAACGTTCAACTCTGTGAGTTGAATGTACACAAAACAAGGAAGTTACTGGGAATTCTTCTGTCTAGCCTTACATGAAAAAAACCCGTTTCCAACGAAGGCCTCTAAGTGGTCAAATTATTCACGTGCAGACGTTACAAACAGATTGTTTCCAAACTGCTGAATGAAAAGAAAAGTTAAACTCTGAGAGTTGAACGCACACATCGCAGAGCAGTTTCTGAGAATGATTCTGTCTAGTTTTTATACGAAGATATTTCCTTTTCTGCCTTTGGCCTCAAAGCGCTTGAAATCTCCACTTGCAAATTCCACAAAAAGAGTGTTTCAAATCTGCTCTTTGTAAATGAAAGTTCAACTCTGTGAGTTGAACACACACAACACAAGGAAGTTACTGGGAATCCTTCTGTCTGGCAGAATATGAAGAAATCCCGTTTCCAACGAAGGCCTCAAGGAGGTCTGAATATCCACTTGCAGACTTTACAAACAGAGTGTTTCCTAACTGCTCTATGAGAAGAAAAGTTAAACTCTGTGAGTTGAACGCACACATCACAAAAGATTTTCTGAGAATCATTCTGTCTAGTTTCTATAGGAAGATATTTCCTATTCTACCATTGACCACAAAGCGGCTGAAATCTCCACTTGCAAATTCCACAAAAAGAGTGTTTCAAGTCTGTTCTGTGTAAAGGATCATTCAACTCTGTGAGTTGAATACACACAACACAAGGAAGTTACTGAGAATTCTTCTGTCTAGCAGAATATGAATAAATCCCGTTTCCAACGAAGGCCACAAGATGTCAGAATATCCACTTACAGACTTTACAAACAGAGTGTTTCCTAACTGCTCTATGAACAGAAAGGTTAAACTCTGTGAGTTGAACGAACACATCACAACGCAGTTTGTGGGAATGATTCTGTCTAGTTTTGAAACGAAGATATTTCCTTTTCTGCCATTGACCTTAAAGCGCTTGAAATCTCCACTTGCCAATTGCACAAAAAGAGTGTTTCAAATCTGCTCTGTCTAAGGGAACGTTCAACTCTGTGAGTTGAATGTACACAACACAAGGAAGTTACTGCGAATTCTTCTGTCTAGCCTTACAGGAAAAAAACCCATTTCCAACGAAGGCCTCTAAGTGGTCAAAATATCCACGTGCAGACTTTACAAACAGAGTGTTTCCAAACTGCTGAATGAAAAGAAAAGTTAAACTCTGAGAGTTGAACGCACACATCGCAGAGCAGTTTCTGAGAATGATTCTGTCTAGTTTTTATACGAAGATATTTGCTTTTCTGCCTTTGGCCTCAAAGCGCTTGAAATCTCCATTTGCAAATTCCACAAAAAGAGTGTTTCAAATCTGCTCTGTGTAAATGAAAGTTCAACTATGTGAGTTGAACACACACAACACAAGGAAGTTACTGGGAATTCTTCTGTCTAGCATAATATGAAGAAATCCCGTTTCCAACGAAGGCCTCAAATGGGTCTGAATATCCATTTGCAGACTTTATAAACAGAGTGTTTACTAACTGTTCTATGAAAAGAAAGGTTAAACTCAGTGAGTTGAACACACACATCACAAAGGAGTTTCTGAGAATCATTCTGTGTAGTTTTTCTACGAAGATATTTCCTTTTCTACTATTGACCTCAAAGCGGCTGAAATCTCCACTTGCAAATTCCACAAAAAGAGTGTTTCAAGTCTGCTCTGTGTAAAGGATCGTGCAACTCTGTGAGTTGAATACACACAACACAAGGAAGTTACTGAGAATTATTCTGTCTAGCAGAACATGAAGAAATCCCGTTTCCAATGAAGGCCTCAAGGAGGTCTGAATATCCACTTGCAGACTTTACAAACAGAGTGTTTCCTAACTGCTCTATGAAAAGTAAGGTTAAACTCTGTGAGTTGAACGCACACATCACAAAGGAGTTTCTGAGAATCATTCTGTATAGTTTTGAAACGAAGATATTTCCTTTTCAGCCGTTGACCTTAAAGCGCTTGAAATCTACACTTGCAAATTGCACAAATAGGCTGTTTCAAATCTGCTCTGTCTAAGGGAACGTTCAACTCTGTGAGTTGAATGCACACAACACAAGGAAGTTACTGGGAATTCTTCTGTCTAGCCTTACATGAAAAAAACACGTTTCCAACGAAGGCCTCTAAGTGGCCAAATTATCCACGTGCAGACTTTACAAACAGAGTGTTTCCAAACTGCTGAATGAAAAGAAAAGTTAAACTCTGAGAGTTGAACGCACACATCGCAGAGCAGTTTCTGAGAATGATTCTGTCTAGTTTTTATACGAAGATATTTACTTTTCTGCCTTTGGCCTCAAAGCGCTTGAAATCTCCACTTGCAAATTCCACAAAAAGAGTGTTTCAAATCTGCTCTTTGTAAATGAAAGTTCAACTCTGTGAGTTGAACACACACAACACAAGGAAGTTACTGGGAATCCTTCTGTCTAGCAGAATATAAAGAAATCCCGTTTCCAACGAAGGCCTCAAGGAGGTCTGAATATCCACTTGCAGACTTTACAAACAGAGTGTTTCCTAACTGCTCTATGAAAAGAATGGTTAAACTCTGTGAGTTGAACGCACACATCACAAAGGAGTTTCTGAGAATCATTCTGTCTAGTTTTTATACGAAGATATTTCCTTTTCTACCATTGACCTCAACGCGGCTGAAATCTCCACTTGCAAATTCCACAAGAACAGTGTTCCAAGTCTGCTCTGTGTAAAGGATCGTTCAACTCTGTGAGTTGAATACACACAACACAAGGAAGTTACTGAGAATTCTTCTGTCTAGCAGAATATGAAGAAATCCCGTTTCCAACGAAGGCCTCAAAGAGGTCTGAATATCCACTTGCAGACTTTACAAACAGAGTGTTTCCTAACTGCTCTATGAAAAGAAAAGTTAAACTCTGTGAGTTGAACGCACACATCACAACGCAGTTTGTGGGAATGATTCTGTCTAGTTTTGAAACGAAGATATTTCCTTTTCTGCCATTGACCTTAAAGCGCTTGAAATCTCCACTTGCCAATTGCACAAAAAGAGTGTTTCAAATCTGCTCTGTGTAAGGGAACGTTCAACTCTGTGAGTTGAATGTACACAACACAAGGAAGTTACTGGGAATTCTTCTGTCGAGCCTTACATGAAAAAAACCCGTTTCCAACGAAGGCCTCTAAGTGGTCAAAATTTCCACGTGCAGACTTTACAAACAGAGTGTTTCCAAACCGCTGAATGAAAAGAAAAGTTAAACTCTGAGAGTTGAACGCACACATCACGCAGCAGTTTCTGAGAATGATTCTGTCTAGTTTTTTTATGAAGATATTTCCTTTTCTACCATTGACCTCAAAGTGGCTGAAATCTCCGCTTGCAAAATCCACAAAAATATTGTTTCTAATCTGCTCTGTGTAAAGGATCTTTCAACTCTGTGAGTTGAATGCACACAACACAAGGAAGTTACTGAGAATTCTTCTGTCTAGCATAATATGAAGAAATCCCGTTTCCAACGAAGGCCTCAGAGAGGTCTGAATATCTACTTGCAGACTTTACAGAGTGTTTCCTAACTGCTCTATGAAAAGAAAGGTTAAACTCCGTGAGTTGAACGCACACATCACAAAGGAGTTTCTGAGAATCATTCTGTCTAGTCTTTATATGAAGATAGTTTCCTTTTCTACCATTGACCACAAAGCGGCTGAAATCTCCACTTGCAAATTCCACAAAAAGAGTGTTTCAAGTCTGCTCTGTGTAAAGGATCATTCAACTCTGTGTGTTGAATAAACACAACACAAGGAAGTTACTGAGAATTCTTCTGTCTAGCAGAATATGAAGAAATCCCGTTTCCAACGAAGGCCACAAGATGTCAGAATATCCACTTACAGAATTGACAAACAGACTGTTTCCTAAATGCTCTATGAAAAGAAACGTTAAACTCTGTGAGTTGAACGAACACATCACAACGCAGTTTGTGGGAATGATTCTGTCTAGTTTTGAAACGAAGATATTTCCTTTTCTGCCGTTGACCTTAAAGAGCTTGAAAACTACACTTGCAAATTGCACAAATAGAGTGTTTCAAATCTGCTCTGTCTAAGGGAACGTTCAACTCTGTGAGTTGAATGCACACAACACAAGGGAAGTTACTGGGAATTCTTCTGTCTAGCCTTACATGAAAAAACCCGTTTCCAACGAAGGCCTCTAAGTGGTCAAAATATCCACGTGCAGACTTTACAAACAGAGTGTTTCCAAACCGCTGAATGAAAAGAAAAGTTAAACTCTGAGAGTTGAACGCACACATCATGCAGCAGTTTCTGAGAATGATTCTGTCTAGTTTTTATACGAGGATATTTCCTTTTCTGCCTTTGGCCTCACAGCGCTTGAAATCTCCACTTGCAAATTCCACAAAAAGAGTGTTTCAAATCTGCTCTGTGTAAATGAAAGTTCAACTCTGTGAGTTGAACACACACAACACAAGGAAGTTACTGGGAATTCTTCTGTCTAGCAGAATATGAAGAAATCCCATTTCAAAGAAAGCCTCAAAGATGTCTGAATATCCACTTGCAGACTTTACAAACAGAGTGTTTCCTAACTGCTCTATGAAAAGAAAGGTTAAACTCTGTGAGTTGAACGCACACATCACAAAGGAGTTTCTGAGAATCATTCTGTCTAGTTTCTATAGGAAGATATTTCCTATTCTACCATTGACCTCAAAGCGGCTGAAATCTCCACTTGCAAATTCCACAAAAAGAGTGTTTCAAGTATGCTCTGTGTAAAGGATCGTTCAACTCTGTGAGTCGAATACACACAACACAAGGAAGTTACTGAGAATTCTTCTGTCTAGCAGAGTATGAGGAAATCCCGTTTCCAACGAAGGCCACAAGATGTCAGAATATCCACTTACAGAATTGACAAACAGACTGTTTCCTAACTGCTCTATGAAAAGAAAGGTTAAACTCTGTGAGTTGAACGAACACATCACAACGCAGTTTGTGGGAATGATTCTGTCTAGTTTTGAAACGAAGATATTTCCTTTTCTGCCATTGACCTTAAAGCGCTTGAAATCTCCATTTGCCAATTGCACAAAAAGAGTGTTTCAAATCTGCTCTGTCTAAGGGAACGTTCAACTCTGTGAGTTGAATGTACACAACACAAGGAAGTTACTGGGAATTCTTCTGTCTAGCCTTACAGGAAAAAAACCCGTTTCCAACGAAGGCCTCTAAGTGGTCAAAATATCCACGTGCAGACTTTACAAACAGAGTGTTTCCAAACTGCTGAATGAAAAGAAAAGTCAAACTCTGAGAGTTGAACGCACACATCGCAGAGCAGTTTCTGAGAATGATTCTGTCTAGTTTTTATACGAAGATATTCCCTTTTCTGCCTTTGGCCTCAAAGCGCTTGAAATCTCCACTTGCAAATTCCACAAAAAGAGTGTTTCAAATCTGCTCTGTGTAAATGAAAGTTCAACTCTGTGAGTTGAACACACACAACACAAGGAAGTTACTGGGAATTCTTCTGTCTAGCATAATATGAAGAAATCCCGTTTCCAACGAAGACCTCAAAGGGGTCTGAATATCCACTTGCAGACTTTATAAACAGAGTGTTTACTAACTGCTCTATGAAAAGAAAGGTTAAACTCTGTGAGTTGAACACACACATCACAAAGGAGTTTCTGAGAATCATTCTGTCTAGTTTCTATAGGAAGATATTTCCTATTCTACCATTGACTTCAAAGCGGCTGAAATCTCCACTTGCAAATTCCACAAAAAGAGTGTTTCAAGTCTGCTCTGTGTAAAGGATCGTTCAACTCTGTGAGTTGAATACACACAACACAAGGAAGTTACTGAGAATTCTTCTTTCTAGCAGAATATGAAGAAATCCCGTTTCCAACGAAAGCCTCAAGGATGTCTGAATATCCAATTGCAGACTTTACAAACAGAGTGTTTCCTAACTGCTCTATGAAAAGAAAGGGTAAACTCTGTGAGTTGAACGCACACATCACAAAGGAGTTTCTGAGAATCATTCTGTCTAGTTTTTATACGAAGATATTTCCTTTTCTACCATTGACCTCAAAGCGGCTGAAATCACCACTTGCCAATTGCACAAAAAGAGTGTTTCAAATCTGCTCTCTCTAAGGAAACGTTCAACTCTGTGAGTTGAATGTACACAACACAAGGAAGTTACTGGGAATTCTTCTGTCTAGCCTTACAAGAAAAAAACCCGTTTCCAACGAAAGCCTCTAAATGGTCAAAATATCCACGTGCAGACTTTACAAACAGAGTGTTTCCAAACTGCTGAATGAAAAGAAAAGTTAAACTCTGAGAGTTGAACGCACACATCGCAGAGCAGTTTCTGAGAATGATTCTGTCTAGTTTTGAAACGAAGATATTTCCTTTTCTGCCTTTGGCCTCAAAGCGCTTGAAATCTCCACTTGCAAATTCCACAAAAAGAGTGTTTCAAATCTTCTCTGTGTAAATGAAAGTTCAACTCTGTGACTTGAACACACACAACACAAGGAAGTTACTGGGAATTCTTCTGTCTAGCACAGTATGAAGAAATCCCGTTTCCAACGAAGGCCTCGAAGAGGTCTGAATATCCACTTGCAGAGTTTACAAACAGAGTGTTTCCTAACTGCTCTATGAAAAGAAAGGTTAAACTCTGTGAGTTGAACGCACACATCACAAAGAAGTTTCTGAGAATCATTCTGTCTAGTTTTTATAGGAAGATATTTCCTTTTCTACCTTTGACTTCAAAGCGGCTGAAATCTCCACTTGCAATTTCCACAAAAAGAGTGTTACAAGTCTGCTCTGTGTAAAGGATCGTTCAACTCTGTGAATTGAATACACACAACACAAGGAAGTTACTGAGAATTCTTCTGTCTAGCACAGTATGAAGAAATCCCGTTTCCAACGAAGGCCTCAAAGAGGTCTGAATATCCACTTGCAGACTTTACAAACAGAGTGTTTCCTAACTGCTCTATGAAAAGAAAGGTTAAACTCTGTGAGTTGAACGCACACATCACAAAGGAGTTTCTGACAATCATTCTGTCTAGTTTTTATAGGAAGATATTTCCTTTTCTACCTTTGACTTCAAAGCGGCTGAAATCTCCACTTGCAAATTCCACAAAAAGAGTGTTACAAGTCTGCTCTGTGTAAAGGATCGTTCAACTCTGTGAGTTGAATGTACACAACACAAGGAAGTTACTGAGAATTCTTCTGTCTAGCCTTACATGAAAAAAACCCGTTTCCAACGAAGGCCTCTAAGTGGTCAAAATATCCACGTGCAGACTTTACAAACAGAGTGTTTCCAAACCGCTGAATGAAAAGAAAAGTTAAACTCTGAGAGTTGAACGCACACATCACACAGCAGTTTCTGAGAATGATTCTGTCTAGTTTTGAAACGAAGATATTTCCTTTTCTGCCTTTGGTCTCAAATCGCTTGAAATCTCCACTTGCAAATTCCACAAAAAGAGTGTTTCAAATCTGCTCTGTGTAAATGAAAGTTCAACTCTGTGAGTTGAACACACACAACACAAGGAAGTTACTGGGAATTCTTCTGTCTAGCCTTATATGAAAAAAACCCGTTTCCAATGAAGGCCTCAAAGAGGTCTGAATATCCACTTGCAGACTTTACAAACAGAGTGTTTCCTAACTGCTCTATGAAAAGAAAGGTTAAACTCTGTGAGTTGAACACACACATCACAAAGGAGTTTCTGAGAATCATTCTGTCTAGTTTTTATACGAAGATATTTTCTTTTCTACCATTGACCTCAACGCGGCTGAAATCTCCACTTGCAAATTCCACAAAAAGAGTGTTTCAAGTCCGCTCTGTGTAAAGGATCGTTCAACTCTGTGAGTTGAATACACACAACACAAGGAAGTTACTGAGAATTCTTCTGTCTAGCATAATATGAAGAAATCCCGTTTCCAACGAAGGCCTCAAAGAGGTCTGAATATCCACTTGCAGACTTTACAAACAGAGTGTTTCCTAACTGCTCTATGAACAGAAAGGTTAAACTCTGTGAGTTGAACGAACACATCACAACGCAGTTTGTGGGAATGATTCTGTCTAGTTTTTATACGAAGATATTTCCTTTTATACCATTGACCTCAAAGCGGCTGAAATCACCACTTGCCAATTGCACAAAAAGAGTGTTTCAAATCTGCTCTGTCTAAGGGAACGTTCCACTCTGTGAGTTGAATGTACACAACACAAGGAAGTTACTGGGAATTCTTCTGTCTAGCCTTACAGGAAAAAAACCCGTTTCCAACGAAGGCCTCTAAGTGGTCAAAATATCCACGTGCAGACTTTACAAACAGAGTGTTTCCAAACTGCTGAATGAAAAGAAAAGTTAAACTCTGAGAGTTGAACGCACACATCGCAGAGCAGTTTCTGGGAATGATTCTGTCTAGTTTTGAAACGAAGATATTTCCTTTTCCGCCTTTGGCCTCAAAGCGCTTGAAATCTCCACTTGCAAATTCCACAAAAAGAGTGTTTCAAATCTGCTCTGTGTAAATGAAAGTTCAACTCTGTGAGTTGAACACACACAACACAAGGAAGTTACTGGGAATTCTTCTGTCTAGCAGAATATGAAGAAATCCCGTTTCCAACGAAGGCCTCAAAGAGGTCTGAATATCCACTTGCAGACATTACAAACAGAGTGTTTCCTAACTGGTCTATGAAAAGAAAAGTTAAACTCTGTGAGTTGAACGCACACATCACAAAGGAGTTTCTGAGAGTCATTCTGTCTAGTTTTTATACGAAGATATTTCCTTTTCTACTATTGACCACAAATCGGCTGAGATCTCCACTTGCAAATTCCACAAAAAGAGTGTTTCAAGTCTGCTCTGTATAAAGGATCGTTGAACTCTTTGAGTTGAATACACACAACACAAGGAAGTTACTGAGAATTCTTCTGTATAGCAGAATATGAAGAAATCCCGTTTCCAACGAAGGCCACAAGATGTCACAATATCCACTTACAGAATTTACAAACAGACTGTTTCCTAACTCCTCTATGAAAACAAAGGTTAAACTCTGTGAGTTGAACGAACACATCACAACGCAGTTTGTGGGAATTATTCTGTCTAGTTTTGAAACGAAGATATTTCCTTTTCTGCCATTGACCTCAAAGCGCTTGAAATCTCCACTTGCCAATTGCACAAAAAGAGTGTTTCAAATCTGCTCTGTCTAAGGGAACGTTCAACTCTGTGAGTTGAATGTACACAACACAAGGAAGTTACTGGGAATTCTTCTGTCTAGCCTTACAGGAAAAAAACCCGTTTCCAACGAAGGCCTCTAAGTGGTCAAAATATCCACGTGGAGACTTTACAAACAGAGTGTTTCCAAACTGCTGAATGAAAAGAAAAGTTAAACTCTGAGAGTTGAACGCACACATCGCAGAGCAGTTTCTGAGAATGATTCTGTCTAGTTTTGAAACGAAGATATTTCCTTTTCTGCCTTTGGCCTCAAAGCGCTTGACATCTCCACTTGCAAATTCCTCAAAAAGAGTGTTTCAAATCTGCTCTGTGTAAATGAAAGTTCAACTCTGTGAGTTGAACACACACAACACAAGGAAGTTACTGGGAATTCTTCTTTCTAGCAGAATATGAAGAAATCCCGTTTCCAAGGAAAGCCTCAACGATGTCTGAATATCCACTTGCAGACTTTACAAACAGAGTGTTTCCTAACTGCTCTATGAAAAGAAAGGTTAAACTCTGTGAGTTCAACGCACACATCACAAAGGAGTTTCTGAGAATCATTCTGTCTAGTTTTGAAACGAAGATATTTCCTTTTCTGCCATTGACCTTAAAGCGCTTGAAATCTACACTTGCAAATTCCACAAAAAGAGTGTTTCAAGTCTGCTCTGTGTAAAGGATCGTTCAACTCTGTGAGTTGAATACACACAACACAAGGAAGTTACTGAGAATTATTCTGTCTAGCAGAATATGAAGAAATCCCGTTTCCAACGAAGGCCTCAAGGAGGTCTGAATATCCACTTGCAGACTTTACAAACAGAGTGTTTCCTAACTGCTCTATGAACAGAAAGGTTAAACTCTGTGAGTTGAACGAACACATCACAACGCAGTTTGTGGGAATGATTCTGTCTACTTTTTATAGGAAGATATTTCCTTTTCTACCTTTGACTTCAAAGCGGCTGAAATCTCCACTTGCAAATTACACAAAAAGAGTGTTACAAGTCTGCTCTGTCTAAGGGAACGTTCAACTCTGTGAGTTGAATGTACACAACACAAGGAAGTTACTGGGAATTCTTCTGTCTAGCCTTACAGGAAAAAAACCCGTTTCCAACGAAGGCCTCTAAGTGGTCAAAATATCCACCTTCAGACTTTACAAACAGAGTGTTTCCAAACTGCTGAATGAAAAGAAAAGTTAAACTCTGAGAGTTGAACGCACACATCGCAGAGCAGTTTCTGAGAATGATTCTGTCTAGTTTCTATAGGAAGATATTTCCTATTCTACCATTGACCTCAAAGCGGCTGAAATCTCCACTTGCAAATTCCACAAAAAGAGTGTTTCAAGTCTGCTCTGTGTAAAGCATCGTTCAACTCTGTGAGTTGAAAACACACAACACAAGGAAGTTTCTGAGAATTCTTCTGTATAGCAGAATATGAAGAAATCCCGTTTCCAACGAAAGCCTCAAAGATGTCTGAATATCCACTTGCAGACTTTACAAACAGAGTGTTTCCTAACTGCTCTATGAAAAGAAAGGTTAAACTCTGTGAGTTGAACGCACACATCACAAAGGAGTTTCTGAGAATCATTCTGTCTAGTGTTTATACGAAGATATTTCCTTTTCTACCATTGACCTCAAAGCGGCTGAAATCTCCATTTGCAAATTCCACAAAAAGAGTGTTTCAAGTCTGGTCTGTGTAAAGGATCGTTCAACTCTGTGAGTTGAATACACACAACACAAGGAAGTTACTGAGAATTCTTCTGTCTAGCATAATATGAAGAAATCCCGTTTCCAACGAAGGCCTCAAAGAGGTCTGAATATCCACTTGCAGACTTTACAAACAGAGTGTTTCCTAACTGTTCTATGAACAGAAAGGTTAAACTCTGTGAGTTGAACGAACACATCACAACGCAGTTTGTGGGAATGATTCTGTCTAGTTTTGAAACGAAGATATTTCCTTTTCTGCCATTGACCTTAAAGCGCTTGAAATCTACACTTGCAAATTGCACAAATAGAGTGTTTCAAATCTGCTCTGTCTAAGGGAACGTTCAACTCTGTTAGTTGAATGCACACAACACAAGGAAGTTACTGGGAATTCTTCTGTCTAGCCTTACATAAAAAAAACCCGTTTCCAACGAAGGCCTCTAAGTGGTCAAATTATCCACGTGCAGACTTTACAAACAGAGTGTTTCCAAACTGCTGAATGAAAAGCAAAGTTAAACTCTGAGAGTTGAACGCACACATCGCAGAGCAGTTTCTGAGAATGATTCTGTCTAATTTTTATACGAAGATATTTCCTTTTCTGCCTTTGGCCTCAAAGCGCTTGAAATCTCCACTTGCAAATTCCACAAAAAGAGTGTTTCAAATCTGCTCTGTGTAAATGAAAGTTCAACGCTGTGAGTTGAACACACACAACACAAGGAAGTTACTGGGAATTCTTCTGTCTTGCATAATATGAAGAAATCCCGATTCCAACGAAGGCCTCAAAGGGGTCTGAATATCCACTTGCAGACTTTATAAACAGAGTGTTTACTAACTGCTCTATGAAAAGAAAGGTTAAATTCTGTGAGTTGAACACACACATCACAAAGGAGTTTCTGAGAATCATTCTGTCTAGTTTCTATAGGAAGATATTTCCTATTCTACCATTGACCTCAAAGCGGCTGAAATCTCCACTTGCAAATTCCACAAAAAGAGAGTTTCAAGTCTGCTCTGTGTAAAGGATCGTTCAACTCTGTGAGTTGAATACACACAACACAAGGAAGTTACTGAGAATTCTTCTGTCTACCATAATATGAAGAAATCCCGTTTCCAACGAAGGCCTCAAGGAGGTCTGAATATCCACTTGCAGACTTTACAAACAGAGTGTTTCCTAACTGCTCTATGAAAAGAAAGGTTAAACTCTGTGAGTTGAACGCACACATCACAAAGGAGTTTCTGAGAATCATTCTGTCTAGTTTTGAAACGAAGATATTTCCTTTTCTGCCATTGACCTTAAAGCGCTTGAAATCTACACTTGCAAATTGCACAAATAGAGTGTTTCAAATCTGCTCTGTCTAAGGGAACGTTCAACTCTGTGAGTTGAATGCACACAACACAAGGAAGTTACTGGGAATTCTTCTGTCTAGCCTTACAAGAAAAAAACCCGTTTCCAACGAAGGCCTCTAAGTGGTCAAAATTTCCACGTTCAGACTTTACAAACAGAGTGTTTCCAAACCGCTGAATGAAAAGAAAAGTTAAACTCTGAGAGTTGAACGCACACATCACGCAGCAGTTTCTGAGAATGATTCTGTCTAGTTTTGAAACGAAGATATTTCCTTTTCTGCCTTTGGCCTCAAAGCGCTTGAAATCTCCACTTGCAAATTCCACAAAAAGAGTGTTTCAAATCTGCTCTCTGTAAATGAAAGTTCAACTCTGTGAGTCGAACACACACAACACAAGGAAGTTACTGGGAATTCTTTTGTCTAGCCTTACAGGAAAAAAACCCGTTTCCAACGAAGGCCTCTAAGTGGTCAAATTATCCACGTGCAGACTTTACAAACAGAGTGTTTCCAACCTGCTGAATGAAAAGAAAAGTTAAACTCTGAGAGTTGAACGCACACATCACAAAGGAGTTTCTGAGAATCATTCTGGCTAGTTTCTATAGGAAGATATTTCCTATTCTACCATTGACCTCAAAGCGGCTGAAATCTCCAATTGCAAATTCCACAAAAAGAGTGTTTCAAGTCTGCTCTGTGTAAAGGATCGTTCAACTCTGTGAGTTGAATACACACAACACAAGGAAGTTACTGAGAATTCTTCTGTCTAGCAGAATATGAAGAAATCCCGCTTCCAACGAAGGCCTCAAAGAAGTCTGAATATCCACTTGCAGACTTTACAAACAGAGTGTTTCCCAACTGCTCTATGAAAAGAAAGGTTGAACTCTGTGAGTTGAACGCACACATCACAAAGGACTTTCTGAGAATCATTCTGTCTAGTTTTGAAACGAAGATATTTCCTTTTCTGCCATTGACCTTAAAGCGCTTGAAATCTCCATTTGCCAATTGCACAAAAAGAGTGTTTCAAATCTGCTCTGTCTAAGGGAACGTTCAACTCTGTGAGTTGAATGTACACAACACAAGGAAGTTACTGGGAATTCTTCTGTCTAGCCTTATATGAAAAAAACCCGTTTCCAACGAAGGCCTCTAAGTGGTCAAATTATCAACGTGCAGACTTTACAAACAGAGTGTTTACAAACTGCTGAATGAAAAGAAAAGTTAAACTCTGAGAGTTGAACGCACACATCGCAGAGCAGTTTCTGAGAATGATTCTGTCTAGTTTTTATAAGAAGATATTTCCTTTTCTGCCTTTGGCCTCAAAGCGCTTGAAATCTCCATTTGCAAATTCCACAAAAAGAGTGTTTCAAATCTGCTCTGTGTAAATGAAAGTTCAACTCTGTGAGTTGAATACACACAACACAAGGAAGTTACTGAGAATTCTTCTGTCTAGCCTTATATGAAAAAATCCCGTTTCCACGGAAGGCCTCAAAGAGGTCAAAATATCCACGTGCAGACTTTACAAACAGAGTGTTTCCTAACTGCTCTATGAAAAGAAAGGTTAAAATCTGTGAGTTGAACGCACTCATCACAAAGGAGTTTCTGAGAATCATTGTGTCTAGTTTTTATACGAAGATATTTCCTTTTCTACCATTGACCTCAAAGCGGCTGAAATCTCCACTTGCAATTTCCACAAAAAGAGTGTTTCAAGTCTGCTCTGTGTAAAGGATCGTTCAACTCTGTGAGTTGAATACACACAACACAAGGAAGTTACTGAGAATTCTTCTGTCTAGCATAATATGAAGAAATCCCGTTTCCAACGAAGGCCTCAAAGAGGTCTGAATATCCACTTGCAGACTTTACAAACAGAGTGTTTCCTAACTGTTCTATGAAAAGAAAGGTTAAACTCTGTGAGTTGAATGCACACATCACAAAGGAGTTTCTGAGAATCATTCTGTCTAGTTTTTATACGAAGATATTTCCTTTTCTACCGTTGACCTCAAAGCGGCTGAAATCTCTACTTGCAAATTACACAAAAAGAGTGTTTCAAGTCTACTCTGTGTAAAGCATCGTTCAACTCTGTGAGTTGAAAACACACAACACAAGGAAGTTTCTGAGAATTCTTCTGTCTAGCCTTACATGAAAAAAACCCGATTCCAACGAAGGCCTCTAAGTGGTCAAAATATCCACGTGCAGACTTTACAAACAGAGTGTTTCCAAACCGCTGAATGAAAAGAAAAGTTAAACTCTGAGAGTTGAACGCACACATCACGCAGCAGTTTCTGAGAATGGTTCTGCCTAGTTTTTATACGAAGATATTTCCTTTTCTGCCTTTGGCTCCGAAGCGCTTGAAATCTCCAATTGCAAATTCCACAAAAACAGTGTCTCAAATCTGCTCCCTCTAAATGAAAGTTCAACTCTGTCAGTTGAATACACACAACACAAGGAAGTTACTGAGAATTCTTCTGTCTAGCAGAATATGAAGAAATCCCGTTTCCAACGAAGGTCTCAAAGAGGTCTGAATATCCACTTGCAGACTTTACAAACAGAGTGTTTCCTAACTGCTCTATGAAAAGAAAGGTTAAACTCTGTGAGTTGAACGCACACATCACAAAGGAGTTTATGAGAATCATTTTGTCTAGTTTCTATAAGAAGATATTTCCTATTCTACCATTGACCTCAAAGCGGCTGAAATCTCCACTTGCAAATTCGACAAAAAGAGTGTTTCAAGCCTGCTCGCTGTAAAGGATCCTTCAACTACTGTGAGTTGAATACACACAACACAAGGAAGTTACTGAGAATTATTCTGTCTAGCAGAATATGAAGAAATCCCGTTTCCAACGAAGGCCACAAGAGGTCAGAATATCCACTTACAGACTTTACAAACAGAGTGTTTCCTAACTGCTCTATGAACAGAAAGGTTAAACTCTATGAGTTGAACGAACACATCACAACGCAGTTTGTGGGAATGATTCTGTGTAGTTTTGAAACGAAGATATTTCCTTTTCTGCCATTGACCTTAAAGCGCTTGAAATCTACACTTGCAAATTGCACAAATAGAGTGTTTCAAATCTGCTCTGTCTAAGGGAACGTTCAACTCTGTGAGTTGAATGCACACAACACAAGGAAAGTTACTGGGAATTCTTCTGTCTAGCCTTACATGAAAAAAACCCGTTTCCAACGAAGGCCTCTAAGCGGTCAAATTATGCACGTGCAGACTTTACAAACAGAGTGTTTCCAAACTGCTGAATGAAAAGAAAAGTTAAACTCTGAGAGTTGAACGCACACATCGCAGAGCAGTTTCTGAGCATGATTCTGTCTCGTTTTTATACGAAGATATTTCCTTTTCTGCCTTTGGCCTCAAATCGCTTGAAATCTCCACTTGCAAATTCCACAAAAAGAGTGTTTCAAATCTGCTCTGTGTAAATGAAAGTTCAACTCTGTGAGTTGAACACACACAACACAAGGAAGTTACTGGGAATTCTTCTGTCTAGCCTTACATGAAAAAAACCCGTTTCCAACGAAGGCCTCAAAGAGGTCAAAATATCCACTTGCAGACTTTACAAACAGAGTGTTTCCTAACTACTCTATGAATAGAAAGGTTAAACTCTGTGAGTTGAACACACACATCACAAAGGAGTTTCTGAGAATCATTCTGTCTAGTTTTTATAGGAAGATATTTCCTTTTCTACCATTGACCTCAAAGCGGCTGAAATCTCCACTTGCAAATTCCACAAAAAGAGTGTTTCAAGTCTGCTCTGTGTAAAGGATCGTTCAACTCTCTGAGTTGAATACACACAACACGCGGAAGTTACTGAGCATTCTTCTGTCTAGCAGAATATGAAGAAATCCCGTTTCCAACGAAGGCCCCAAGATGTCAGAATATCCACTTACAGAATTTACAACAGAGTGTTTCCTAACTGCTCTATGAAAAGAAAGGTTAAACTCTGTGAGTTGAACGAACACATCACAACGCAGTTTGTGGGAATGATTCTGTCTAATTTTGAAACGAAGATATTTCCTTTTCTGCCATTGACCTTAATGCGCTTGAAATCTACACTTGCAAATTGCACAAATAGAGTGTTTCAAATCTGCTCTGTCTAAGGGAACGTTCAACTCTGTGAGTTGAATGCACACAACACAAGGAAGTTACTGGGAATTCTTCTGTCTAGCCTTACATGAAAAAAACCCGTTTCCAACGAAGGCCTCTAAGTGGTCAAATTATCCACGTGCAGACTTTACAAACAGAGTGTTTCCAAACTGCTGAAAGAAAAGCAAAGTTAAACTCTGAGAGTTGAACGCACACATCGCAGAGCAGTTTCTGAGAATGATTCTGTCTAGTTTTTATACGAAGACATTTCCTTTTCTACCATTGACCTCAACGCGGCTGAAATCTCCACTTGCAAATTCCACAAAACGAGTGTTTCAAGTCCGCTCTGTGTAAAGGATCGTTCAACTCTGTGAGTTGAATACACACAACACAAGGTAGTTACTGAGAATTCTTCTGTCTAGCACAGTATGGAGAAATCCCGTTTCCAACGAAGGCCTCAAAGAGGTCTGAATATCCACTTGCAGAGTTTACAAACAGAGTGTTTCCTAACTGCTCTATGAAAAGAAAGGTTAAACTCTGTGAGTTGAACGCACACATCACAAAGAAGTTTCTGAGAATCATTCTGTCTAGTTTTTATACGAAGATATTTCCTTTTCTACCATTGACCTCAAAGCGGCTGAAATCTCCACTTGCAAATTACACAAAAAGAGTGTTTCAAGTCTACTCTGTGTAAAGCATCGTTCAACTCTGTGAGTTGAAAACACACAACACATGGAAGTTTCTGAGAATTCTTCTGTCTAGCAGAATATGAAGAAATCCCGTTTCCAACGAAGGCCTCAAGGAGGTCTGAATATCCACTTGCAGACTTTACAAACAGAGTGTTTCCTACCAGCTCTATGAACAGAAAGGTTAAACTCTGTGAGTTGAACGCACACATCACAAAAGAGTTTCTGAGAATCATTCTGTCTAGTCTTTATACGAAGATATTTCCTTTTCTACCATTGACCTCAAAGCGGCTGAAATCTCCACTTGCAAATTCCACAAAAAGAGTGTTTCAAGTCTGCTTTGTGTAAAGGATCGTTCAACTCTGTGAGTTGAATACACACAACACAAGGAAGTTACTGAGAATTCTTCTGTCTAGCAGAATATGAAGAAATCCCGTTTCCAACGAAGGCCACAAGATGTCAGAATATCCACTTACAGAATTTACAAACAGACTGTTTCCTAACTGCTCTATGAAAAGAAAGGTTAAACTCTGTGAGATGAACGAACACATCACAAAGGAGTTTCTGAGAATCTTTCTGTCTAGTTTTTATAGGAAGATATTTCCTTTTCTACCTTTGACTTCAAAGCGGCTGAAATCTCCACTTGCAAATTCCACAAAAAGAGTGTTACAAGTCTGCTCTGTGTAAAGGATCGTTCAACTCTGTGAGTTGAATGTACACAACACAAGGAAGTTACTGGGAATTCTTCTGTCTAGCCTTACATGAAAAAAACCCGTTTCCAACGAAGGCCTCTAAGTGGTCAAATTATCCACGTGCAGACTTTACAAACAGAGTGTTTCCAAACTGCTGAATGAAAAGCAAAGTTAAACTCTTGAGAGTTGAACGCACACATCGCAGAGCAGTTTCTGAGAATGATTCTGTCTAGTTTTTATACGAAGATATTTCCTTTTCTACCATTGACCTCAACGCGGCTGAAATCTCCACTTGCAAATTCCACAAAACGAGTGTTTCAAGTCTGCTCTGTGTAAAGGATCGTTCAACTCTGTGAGTTGAATACACACAACAAAAAGAAGTTACTGAGAATTCTTCTGTCTAGCATAGTATGAAGAAATCCCGTTTCCAACGAAGGCTTCAAAGAGGTCTGAATATCCACTTGCAGAGTTTACAAACAGAGTGTTTCCTAACTGCTCTATGAAAAGAAAGGTTAAACTCTGTGAGTTGAACGCACACATCACAAAGAAGTTTCTGAGAATCATTCTGTCTAGTCTTTATACGAAGATATTTCCTTTTCTACCGTTGACCTCAAAGCGGCTGAAATCTCCACTTGCAAATTCCACAAAAAGAGTGTTTCAAGTCTGCTCTGTGTAAAGGATCGTTCAACTCTGTGAGTTGAATACACACAACACAAGGAAGTTACTGAGAATTCTTCTGTCTAGCAGAATATGAAGAAATCCCGTTTCCAACGAAGGCCACAAGATGTCAGAATATCCACTTTCAGACTTTACAAACAGAGTGTTTCCTAACTGCTCTATGAACAGAAAGGTTAAACTCTGTGAGTTGAACGAACACATCACAACGCAGTTTGTGGGAATGATTCTGTCTAGTTTTGAAACGAAGATATTTCCTTTTCTGCCATTGACCTTAAAGCGCTTGAAATCTACACTTGCAAATTGCACAAATAGAGTTTTTCAAATCTGCTCTGTCTAAGGGAACGTTCAACTCTGTGAGTTGAATGCACACAACACAAGGGAAGTTACTGGGAATTCTTCTGCCTAGCCTTACATGAAAAAATCCCGTTTCCAACGAAGGCCTCTAAGTGGTCAAAATTTCCACGTGCAGACTTTACAAACAGAGTGTTTCCAAACCGCTGAATGAAAAGAAAAGTTAAACTCTGAGAGTTGAACGCACACATCACGCAGCAGTTTCTGAGAATGATTCTGTCTAGTTTTTATACGAAGATATTTCCTTTTCTGCCTTTGGCCTCAAAGCGCTTCAAATCTCCACTTGCAAATTCCACAAAAAGAGTGTTTCAAATCTGCTCTGTGTAAATGAAAGTTCAACTCTGTGAGTTGAACACACACAACACAAGGAAGTTACTGGGAATTCTTCTGTCTAGCCTTATATGAAAAAACCCGTTTCCAACGAAGGCCTCAAAGAGGTCTGAATATCCACTTGGAGACTTTACAAACAGAGTGTTTCCTAACTGCTCTATGAAAAGAAAGGTTAAACTCTGTGAGTTGAACGCACACATCACAAAGGAGTTTCTGAGAATCATTCTGTCTAGTTTTTATATGAAGATATTTCCTTTTCTACCAATGACCACAAAGCGGCTGAAATCTCCACTTACAAATTCCACAAAAAGAGTGTCTCAAGTCTGCTCTGTGTAAACGATCGTTCAACTCTGTGAGTTGAATACACACAACACAAGGAAGTTACTGAGAATTCTTCTGTCTAGCCTTACATGAAAAAAACCCGTTTCCAACGAAGGCCTCTAAGTGGTCAAATTATCCACGTGCAGACTTTACAAACAGAGTGTTTCCAAACTACTGAATGAAAAGAAAAGTTAAACTCTGAGAGTTGAACGCACACATCGCAGAGCAGTTTCTGAGAATGATTCTGTCTAGTTTTTATACGAAGATATTTCCTTTTCTGCCTTTGGCCCCAAAACGCTTGAAATCACCACTTGCAAATTCCACAAAAACAGTGTTTCAAATCTGCTCTCTCTAAATGAAAGTTCAACTCTGTCAGTTGAATACACACAACACAAGGAAGTTACTGAGAATTCTTCTGTCTAGCCTTACATGAAAAAAAACCGTTTCCAACGAAGGCCTCTAAGTGGTCAAGTTATCCACGTGCAGACTTTACAAACAGAGTGTTTCCAAACTGCTGAATGAAAAGAAAAGTTAAACTCTGAGAGTTGAACGCACACATCGCAGAGCAGTTTCTGAGAATGATTCTGTCTAGTTTTTATACGAAGATATTTCCTTTTCTGCCTTTGGCCTCAAAGCCCTTGAAATCTCCACTTGCAAATTCCACAAAAAGAGTGTTTCTAATCTGCTCTGTCTAAATGAAAGTTCAACTCTGTCAGTTGAATACACACAACACAAGGAAGTTACTGAGAATTCTTCTGTATAGCAGAATATGAAGAAATCCCGTTTCCAACGAAAGCCTCAAAGTTGTCTGAATATCCACTTGCAGACTTTACAAACAGAGTGTTTCCTAACTGCTCTATGAAAAGAAAGGTTAAACTCTGTGAGTTGAACGCACACATCACAAAGGATTTTCTGAGAATCATTCTGTCTAGTTTCTATAGGAAGATATTTCCTATTCTACCATTGAACACAAAGCGGCTGAAATCTCCACCTGCAAATTCCACAAAAAGAGTGTTTCAAGTCTGCTCTGTGTAAAGGATCGTTCAACTCTGTGAGTTGAATACACACAACACAAGGAAGTTACTGAGAATTCTTCTGTCTAGCAGAATGTGAAGAAATCCCGTTTCCAACGAAGGCCACAAGATGTCAGAATATCCACTTACAGAATTTACAAACAGACTGTTTCCTAACTGCTCTATGAAAAGAAAGGTTAAACTCTGTGAGTTGAACGAACATATCACAACGCAGTTTGTGGGAATGATTCTGTCTAGTTTTGAAACGAAGATATTTCCTTTTCTGCCATTGACCTTAAAGCGCTTGAAATCTCCATTTGCCAATTGCACAAAAAGAGTGTTTCAAATCTGCTCTGTCTAAGGGAACGTTCAACTCTGTGAGTTGAATGTACACAACACAAGGGAGTTACTGGGAATTCTTCTGTCTAGCCTTACATGAAAAAAACCCGTTTCCAACGAAGGCCTCTAAGTGGTCAAATTCTCCACGTGCAGACTTTACAAACAGAGTGTTTCCAAACTGCTGAATGAAAAGAAAAGTTAAACTCTGAGAGTTGAACGCACACATCGCAGAGCAGTTTCTGAGAATGATTCTGTCTAGTTTTGAAACGAAGATATTTCCTTTTCTGCCTTTGGCCTCAAAGCGCTTGAAATCTCCACTTGCAACTTCCACAAAAAGAGTGTTTCAAATCTGCTCTGTGTAAATGAAAGTTCAACTCTGTGAGTTGAACACACACAACACAAGGAAGTTACTGGGAATTCTTCTGTCTAGCAGAATATGAAGAAATCCCGTTTCCAACGAAGGCCTCAAAGAGGTCTGAATATCCACTTGCAGACTTTACAAACAGAGTGTTTCCTAACTGCTCTATGAAAAGAAAAGTTAAACTCTGTGAGTTGAACGCACACATCACAAAGGAGTTTATGAGAATCATTCTGTCTAGTTTCTATAGGAAGATATTTCCTATTCTACCATTGACCTCAAAGCGGCTGAAATCTCTACTTGCAAATTCCACAAAAAGAGTGTTTCAAGTCTGCTCTGTGTAAAGGATCGTTCAACTCTGTGAGTTGAATACACACAACACAAGGAAGTTACTGAGAATTCTTCTGTCTAGCAGAATATGAAGAAATCCCGTTCCCAACGAAGGCCACAAGATGTCAGAATATCCACTTACAGACTTTACAAACAGAGTGTTTCCTAACTGCTCTATGAACAGAAAGGTTAAACTCTGTGAGTTGAACGAACACATCACAACGCAGTTTGTGGGAATGATTTCTGTCTAGTTTTGAAAAGAAGAAATTTCCTTTTCTGCCATTGACCTTAAAGCGCTTGAAATCTACACTTGCAAATTGCACAAATAGAGTGTTTCAAATCTGCTCTGTCTAAGGGAACGTTCAACTCTGTGAGTTGAATGCACACAACACAAGGAAGTTACTGGGAATTCTTCTGTCTAGCCTTACATGAAGAAAACCCGTTTCCAACGAAGGCGTCTAAGAGGTCAAAATATCCACGTGCAGACTTTACAAAGAGAGTGTTTCCAAACCGCTGAATGAAAAGAAAAGTTAAACTCTGAGAGTTGAACGCAGACATCACGCAGCAGTTTCTGAGAATGATTCTGTCTAGTTTTTATACGAAGATATTTCCTTTTCTGCCTTTGGCCCCAAAGCGCTTGAAATCTCCACTTGCAAATTCCACAAAAACAGTGTTTCAAATCTGCTCTCTCTAAATGAATGTTCAACTCTGTCAGTTGAATACACACAACACAAGGAAGTTACTGAGAATTCTTCTGTATAGCAGAATATGAAGAAATCCCGTTTCCAACGAAGGCCTCAAAGATGTCTGAATATCCACTTACAGACTATAAAAACAGAGTGTTTCCTAACTGGTCTATGAAAAGAAAGGTTAAACTCTGTGAGTTGAACGCACACATCACAAAGGAGTTTCTGAGAATCATTCTGTCTAGTTTCTATAGGAAGATATTTCCTATTCTACCATTGAACTCAAAGCGGCTGAAATCTCCACTTGCAAATTCCACAAAAAGAGTGTTTCAAGTCTGCTCTGTGTAAAGGATCGTTCAACTCTGTGAGTTGAATACACACAACACAAGGAAAGTTACTGAGAATTCTTCTGTCTAGCAGAATATGAAGAAATCCCGTTTCCAACGAAGGCCACAAGATGTCAGAATATCCACTTACAGAATTGACAAACAGACTGTTTCCTAACTGCTCTATGAAAAGAAAGGTTAAACTCTGTGAGTTGAACGAACACATCACAACGCTGTTTGTGGGAATGATTCTGTCTAGTTTTGAAACGAAGATATTTCCTTTTGTGCCGTTGACCTTAAAGAGCTTGAAAACTACACTTGCAAATTGCACAAATAGAGTGTTTCAAATCTGCTCTGTCTAAGGGAACGTTCAACTCTGTGAGTTGAATGCACACAACACAAGGAAGTTACTGGGAATTCTTCTGTCTAGCAGAATATGAAGAAATCCCGTTTCCAACGAAGGCCACAAGATGTCAGAATATCCACTTACAGAATTTACAAACAGACTGTTTCCTAAGTGCTCTATGATAAGAAAGGTTAAACTCTGTGAGTTGAACGAACACATCACAACGCAGTTTGTGGGAATGATTCTGTCTAGTTTTGAAACGAAGATATTTCCTTTTCTGCCATTGACCTTAATGCGCTTGAAATCTACACTTGCAAATTGCACAAATAGAGTGTTTCAAATCTGCTCTGTCTAAGGGAACGTTCAACTCTGTGAGTTGAATGCACACAACACAAGGGAAGTTACTGGGAATTCTTCTGTCTAGCATAATATGAAGAAATCCCGTTTCCAACGAAGGCCACAAAGAGGTCTGAATATCCACTTGCAGACTTTACAAACAGAGTGTTTCCTAACTGCTCTATGAAAAGAAAAGTTAATCTCTGTGAGTTGAACGCACCCATCACAAACGAGTTTCTGAGAATCATTCTGTCTAGTCTTTATACGAAGATATTTCCTTTTCTACCATTGACCTCAAAGCGGCTGAAATCTCCACTTGCAAATTCCACAAAAAGAGTGTTTCAAGTCTGCTCTGTGTAAAGGATCGTTCACCTCTGTGAGTTGAATACACACAACACAAGGAAGTTACTGAGAATTCTTCTTTCTAGCAGAACATGAAGAAATCCCGTTTCCAACGAAAGCCTCAAGGATGTCTGAATTTCCACTTGCAGACTTTACAAAAAGAGTGTTTCCTAACTGCTCTATGAAAAGAAAGGTTAAACTCTGTGAGTTGAACGCACACATCACAAAGGAGTTTCTGAGAATCATTCTGTCTAGTTTCTATAGGAAGATATTTCCTATTCTACCATTGACCCCAAAGCGGCTGAAATCTCCACTTGCAAATTCCACAAAAAGAGTGTTTCAAGTCTGCTCTGTGTAAAGGATCGTTCAACTCTGTGAGTTGAATACACACAACACAAGGAAGTTACTGAGAATTCTTCTGTTTAGCCTTACAGGAAAAAAACCCGTTTCCAACGAAGGCCTCTAAGTGGTCAAAATATCCACGTGCAGACTTTACAAACAGAGTGTTTCCAAACTGCTGAATGAAAAGAAAAGTTAAACTCTGAGAGTTGAACGCACACATCGCAGAGCAGTTTCTGAGAATGATTTCTGTCTAGTTTTTATACGAAGATATTTCCTTTTCTGCCTTTGGCCCGAAAGCGCTTGAAATCTCCACTTGCAAATTCCACAAAAACAGTGTTTCAAATCTGCTCTCTCTAAATGAAAGTTCAACTCTGTCAGTTGAATACACACAACAGAAGGAAGTTAGTGAGAATTCTTCTGTCTAGCATAATATGAAGAAATCCCGTTTCCAACGAAGGCCTCAAAGGGGTCTGAATATCCACTTGCAGACTTTATAAACAGAGTGTTTACTAACTGCTCTATGAAAAGAAAGGTTAAACTCTGTGAGTTGAACGCACACATCACAAAGGAGTTTCTGAGAATCATTCTGTCTAGTTTCTATAGGAAGATATTTCCTATTCTACCATTGACCTCAAAGCGGCTGAAATCTCCATTTGCAAATTCCACAAAAAGAATGTTTCAAGTCTGCTCTGTGTAAAGGATCGTTCAACTCTGTGAGTTGAATACACACAACACAAGGAAGTTACTGAGAATTCTTCTGTCTAGCAGAATATGAAGAAATCCCGTTTCCAACGAAGGCCACAACATGTCAGAATATCCACTTACAGAATTTACAAACAGACTGTTTCCTAACTGCTCTATGAAAAGAAAGGTTAAACTCTGTGAGTTGAACGAACACATCACAACGCAGTTTGTGGGAATGATTCTGTCTAGTTTTGAAACGAAGATATTTCCTTTTCTGCCGTTGACCTTAAAGAGCTTGAAATCTACACTTGCAAATTGCACAAATAGAGTGTTTCAAATCTGCTCTGTCTAAGGGAACGTTCAACTCTGTGAGTTGAATGCACACAACACAAGGAAGTTACTGGGAATTCTTCTGTCTAGCCTTACATGAAAAAAACCCGTTTCCAACGAAGGCCTCTAAGTGGTCAAATTATCCACGTGCAGACTTTACAAACAGAGTGTTTCCAAACTGCTGAATGAAAAGAAAAGTTAAACTCTGAGAGTTGAACGCACACATCGCAGAGCAGTTTCTGAGAATGATTGTGTCTAGTTTCTATAGGAAGATATTTCCTATTCTAACATTGACCTCAAAGCGGCTGAAATCTCCACTTGCATATTCCACAAAAAGAGTGTTTCAAGTCTGCTCTGTGTAAAGGATCGTTCAACTCTGAGTTGAATACACACAACACAAGGAAGTTACTGAGAATTCTTCTTTCTAGCAGAATATGAAGAAATCCCGTTTCCAACGAAAGCCTCAAGGATGTCTGAATATCCACTTGCAGACTTTACAGAGTGTTTCCTAACTGCTCTATGAAAAGAAAGGTTAAACTCTGTGAGTTGATCGCACACATCACAAAGGAGTTTCTGAGAATCATTCTGTCTAGTCTTTATACGAAGATATTTCCTTTTCTACCATTGACCTCAAAGCGGCTGAAATCTCTACTTGCAAATTCCACAAAAAGAGTGTTTCAAGTCTGCTCTGTGTAAAGGATCGTTCAACTCTGTGAGTTGAATACACACAACACAAGGAAGTTACTGAGAATTCTTCTGTCTAGCAGAATATGAAGAAATCCCGTTTCCAACGAAGGCCTCAAGGAGGTCTGAATATCCACTTGCAGACTTTACAAACAGAGTGTTTCCTAACTGCTCTATGAACAGAAAGGTTAAACTCTGTGAGTTGAACGAACACATCACAACGCAGTTTGTGGGAATGATTCTGTCTAGTTTTGAAACGAAGATATTTCCTTTTCTGCCATTGACCTTAAAGCGCTTGAAATCTACACTTGCAAATTGCACAAATAGAGTGTTTCAAATCTGCTCTGTCTAAGGGAACGTACAACTCTGTGAGTTGAATGCACACAACACAAGGAAGTTACTGGGAATTCTTCTGTCTAGCCTTACATGAAAAAAACCCGTTTCCAACGAAGGCCTCTAAGTGGTCAAAATATCCACGTGCAGACTTTACAAACAGAGTGTTTCCAAACCGCTGAATGAAAAGAAAAGTTAAACTCTGAGAGTTGAACGCACACATCACGCAGCAGTTTCTGAGAATGATTCTGTCTAGTTTTTATACGAAGATATTTCCTTTTCTGCCTTTGGCCCCAAAGCGCTTGATATCTCCACTTGCAAATTCCACAAAAACAGTGTTTCAAATCAGCTCTCTCTAAATGAAAGTTCAACTGTGTCAGTTGAATACACACAACACAAGGAAGTTACTGAGAATTCTTCTGTCTAGCAGAATATGAAGAAATCCCGTTTCCAACGAAGGCCTCAAAGAGGTCTGAATATCCACTTGCAGACTTTACAAACAGAGTGTTTCCTAACTGCTCTATGAAAAGAAAGGTTAAACTCTGTGAGTTGAACGCACACATCACAAAGGAGTTTCTGAGAATCATTTCTGTCTAGTTTCTATAGGAAGATATTTCCTAGTCTACCATTGACCTCAAAGCGGGTGAAATCTCCACTTGCAAATTCCAAAAAAAGAGTGTTTCAAGTCTGCTCTGTGTAAAGGATCGTTCAACTCTGTGAGTTGAATACACACAACACAAGGAAGTTACTGAGAATTCTTCTGTATAGCAGAATATGAAGCAATCCCGCTTCCAACGAAGGCCTCAAAGAAGTCTGCATATCCACTTGCAGACTTTACAAACAGAGTGTTTCCTAACTGCTCTATGAAAAGAAAGGTTAAACTCTGTGAGTTGAACGCACACATCACAAAGGAGTTTCTGAGAATCATTCTGTCTAGTTTTGAAACGAAGATATTTCCTTTTCTGCCATTGACCTTAAAGCGCTTGAAATCTCCACTTGCCAATTGCACAAAAAGAGTGTTTCAAATCTGCTCTGTCTAAGGGAACGTTCAACTCTGTGAGTTGAATGTACACAACACAAGGAAGTTACTGGGAATTCTTTTGTCTAGCCTTACAGGAAAAAACCCGTTTCCAACGAAGGCCTCTAAGTGGTCAAAATATCCACGTGCAGACTTTACAAACAGAGTGTTTCCAAACTGCTGAATGAAAAGAAAAGTTAAACTCTGAGAGTTGAACGCACACATCGCAGAGCAGTTTCTGAGAATGATTCTGTCTAGTTTTTATACGAAGATATTTCCTTTTCTGCCTTTGGCCCCAAAGCGCTTGAAATCTCCACTTGCAAATTCCACAAAAACAGTGTTTCAAATCTGCTCTCTCCAAATGAAAGTTCAACTCTGTTAGTTGAATAAACACAACACAAGGAAGTTACTGAGAATTATTCTGTCTAGCAGAATATGAAGAAATCCCGCTTCCAACGAAGGCCTCAAGGAAGTCTGAATATCCACTTGCAGACTTTACAAACAGAGTGTTTCCCAACTGCTCTATGAAAAGAAAGGTTGAACTCTGTGAGTTGAACGCACACATCACAAAGGAGTTTCTGAGAATCATTCTGTCTAGTTTTTATACGAAGATATTTCCTTTTCTACCATTGACCTCAACGTGGCTGAAATCTCCACTTGCAAATTCCACAAAACGAGTGTTTCAAGTCCGCTCTGTGTAAAGGATCGTTCAACTCTGTGAGTTGAATACACACAACACAAGGAAGTTATTGAGAATTCTTCTGTCTAGCACAATATGAAGAAATCCCGTTTCCAACGAAGGCCACAAGATTTCAGAATATCCACTTACAGACTTTACAAACAGAGTGTTTCCTAACTGCTCTATGAACAGAAAGGTTAAACTCTGTGAGTTGAACGAACACATCACAACGCAGTTTGTGGGAATGATTCTGTCTAGTTTTGAAACGAAGATATTTCCTTTTCTGCCATTGACCTTAAAGCGCTTGAAATCTCCACTTGCCAATTGCACAAAAAGAGTGTTTCAAATCTGCTCTGTCTAAGGGAACGTTCAACTCTGTGAGTTGAATGTACACAACGCAAGGAAGTTACTGGGAATTCTTCTGCCTAGCCTTACATGAAAAAATCCCGTTTCCAACGAAGGCCTCTAAGTGGTCAAAATTTCCACGTGCAGACTTTACAAACAGAGTGTTTCCAAACCGCTGAATGAAAAGAAAAGTTAAACTCTGAGAGTTGAACGCACACATCACGCAGCAGTTTCTGAGAATGATTCTGTCTAGTTTTTATACGAAGATATTTCCTTTTCTGCCTTTGGCCTCAAAGCGCTTGAAATCTCCATTTGCAAATTCCACAAAAAGAGTGTTTCAAATCTGCTCTGTGAAAATGAAAGTTCAACTCTGTGAGTTGAACACACACAACACAAGGAAGTTACTGGGAATTCTTCTGTCTAGCCTTATATGAAAAAAACCCGTTTCCAACGAAGGCCTTAAAGAGGTCTGAATATCCACTTGCAGACTTTACAAACAGAGTGTTTCCTAACTGCTCTATGAAAAGAAAGGTTAAACTCTGTGAGTTGAACGCACACATCACAAAGAAGTTTCTGAGAATCATTCTGTCTATTCTTTATACGAAGATATTTCCTTTTCTACCATTGACCTCAAAGCGGCTGAAATCTCCACTTGCAAATTCCACAAAAAGAGTGTTTCAAGTCTGCTCTCTGTAAAGGATCGTTCAACTCTGTGAGTTGAATACACACAACACAAGGGAAGTTACTGAGAATTCTTCTGTCTAGCAGAATATGAAGAAATCCCGTTTCCAACGAAGGCCACAAGATATCAGAATATCCACTTACAGACTTTACAAAGAGAGTGTTTCCTAACTGCTCTATGAACAGAAAGGTTAAACTCTGTGAGTTGAACGAACACATCACAACGCAGTTTGTGGGAATGATTCTGTCTACTTTTGAAACGAAGATATTTCCTTTTCTGCCATTGACCTTAAAGCGCTTGAAATCTCCACTTGCCAATTGCACAAAAAGAGTGTTTCAAATCTGCTCTGTCTAAGGGAACGTTCAACTCTGTGAGTTGAATGTACAGAACACAAGGAAGTTACTGGGAATTCTTCTGTCTAGCCTTACAGGAAAAAAACCCGTTTCCAAAGAAGGCCTCTAAGTGGTCAAAATATCCACGTGCAGACTTTACAAACAGAGTGTTTCCAAACTGCTGAATGAAAAGAAAAGTTAAACTCTGAGAGTTGAACGCACACATCGCAGAGCAGTTTCTGAGAATGATTCTGTCTAGTTTTGAAACGAAGATATTTCCTTTTCTGCCTTTGGCCCCAAAGCGCTTGAAATCTCCACTTGCAAATTCCACAAAAAGAGTGTTTCAAATCTGCTCTGTGTAAATGAAAGTTCAACTCTGTGAGTTGAACACACACAACACAAGGAAGTTACTGGGAATTCTTCTTTCTAGCAGAATATGAAGAAATCCCGTTTCAAACGAAAGCCTCAAGGATGTCTGAATATCCACTTGCAGACTTTACAAACAGAGTGTTTCCTAACTGCTCTATGAAAAGAAAGGTTAAACTCTGTGAGTTGAACGCACACATCACAAAGGAGTTTCTGAGAATCATTCTGTCTAGTTTCTATACGAAGATATTTCATTTTCTACCATTAACCTCAAAGCGGCTGAAATCTCCACTTGCAAATTCCACAAAAAGTGTGTTTCAAGTCTGCTCTGTGTAAAGGATCGTTCAACTCTGTGAGTTGAATGCACACAACACAAGGAAGTTACTGGGAATTCTTCTGTCTAGCAGAATATGAAGAAATCCCGTTTCCAACGATGGCCACAAGATGTCAGAATATCCACTTACAGACTTTACAAACAGAGTGTTTCCTAACTGCTCTATGAACAGAAAGGTTAAACACTGTGAGTTGAACGAACACATCACAACGCAGTTTGTGGGAATGATTCTGTCTAGTTTTGAAACGAAGATATTTCCTTTTCTGCCGTTGACCTTAAAGCGCTTGAAATCTACACTTGGAAATTGCACAAATAGAGTGTTTCAAATCTGCTCTGTCTAAGGGAACGTTCAACTCTGTGAGTTGAATGCACACAACACAAGGAAGTTACTGGGAATTCTTCTGTCTAGCCATACATGAAAAAAACCCGTTTCCAACGAAGGCCTCTAAGTGGTCAAAATATCCATGTGCAGACTTTACAAACAGAGTGTTTCCTAACTGCTCTATGAAAAGAAAGGTTAAACTCTGTGAGTTCAACGCCCACATCACAAAGGAGTTTCTGAGAATCATTCTGTCTAGTTTTTCTACGAAGATATTTCCTTTTCTACTATTGACCTCAAAGCGGCTGAAATCTCCACTTGCAAATTCCACAAAAACAGTGTTTCAAATCTGCTCTCTCTAAATGAAAGTTCAACTCTGTCAGTTGAATACACACAACACAAGGAAGTTACTGAGAATTCTTCTGCCTAGCATAATATGAAGAAATCCCGTTTCCAACGAAGGCCTCAAGCAGGTCTGAATATCCACTTGCATACTTTACAAACAGAGTGTTTCCTAACTGCTCTATGAAAAGAAAGGTTAAACTCTGTGAGTTGAACGCACACATCACAAAGGAGTTTCTGAGAATCATTCTGTCTAGTTTTTATACGAAGATATTTCCTTTTCTAACATTGACCTCAACGCGGCTGAAATCTCCACTTGCAAATTCCACAAAAAGAGTGTTTCAAGTCTGCTCTGTGTAAAGGATCGTTCAACTCTGTGAGTTGAATACACACAACACAAGGAAGTTACTGAGAATTCTTCTGTCTAGCAGAATATGAAGAAATCCCGTTTCCAACGAAGGCCACAAGATGTCAGAATATCCACTTACAGACTTTACAAACAGAGTGTTTCCTAACTGCTCTGTGAACAGAAAGGTTAAACTCTGTGAGTTGAACGAACACATCACAACGCAGTTTGTGGGAATGATTCTGTCTAGTTTTGAAACGAAGATATTTCCTTTTCTGCAGGTTGATCTTAAAGAGCTTGAAAACTACACTTGCAAATTGCACAAATAGAGTGTTTCAAATCTGCTCTGTCTAAGGGAACGTTCAACTCTGTGAGTTGAATGCACACAACACAAGGAAGTTACTGGGAATTCTTCTGTCTAGCCTTACATGAAAAAAACCCGTTTCCAACGAAGGCCTCTAAGTGGTCAAAATTTCCACGTGCAGACTTTACAAACAGAGTGTTTCCAAACCGCTGAATGAAAAGAAAAGTTAAACTCTGAGAGTTGAACGCACACATCACGCAGCAGTTTCTGAGAATGATTCTGTCTAGTTTTTATAGAAAGATATTTCCTTTTCTGCCTTTGGCCTCAAAGCGCTTGAAATCTCCATTTGCAAATTCCACAAAAAGAGTGTTTCAAATCTGCTCTGTGTAAATGAAAGTTCAACTCTGTGAGTTGAACACACACAACACAAGGAAGTTACTGGGAATTCTTCTGTCTAGCCTTATATGAAAAAATCCCGTTTCCAACGAAGGCCTGAAGGAGGTCTGAATATCCACTTGCAGACTTTACAAACAGAGTGTTTCCTAACTGCTCTATGAAAAGAAAGGTTAAACTCTGTGAGTTGAACGCACACATCACAAAGGAGTTTCTGAGAATCATTCTGTCTAGTTTTTATACGAAGATATCTCCTTTTCTACTATTGACCTCAAAGCGGCTGAAATCTCCACTTGCAAATTCCACAAAAAGAGTGTTTCAAGTCTGCTCTGTGTAAAGGATCGTTCAACTCTGTGAGTTGAATACACACAACACAAGGAAGTTACTGAGAATCCTTCTGTCTAGCAGAATATGAAGAAATCCCTTTTCCAACGAAGGCCACAAGATGTCAGAATATCCACTTACAGAGTTTACAAACAGAGTGTTTCCTCACTGCTCTGTGAACAGAAAGGTTAAACTGCTGTGAGTTGAACGAACACATCACAACGCAGTTTGTGGGAATGATTCTGTCTAGTTTTGAAACGAAGATATTTCCTTTTCTGCCATTGACCTTAAAGCGCTTGAAATCTACACTTGCAAATTGCACAAATAGAGTGTTTCAAATCTGCTCTGTCTAATGGAACGTTCAACTCTGTGAGTTGAATGCACACAACACAAGGAAGTTACTGGGAATTCTTCTGTCTAGCCTTACAGGAAAAAAACCCGTTTCCAACGAAGGCCTCTAAGTGGTCAAAATATCGACGTGCAGACTTTACAAACAGAGTGTTTCCAAACTGCTGAATGAAAAGAAAAGTTAAACTCTGAGAGTTGAACGCACACATCGCAGAGCAGTTTCTGAGAATGATTCTGTCTAGTTTTTATACGAAGATATTTCCTTTTCTGCCTTTGGCCTCAAAGCGCTTGAAATCTCCACTTGCAAATTCCACAAAAAGAGTGTTTCAAATCTGCTCTGTGTAAATCAAAGTTCAACTCTGTGAGTTGAATGTACACAACACAAGGAAGTTACTGGGAATTCTTCTGTCTAGCAGAATACGAAGAAATCCCGTTTCCAACGAAGGCCTCAAAGAGGTCTGAATATCCACTTACAGACTTTACAAACAGAGTGTTTCCTAACTGCTCTATGAAAAGAAAGGTTAAACTCTGTGAGTTGAACGCACACATCACAAAGGAGTTTCTGAGAATCATTCTGTCTAGTTTTTATACGAAGATATTTCCTTTTCTACCATTGACCTCAAAGCGGCTGAAATCTCCACTTGCAAATTACACAAAAAGAGTGTTTCAAGTCTACTCTGTGTAAAGCGTCGTTCAACTCTGTGAGTTGAAAACACACAACACAAGGAAGTTTCTGAGAATTCTTCTGTCTAGCAGAATATGAAGAAATCCCTTTTCCAACGAAGGCCACAAGATGTCAGAATATCCACTTACAGACTTTACAAACAGAGTGTTTCCTAACTGCTCTATGAACAGAAAGGTAAAACTCTGTGAGTTGAACGAACACATCACAACGCAGTTTGTGGGAATGATTCTGTCTAGTTTTGAAACAAAGATATTTCCTTTTCTGCCATTGACCTTAAAGCGCTTGAAATCTACACTTGCAAATTGCACAAATAGAGTGTTTCAAATCTGCTCTGTCTAAGGGAACGTTCATCTCTGTGAGTTGAATGCACACAACACAAGGAAGTTACTGGGAATTCTTCTGTCTAGCCTTACATGAAAAAAACCCGTTTCCAACGAAGGCCTCTAAGTGGTCAAGTTTTCCACATGCAGACTTTACAAACAGAGTGTTTCCAAACTGCTGAATGAAAAGAAAAGTTAAACTCTGAGAGTTGAACGCACACATCGCAGAGCAGTTTCTGAGAATGATTCTGTCGAGTTTTTATACGAAGATATTTCCTTTTCTGCCTTTGGCCTCAAAGCGCTTGAAATCTCCATTTGCAAATTCCACAAAAAGAGTGTTTCAAATCTGCTCTGTGTAAATGAAAGTTCAACTCTATGAGTTGAACACACACAACACAAGGAAGTTACTGGGAATTCTTCTGTCTAGCATAATATGAAGAAATGCCGTTTCCAAAGAAGGCCTCAAAGAGGTCTGAGTATCCACTTGCAGACTTTACAAACAGAGTGTTTCCTAACTGCTCTATGAAAAGAAAGGTTAAACTCTGTGAGTTGAACGCACACATCACAAAGGAGTTTCTGAGAATCATTCTGTCTAGTTTTTATACGAAGATATTTCCTTTTCTATCATTGACCTCAACGCGGCTGAAATCTCCACTTGCAAATTCCACAAAAAGAGTGTTTCAAGTCCGCTCTCTCTAAAGGATCGTTCAACTCTGTGAGTTGAATACACACAACACAAGGAAGTTACTGAGAATTCTTCTGTCTAGCACAGTATGAAGAAATCCCGTTTCCAACGAAGGCCTCAAAGAGGTCTGAATATCCACTTGCAGACTTTACAAACAGAGTGTTTCCTAACTGCTCTATGAAAAGAAAGGTTAAACTCTGTGAGTTGAACGCACACATCACAATGAAGTTTCTGAGAATCATTCTGTCTAGTTTTTATACGAAGATATTTCCTTTTCTACCATTGACCTCAAAGCGGCTGAAATCTCCACTTGCAAATTCCACAAAAAGAGTGTCTCAAGTCTGCTCTGTGTAAAGGATCGTTCAACTCTGTGAGTTGAATACACACAACACAAGGAAAGTTACTGAGAATTCTTCTGTCTAGCCTTACAGGAAAAAAACCCGTTTCCAACGAAGGCCTCTAAGTGGTCAAAATATCCACGTGCAGACTTTACAAACAGAGTGTTTCCAAACTGCTGAATGAAAAGAAAAGTTAAACTCTGAGAGTTGAACGCACACATCGCAGAGCAGTTTCTGAGAAAGATTCTGTCTAGTTTTTATACGAAGATATTTCCTTTTCTGCCTTTGGCCCCAAAGCGCTTGAAATCTCCACTTGCAAATTCCACAAAAACAGTGTTTCAAATCTGCTCTCTCCAAATGAAAGTTCAACTCTGTCAGTTGAAAACACACAACACAAGGAAGTTACTGAGAATTCTTCTGTCTAGCCTTATATGAAAAAATCCCGTTTCCAACGAAGGCCTCAAAGAGGTCTGAATATCCTCTTGCAGACTTTACAAACAGAGTGTTTCCTAACTGCTCTATGAAAAGAAAGGTTAAACTCTGTGAGTTGGACACACACATCACAAAGGAGTTTCTGAGAATCATTCTGTCTAGTTTTTATAGGAAGATATTTCCTTTTCTACCTTTGACTTCAAAGCGGCTGAAATCTCCACTTGCAAATTCCACAAAAAAGTTTTACAAGTCTGCTCTGTGTAAAGGATCGTTCAACTCTGTGAGTTGAATACACACAACACAAGGAAGTTACTGAGAATTCTTCTGTCTAGCAGAATATGAAGAAATCCCGTTTCCAACGAAGGCCACAAGATGTCAGAATATCCACTTACAGAATTTTCAAACAGACTGTTTCCTAACTGCTCTATGAAAAGAAAGGTTAAACTCTGTGAGTTGAACGAACACATCACAACGCAGTTTGTGGGAATGATCTGTCTAGTTTTGAAACGAAGATATTTCCTTTTCTGCCATTGACCTTAAAGCGCTTGAAATCTCCACTTGCCAATTGCACAAAAAGAGTGTTTCAAATCTGCTCTGTCTAAGGGAACGTTCAACTCTGTGAGTTGAATGTACACAACACAAGGAAGTTACTGGGAATCTTCTCTGTCTAGCCTTACAGGAAAAAAACCCGTTTCCAACGAAGGCCTCTAAGTGGTCAAATTATCCACGTGCAGAATTTACAAACAGAGTGTTTCCAAACTGCTGAATGAAAAGAAAAGTTAAACTCTGAGAGTTGAACGCACACATCGCAGAGCAGTTTCTGAGAATGATTCTGTCTAATTTTTATACGAAGATATTTCCTTTTCTGCCTTTGGCCTCAAAGCGCTTGAAATCTCCATTTGCAAATTCCACAAAATGAGTGTTTCAAATCTGCTCTGTGTAAATGAAAGTTCAACTCTGTGAGTTGAACACACACAACACATGGAAGTTACTGGGAATTCTTCTGTCTAGCCTTATATGAAAAAAACCCGTTTCCAACGAAGGCCTCAAAGAGGTCTGAATATCCACTTGCAGACTTTACAAACAGAGTGTTTCCTAACTGCTCTATGAAAAGAAAGGTTAAACTACTGTGAGTTGAACGCACACATCACAAAGGAGTTTCTGAGAATCATTCTGTCTAGTTTTTATACGAAGATATTTCCTATTCTACCATTGACCTCAAAGCGGCTGAAATCTCCACCTTGCCAATTCCACAAAAAGAGTGTTTCAAGTCTACTCTGTGTAAAGGATCGTTGAACTCTGTGATTTGAAAACACACAACACAACGAAGTTTCTGAGAATTCTTCTGTCTAGCAGAATATGAAGAAATCCCGTTTCCAACGAAGGCCACAAGATGTCAGAATATCCACTTACAGAATTGACAAACAGACTGTTTCCTAACTGCTCTATGAAAAGAACGGTTAAACTCTGTGAGTTGAACGAACACATCACAACGCAGTTTGTGGGAATGATTCTGTCTAGTTTTTATTGGAAGATATTTCCTTTTCTACTTTGACTTCAAAGCGGCTGAAATCTCCACTTGCAAATTCCACAAAAAGAGTGTTACAAGTCTGCTCTGTGTAAAGGATCGTTCAACTGTGTGAGTTGAATACACACAACACAAGGAAGTTACTGAGAACTCTTCTGTCTAGCCTTACATGAAAAAAACCCGTTTCCAACGAAGGCCTCTAAGTGGTCAAATTATCCACGTGCAGACTTTACAAACAGAGTGTTTCTAAACTGCTGAATGAAAAGAAAAGTTAAACTCTGAGAGTTGAACGCACACATCGCAGAGCAGTTTCTGAGAATGATTCTGTCTAGTTTTTATACGAAGATATTTCCTTTTCTGCCTTTGGCCTCAAAGCGCTTGAAATCTCCACCTGCAAATTCCACAAAAAGAGTGTTTCAAATCTGCTCTGTGTAAACGAAAGTTCAACTCTGTGAGTTGAACACACACAACCCAAGGAAGTTACTGGGAATTCTTCTGTCTAGCATAATATGAAGAAATCCCGTTTCCAACGAAGGCCTCAAGCAGGTCTGAATATCCACTTGCATACTTTACAAACAGAGTGTTTCCTAACTGCTCTATGAAAAGAAAGGTTAAACTCTGTGAGTTGAACGCACACATCACAAAGGAGTTTATGAGAATCATTCTGTCTAGTTTCTATAGGAAGATATTTCCTATTCTACCATTGACCTCAAAGCGGCTGAAATCTCCATTGCAAATTCCACAAAAAGAATGTTTCAAGTCTGCTCTGTGTAAAGGATCGTTCAACTCTGTGAGTTGAATACACACAACACAAGGAAGTTACTGAGAATTCTTCTGTCTAGCAGAATATGAAGAAATCCCGTTTCCAACGAAGGCCACAAGATGTCAGAATATCCACTTACAGACTTTACAAACAGAGTGTTTCCTAACTGCTCTATGAACAGAAAGGTTAAACTGCTGTGAGTTGAACGAACACATCACAACGCAGTTTGTGGGAATGATTCTGTCTAGTTTTGAAACGAAGAAATTTCCTTTTCTGCCATTGACCTTAAAGCGCTTGAAATCTACACTTGCAAATTGCACAAATAGAGTGTTTCAAATCTGCTCTGTCTAAGGGAACGTTCAACTCTGTGAGTTGAATGCACACAACACAAGGAAGTTACTGGGAATTCTTCTGTCTAGCCTTACATGAAAAAAACCCTTTTCCAACGAAGGCCTCTAAGTGGTCAAATTATCCACGTGCAGACTTTACAAACAGAGTGTTTCCAAACTGCTGAATGAAAAGAAAAGTTAAACTCTGAGAGTTGAACGCACACATCACAGAGCAGTTTCTGAGAATGATTCTGTCTAGTTTTTATACGAAGATATTTCCTTTTCTGCCTTTGACCCCAAAGCGCTTGAAATCTCCATTGGAAATTCCACAAAAACAGTGTTTCAAATCTGCTCTCTCTAAATGAAAGTTCAACTCTGTCAGTTGAATACACACAACACAAGGAAGTTACTGAGAATTCTTCTGTCTAGCCTTATATGAAAAAAACCCGTTTCCAACGAAGGCCTCAAAGAGGGCTGAATATCCACTTGCAGACTTTACAAGCAGAGTGTTTCCTAACTGCTCTATGAAAAGAAAGGTTAAACTCTGTGAGTTGAAGGCACACATCACAAAGGAGTTTCTGAGAATCATTCTGTCTAGTTTCTATAGGAAGATATTTCCTATTCTACCATTGACCTCAAAGCGGCTGAAATCTCCACTTGCGAATTCCACAAAAAGAGTGTTTCAAGTCTGCTCTGTGTAAAGTATCGTTCAACTCTGTGAGTTGAATACACACAACACAAGGAAGTTCCTGAGAATTCTTCTGTCTAGCAGAATATGAAGAAATCCCGTTTCCAACGAAGGCCTCAAAGAGGTCTGAATATCCACTTGCAGACTTTACAAACAGAGTGTTTCCTAACTGCTCTATGGAAAGAAAGGTTAAACTGTGTGAGTTGAACGCACACATCACAAAGGAGTTTCTGAGAATCATTCTGTCTAGTTTTGAAACCAAGATATTTCCTTTTCTGCCGTTGACCTTAAAGAGCTTGAAAACTACACTTGCAAATTGCACAAATAGAGTGTTTCAAATCTGCTCTGTCTAAGGGAACGTTCAACTCTGTGAGTTGAATGCACACAACACAAGGAAGTTACTGGGAATTCTTCTGTCTAGCCTTACATGAAAAAAACCCGTTTCCAACGAAGGCCTCTAAGTGGTCAAAATTTCCACGTGCAGACTTTACAAACAGAGTGTTTCCAAACCGCTGAATGAAAAGAAAAGTTAAACTCTGAGAGTTGAACGCACACATCGCGCTGCAGTTTCTGAGAATGATTCTGTCTAGTTTTTATACGAAGATATTTCCTTTTGTGCCTTTGGCCCCAAAGCGCTTGAAATCTCCACTTGCAAATTCCACAAAAACAGTGTTTCAAATCTGCTCTCTCTAAATGATAGTTCAACTCTGTCAGTTGAATACACACAACACAAGGAAGTTACTGAGAATTCTTCTGTCTAGCAGAATATGAAGAAATCCCGTTTCCAACGAAGGCCTCAAAGAGGTCTGAATATCCACTTGCAGACTTTACAAACAGAGTGTTTCCTAACTGCTCTATGAAAAGAAAGGTTAAACTCTGTGACTTGAACGCACACATCACAAAGGAGTTTCTGAGAATCATTCTGTCTAGTTTTTATACGAAGATATTTCCTTTTCTACCATTGACCTCAATGCGGCTGAAATCTCCACTTGCAAATTCCACAAAAAGAGTGTTTCAAGTCTGCTCTGTGTAAAGGATCGTTCAACTCTGTGAGTTGAATACACACAACACAAGGAAGTTACTGAGAATTCTTCTGTCTAGCAGAATATGAAGAAATCCCGTTTCCAACGAAGGCCACAAGATGTCAGAATATCCACTTACAGACTTTACTAACACAGTGTTTCCTAACTGCTCTATGAACAGAAAGGTTAAACTCTGTGAGTTGAACGAACACATCACAACGCAGTTTGTGGGAATGATTCTGTCTAGTTTTGAAACGAAGATATTTCCTTTTCTGCCATTGACCTTAAAGCGCTTGAAATCTACACTTGCAAATTGCACAAATAGAGTGTTTCAAATCTGCTCTGTCTAAGGGAACGTTCAACTCTGTGAGTTGAATGCACACAACACAAGGAAGTTACTGGGAATTCTTCTGTCTAGCCTTACATGAAAAAAACCCGTTTCCAACGAAGGCCTCTAAGTGGTCAAATTATCCACGTGTAGACTTTAGAAACAGAGTGTTTCCAAACTGCTGAATGAAAAGAAAAGTTAAACTCTGAGAGTTGAACGCACACATCGCAGAGCAGTTTCTGAGAATGATTCTGTCTAGTTTTTATACGAAGATATTTCCTTTTCTGCCTTTGGCCTCAAAGCGCTTGAAATCTCCACCTGCAAATTCCACAAAAAGAGTGTTTCAAATCTGCTCTGTGTAAATGAAAGTTCAACTCTGTGAGTTGAACACACACAACACAAGGAAGTTACTGGGAATTCTTCTGTCTAGCATAGTATGAAGAAATCCTGTTTCCAACGAAGGCCTCAAAGTAGGTCTGAATATCCACTTGCAGACTTTACAAACAGAGTGTTTCCTAACTACTCTATGAATAGAAAGGTTAAACTCTGTGAGTTGAACACACACATCACAAAGGAGTTTCTGAGAATCATTCTGTCTAGTTTCTATAGGAAGATATTTCCTATTCTACCGTTGACCTCAAAGCGGCTGAAATCTCCACTTGCAAATTCCACAAAAAGAGTGTTTCAAGTCTGCTCTGTGTAAAGGATCGTTCAACTCTGTGAGTTAAATACACACAACACAAAGAAGTTTCTGAGAATTCTTCTGTCTAGCATAATATGAAGAAACCCCGTTTCCAACGAAGGCCACAAGATGTCAGAATATCCACTTACAGACTTTACAAACAGAGTGTTTCCTAACTGCTCTATGAACAGAAAGGTTAAACTCTGTGAGTTGAACGAACACATCACAACGCAGTTTGTGGGAATGATTCTGTCTAGTTTTGAAACGAAGATATTTCCTTTTCTGCCATTGACCTTAAAGCGCTTGAAATCTACACTTGCAAATTGCACAAATAGAGCGTTTCAAATCTGCTCTGTCTAAGGGAACGTTCATCTCTGTGAGTTGAATGCACACAACACAAGGAAGTTACTGGGAATGCTTCTGTCTAGCCTTACAGGAAAAAAACCCGTTTCCAACGAAGGCCTCTAAGTGGTCAAAATATCCACGTGCAGACTTTACAAACAGAGTGTTTCCACACTGCTGAATGAAAAGAAAATTTAAACTCTGAGAGTTAAACGCACACATCGCAGAGCAGTTTCTGAGAATGATTCTGTCTAGTTTTTATACGAAGATATTTCCTTTTCTGCCTTTGGCCTCAAATCGCTTGAAATCTCCACTTGCAAATTCCACAAAAAGAGTGTTTCAAATCTGCTCTGTGTAAATCAAAGTTCAACTCTGTGAGTTGAACACACACAACACAACGAAGTTACTGGGAATTCTTCTGTCTAGCATAATATGAAGAAATCCCGTTTCCAACGAAGGCCTCAAGGAGATCTGAATATCCACTTGCAGACTTTACAAACAGAGTGTTTCCTAACTGCTCTATGAAAAGAAAGGTTAAACTCTGTGAGTTGAACGCACACATCACAAAGGAGTTTCTCAGAATCATTCTGTCTAGTTTCTATAAGAAGATATTTCCTATTCAACCATTGACCTCAAAGCGGCTGAAATCTCCACTTGCAAATTCGACAAAAAGAGTGTTTCAAGCCTGCTCTCTGTAAAGGATCCTTCAACTCTGTGAGTTGAATACACACAACACAAAGAAGTTACTGAGAATTATTCTGTCTAGCAGAATATGAAGAAATCCCGTTTCCAACGAAGGCCACAAGATGTCAGAATATCCACTTACAGAATTGACAAACAGACTGTTTCCTAACTGCTCTATGAAAAGAAAGGTTAAACTCTGTGAGTTGAACGAACACTTCACAACGCAGTTTGTGGGAATGATTCTGTCTAGTTTTGAAACGAAGATATTTCCTTTTCTGCCATTGACCTTAAAGCGCTTGAAATCTCCATTTGCCAATTGCACAAAAAGAGTGTTTCAAATCTGCTCTGTCTAAGGGAACGTTCAACTCTGTGAGTTGAATGTACACAACACAAGGAAGTTACTGGGAATTCTTCTGTCTAGCCTTACAGGAAAAAAACCCGTTTCCAACGAAGGCCTCTAAGTGGTCAAAATATCCACGTGCAGACTTTACAAACAGAGTGTTTCCAAACTGCTGAATGAAAATAAAAGTTAAACTCTGAGAGTTGAACGCACACATCGCAGAGCAGTTTCTGAGAATGATTCTGTCTAGTTTTTATACGAAGGATATTTCCTTTTCTGCCTTTGGCCCCAAAGCGCTTGAAATCTCCACTTGCAAATTCCACAAAAACAGTGTTTCAAATCTGCTCTCTCTAAATGAAAGTTCAGCTCTGTCAGTTGAATACACACAACACAAGGAAGTTACTGAGAATTCTTCAGTCTAGCCTTATATGAAAAAAACCCGTTTCCAACGAAGGCCTCAAAGAGGTCTGAATATCCACTTGCAGACTTTACAAACAGAGTGTTTCCTAACTGCTCTATGAAAACAAAGGTTAAACTCTGTGAGTTGAACGTACACATCACAAAGGAGTTTCTGAGAATCATTCTGTCTAGTTTTTCTACGAAGATATTTCCTTTTCTACTATTGACCTGAAAGCAGCTGAAATCTCCACTTGCAAATTCCACAAAAGGAGTGTTTCAAGTCTGCTCTGTGTAAAGGATCGTTCAACTCGGTGAGTTGAATACACACAACACAAGGAAGTTACTGAGAATTCTTCTGTCTAGCAGAATAGGAAGAAATCCCGTTTCCAACGAAGGCCTCAAAGAGGTCTGAATATCCACTTGCAGAGTTTACAAACAGAGTGTTTCCTAACTGCTCTATGAAAAGAAAGGTTAAACTCTGTGAGTTGAACACACACATCACAAAGGAGTTTCTGAGAATCGTTCTGTCTAGTTTTTATACGAAGATATTTCCTTTTCTACCATTGACCTCAAAGAGGCTGAAATCACCACTTGCCAATTGCACAAAAAGAGTGTTTCAAATCTGCTCTGTCTAAGGGAACGTTCAACTCTGTGAGTTGAATGTACACAACACAAGGAAGTTACTGGGAATTCTTCTGTCTAGCCTTACAGGAAAAAAACCGTTTCCAACGAAGGCCTCTAAGTGGTCAAAATATCCACGTGCAGACTTTACAAACAGAGTGTTTCCAAACTGCTGAATGAAAAGAAAAGTTAAACTCTGAGAGTTGAACGCACACATCGCAGAGCAGTTTCTGAGAATGATTCTGTCTAGTTTTTATACGAAGATATTTCCTTTTCTGCCTTTGGCCTCAAAGCGCTTGAAATCTCCCCTTGCAAATTCCACAAAAAGAGTGTTTCCAATCTGCTCTGTGTAAATGAAAGTTCAACTGCTGTGAGTTGAACACACACAACACAAGGAAGTTACTGGGAATTTCTTCTTTCTAGCAGAATATGAAGAAATCCCGTTTTCAACGAAAGCCTCAAGGATGTCTGAATATCCACTTGCAGACTGTACAAACAGAGTGTTTCCTAACTGCTCTATGAAAAGAAAGGTTAAAGTCTGTGAGTTGAACACACACATCACAAAGGAGTTTCTGAGAATCATTCTGTCTAGTTTTTATACGAAGATATTTCCTTTTCAAAAATTGACCTCAAAGCGGCTGAAATCTCCACTTGCAAATTCCACAAAAAGAGTGTTTCAAGTCTACTCTGTGTAAAGCATCGTTCAACTCTGTGAGTTGAAATTACACAACACAAGGAAGTTTCTGAGAATTCTTCTGTCTAGCAGAATATGAAGAAATCCCGTTTCCAACGAAGGCCTCAAGGAGGTCTGAATATCCACTTGCAGACTTTACAAACAGAGTGTTTCCTAACTGCTCTATGAACAGAAAGGTTAAAGTCTGTGAGTTGAACGAACACATCACAACGCAGTTTGTGGGAATGATTCTGTCTAGTTTTGAAACGAAGATATTTCCTTTTCTGCCGTTGACCTTAAAGCGCTTGAAATCTACACTTGCAAATTGGACAAATAGAGTGTTTCAAATCTGCTCTGTCTAAGGGAACGTTCAACTCTGTGAGTTGAATGCACACAACACAAGGAAGTTACTGGGAATTCTTCTGTCTAGCCTTACATGAAAAAAACCCGTTTCCAACGAAGGCCTCTAAGTGGTCAAAATATCCACGTGCAGACTTTACAGAGTGTTTCGAAACCGCTGAATGAAAAGAAAAGTTAAACTCTGAGAGTTGAACGCACACATCACGCAGCAGTTTCTGAGAATTATTCTGTCTAGTTTTTATACGAAGATATTTCCTTTTCTGCCTTTGGTCCCAAAGCGCTTGAAATCTCCACTTGCAAATTCCACAAAAACAGTGTTTCAAATCTGCTCTCTCCAAATGAAAGTTCAACTCTGTCAGTTGAATACACACAACACAAGGAAGTTACTGAGAATTCTTCTGTCTAGCATAAAATGAAGAAATCCCTTTTCCAACGAAGGCCTCAAAGAGGTCTGAATATCCACTTGCAGACTTTACAAACAGAGTGTTTCCTAACTGCTCTATGAAAAGAAAGGTTAAACTCTGTGAGTTGAACGCACACATCCAAAAGGAGTTTCTGAGAATCATTCTGTCTAGTCTTTATACGAAGATATTTCCTTTTCTACCATTGATCTCAAAGCGGCTGAAATCTCCACTTGCAAATTCCACAAAAAGAGTGTTTCAAGTCTGCTCTGTGTAAAGGATCGTTCAACTCTGTGAGTTGAATACACACAACACAAGGAAGTTACTGAGAATTCTTCTGTCTAGCAGAATATGAAGAAATCCCGTTTCCAACGAAGGCCACAAGATGTCAGAATATCCACTTACAGACTTTACAAACAGAGTGTTTCCTAACTGCTCTATGAACAGAAAGGTTAAACTCTGTGAGTTGAACGAACACATGACAACGCAGTTTCTGGGAATGATTCTGTCTAGTTTTGAGACGAAGATATTTCCTTTTCTGCCATTGACCTTAAAGCGCTTGAAATCTACACTTGCAAATTGCACAAATAGAGTGTTTCAAATCTGCTCTGTCTAAGGGAACATTCAACTCTGTGAGTTGAATGCACACAACACAAGGAAGTTACTGGGAATTCTTCTGTCTAGCCTTACATGAAAAAAAACCCGTTTCCAACGAAGGCCTCTAAGAGGTCAAAATATCCACGTGCAGACTTTACAAAGAGAGTGTTTCCAAACCGCTGAATGAAAAGAAAAGTTAAACTCTGAGAGTTGAACGCACACATCACGCAGCAGTTTCTGAGAATGATTCTGTCTAGTTTTTATACGAAGATATTTCCTTTTCTGCCTTTGGCCCCAAAGCGCTTGAAATCTCCAATTGCAAATTCCACAAAAACAGTGTTTCAAATCTGCTCTCTCTAAATGAAAGTTCAACTCTGTCACTTGAATACACACAACACAAGGAAGTTACTGAGAATTCTTCTGTCTAGCAGAATATGAAGAAATCCCGTTTCCAACGAAGGCCTCAAAGAGGTCTGAATATCCACTTGCAGACTTTACAAACAGAGTGTTTCTTAACTGCTCTATGAAAAGAAAGGTTAAACTCTGTGAGTTGAACGCACACATCACAAAGGAGTTTCTGAGAATCGTTCTGTCTAGTTTCTATAGGAAGATATTTCCTATTCTACCATTGACCTCAAAGCGTCTGAAATCTCCACTTGCAAATTCCACAAAAAGAATGTTTCAAGTCTGCTCTGTGTAAAGGATCGTTCAACTCTGTGAGTTGAATACACACAACACAAGGAAGTTACTGAGAATTCTTCTGTCTAGCAGAATATGAAGAAATCCCGTTTCCAACGAAGGCCACAAGATGTCAGAATATCCACTTACAGAATTTTCAAACAGACTGTTTCCTAACTGCTCTATGAAAAGAAAGGTTAAACTCTGTGAGTTGAACGAACACATCACAACGCAGTTTGTGGGAATGATTCTGTCTAGTTTTGAAACGAAGATATTTCCTTTTCTGCCATTGACCTTAAAGCGCTTGAAATCTACACTTGCAAATTGCACAAATAGTGTGTTTCAAATCTGCTCTGTCTAAGGGAACGTTCAACTCTGTGAGTTGAATGCACACAACACAAGGAAAGTTACTGGGAATTCTTCTGTCTAGCTTTACATGAAAAAAACCCGTTTCCAACGAAGGCCTCTAAGTGGTCAATATATCCTCGTGCAGACTTTACAAACAGTGTGTTTCCAAACCGCTGAATGAAAACAAAAGTTAAACTCTGAGAGTTGAACGCACACATCACGCAGCAGTTTCTGAGAATGATTCTGTCTAGTTTTTATACGAAGATATTTCCTTTTCTGCCTTTGGCCTCAAAGAGTTTGAAATCTCCATTTGCAAATTCCACAAAAAGAGTGTTTCAAATCTGCTCTGTGTAAATGAAAGTTCAACTCTGTGAGTTGAACACACACAACACATGGAAGTTACTGGGATTTCTTCTGTCTAGCAGAATATGAAGAAATCCCGTTTCCAACGAAGGCCTCAAGGTGGTCTGAATATCCACTTGCAGACTTTACAAACAGAGTGTTTCCTAACTGCTCTATGAAAAGAAAGGTGAAACTCTGTGAGTTGAATGCACACATCACAAAGGAGTTTATGAGAATCATTCTGTCTACTTTCTATAGGAAGATATTTCCTATTCTACCATTGACCTCAAAGCGGCTGAAATCTCCACTTGCAAATTCCACAAAAAGAGTGTTACAAGTCTGCTCTCTGTAAAGGATCGTTCAACTCTGTGAGTTGAATACACACAACACAAGGAAGTTACTGAGAATTATTCTGTCTAGCATAATATGAAGAAATCCCGTTTCCAACGAAGGCCTGAAAGAGGTCTGAATATCCACTTGCATACTTTACAAACAGAGTGTTTCCTAACTGCTCTATGAAAAGAAAGGTTAAACTCTGTGAGTTGAACGCACACATCACAAAGGAGTTTATGAGAATCATTCTGTCTAGTTTTGAAACGAAGATATTTCCTTTTCTGCCATTGACCTCAAAGCGCTTGAAATCTCCACTTGCCAATTGCACAAAAAGAGTGTTTCAAATCTGCTCTGTCTAAGGGAACGTTCAACTCTGTGAGTTGAATGTACACAACACAAGGAAGTTACTGGGAATTCTTCTGTCTAGCCTTACAGGAAAAAAACCCGTTTCCAACGAAGGCCTCTAAGTGGTCAAAATATCCACGTGCAGACTTTACAAACAGAGTGTTTCCAAACTGCTGAAAGAAAAGAAAAGTTAAACTCTGAGAGTTGAACGCACACATCGCAGAGCAGTTTCTGAGAATGATTCTGTCTAGTCTTTATACGAAGATATTTCCTTTTCTACCATTGACCTCAAAGCGGCTGAAATCTCCACTTGCAAATTCCACAAAAAGAGTGTTTCAAGTCTGCTCTGTGTAAAGGATCGTTCAACTCTGTGAGTTGAATACACACAACACAAAGAAGTTACTGAGAATTCTTCTGTCTAGCAGAATATGAAGAAATCCCGTTTCCAACGAAGGCCGCAAGGAGGTCTGAATATCCACTTGCAGACTTTACAAACAGAGTGTTTCCTACCAGCTCTATGAACAGAAAGGTTAAACTCTGTGAGTTGAACGCACACATCACAAAGGAGTTTCTGAGAATCATTCTGTCTAGTTTCTATAGGAAGATATTTCCTATTCTACCATTGAACTCACAGCGGCTGAAATCTCCACTTGCAAATTTCACAAAAAGAGTGTTTCAAGTCTGCTCTGTGTAAAGGATCGTTCAACTCTGTGAGTTGAATACACACAACACAAGGAAGTTACTGAGAATTCTTCTGTCTAGCAGAATATGAAGAAATCCCGTTTCCAACGAAGGCCACAGGATGTCAGAATATCCACTTACAGAATTTACAAACAGACTGTTTCCTAACTGCTCTACGAAAAGAAAGGTTAAACTCTGTGAGATGAACGAACACATCACAACGCATTTTGTGGGAATGATTCTGTCTAGTTTTGAAACGAAGATATTTCCTTTTCTGCCATTGACCTCAAATCGCTTGAAATCTCCACTTGCCAATTGCACAAAAAGAGTGTTTCAAATCTGCTCTGTCTAAGGGAACGTTCAACTCTGTGAGTTGAATGTACACAACACAAGGAAGTTACTGGGAATTCTTCTGTCTAGCCTTACATGAAAAAAACCCGTTTCCAACGAAGGCCTCTAAGTGGTCAAATTATTCACGTGCAGACTTTACAAACAGAGTGTTTCCAAACTGCTGAATGAAAAGAAAAGTTAAACTCTGAGAGTTGAACGCACACATCGCAGAGCAGTTTCTGAGAATGATTCTGTCTAGTCTTTATACGAAGATATTTCCTTTTCTACCATTGACCTCAAAGCGGCTGAAATATCCACTTGCAAATTCCACAAAAAGAGTGTTTCAAGTCTGCTCTCTGTAAAGGATCGTTCAACTCTGTGAGTTGAATACACACAACACAAGGAAGTTACTGAGAATTCTTCTGTCTAGCAGAATATGAAGAAATCCCGTTTCCAACGAAGGCCTCAAGGAGGTCTGAATATCCACTTGCAGACTTTACAAACAGAGTGTTTCCTAACAGCTCTATGAACAGAAAGGTTAAACTCTGTGAGTTGAACGCACACATCACAAAGGAGTTTCTGAGAATCATTCTGTCTAGTTTCTATATGAAGATATTTCCTATTCTACCATTGACCTCAAAGCGGCTGAAATCTCCACTTGCAAATTCCACAAAAAGAATGTTTCAAGTCTGCTCTGTGTAAAGGATCGTTCAACTCTGTGAGTTGAATACACACAACACAAGGGAAGTTACTGAGAATTCTTCTGTCTAGCAGAATATGAAGAAATCCCGTTCCCAACGAAGGCCACAAGATGTCAGAATATCCACTTACAGACTTTACAAACAGAGTGTTTCCTAACTGCTCTATGAACAGAAAGGTTAAACTCTGTGAGTTGAACGAACACATCACAACGCAGTTTGTGGGAATGATTCTGTCTAGTTTTGAAACGAAGATATTTCCTTTTCTGCCATTGACCTTAAAGCCCTTGAAATCTCCATTTGCCAATTGCACAAAAAGAGTGTTTCAAATCTGCTCTGTCTAAGGGAACGTTCAACTCTGTGAGTTGAATGTACACAACACAAGGAAGTTACTGGGAATTCTTCTGTCTAGCCTTACAGGAAAAAAACCCGTTTCCAACGAAGGCCTCTAAGTGGTCAAAATATCCACGTGCAGACTTTAGAAACAGAGTGTTTCCAAACTGCTGAATGAAAAGAAAAGTTAAACTCTGAGAGTTGAACGCACACATCGCAGAGCAGTTTCTGAGAATGATTCTGTCTAGTTTCTATACGAAGATATTTCCTTTTCTACCATTGACCTCAACGCGGCTGAAATCTCCACTTGCAAATTCCACAAAAAGAGTGTTTCAAGTCCGCTCTGTGTAAAGGGTCGTTCAACTCTGTGAGTTGAATACACACAACACAAGGAAGTTACTGAGAATTCTTCTGTCTAGCATAGTATGAAGAAATCCCGTTTCCAACGAAGGCCTCAATGAGGTCTGAATATCCACTTGCAGAGTTTACAAACAGAGTGTTTCCTAACTGCTCTATGAAAAGAAAGGTTAAACTCTGTGAGTTGAACGCACACATCACAAAGAAGATTCTGAGAATCATTCTGTCTAGTTTTTATACGAAGATATTTCCTTTTCTGCCTTTGGCCTCAAAGCGCTTGAAATCTCCACTTGCAAATTCCACAAAAAGAGTGTTTCAAGTCTGCTCTGTGTAAAGGATCGTTCAACTCTGTGAGTTGAATACACACAACACAAGGAAGATTCTGAGAATTCTTCTGTCTAGCAGAATATGAAGAAATCCCGTTTCCAACAAAGGCCACAAGATGTCAGAATATCCACTTACAGAATTTACAAACAGACTGTTTCCTAACTGCTCTATGAAAAGAAAGGTTAAACTCTGTGAGTTGAACGAACACATCACAACGCAGTTTGTGGGAATGATTCTGTCTAGTTTTGAAACGAAGATATTTCCTTTTCTGCCATTGACCTTAAAGCGCTTGAAATCTCCACTTGCCAATTGCACAAAAAGAGTGTTTCAAATCTACTCTGTCTAAGGGAACGTTCAACTCTGTGAGTTGAATGTACACAACACAAGGAAGTTACTGGGAATTCTTCTGTCTAGCCTTACATGAAAAAAACCCGTTTCCAACGAAGACCTCTAAGTGGTCAAAATATCCACGTGCAGACTTTACAAACAGAGTGTTTCCAAACTGCTGAATGAAAAGAAAAGTTAAACTCTGAGAGTTGAACGCAGACATCACAGAGCAGTTTCTGAGAATGATTCTGTCTAATTTTTATACGAAGATATTTCCTTTTCTGCCTTTGGCGTCAAAGCGCTTGAAATCTCCACTTGCAAATTCCACAAAAAGAGTGTTTCAAATCTGCTCTGTGTAAATGAAAGTTCAACTCTGTGAGTTGAACTCACACAACACAAGGAAGTTACTGGGAATTCTTCTGTCTAGCATAGTATGAAGAAATCCCGTTTCCAACGAAGGCCTCAAACAGGTCTGAACATCCACTTGCAGAGTTTACAAACAGAGTGTTTCCTAACTGCTCTATGAAAAGAAAGGTTAAACTCTGTGACTTGAACGCACACATCACAAAGAAGTTTCTGAGAATCATTCTGTCTAGTTTTTATACGAAGATATTTCCTTTTCTACCATGGACCTCAAAGCGGCTGAAATCTCCACTTGCAAATTCCACAAAAAGAGTGTTTCAAGTCTGCTCTGTGTAAAGGATGGTTCAACTCTGTGAGTTGAATACACACAACACAAGGAAGATTCTGAGAATTCTTCTGTCTAGCAGAATATGAAGAAATCCCGTTTCCAACGAAGGCCTCATGGAGGTCTGAATATCCACTGGCAGACTTTACAAACAGAGTGTTTCCTAACTGCTCTATGAACAGAAAGGTTAAACTCTGTGAGTTGAACGAACACATCACAACGCAGTTTGTGGGAATGATTCTGTCTAGTTTTTATAGGAAGTTATTTCCTTTTCTACCTTTGACTTCAAAGCGGCTGAAATCTCCACTTGCAAATTCCACAAAAAGAGTGTTACCAGTCTGCTCTGTGTAAAGGATCTTTCAACTCTGTGAGTTGAATACACACAACACAAGGAAGTTACTGAGAAATCTTCTGTCTAGCCTTACAGGAAAAAAACCCGTTTCCAACGAAGGCCTCTAAGTGGTCAAATTATGCACGTGCAGACGTTACAAACAGAGTTTTTCCAAACTGCTGAATGAAAAGAAAAGTTAAACTCTGAGAGTTGAACGCACACATCGCAGAGCAGTTTCTGAGAATGATTCTGTCTAGTTTTTATACGAAGATATTTCCTTTTCTGCCTTTGGCCTCAAAGCGCTTGAAATCTCCACCTGCAAATTCCACAAAAAGAGTGTTTCAAATCTGCTCTGTGTAAATGAAAGTTCAACTCTGTGAGTTGAACACACACAACACAAGGAAGTTACTGCGAATTCTTCTGTCTAGCAGAATATGAAGAAATCCCTTTTCCAACGAAGGCCTCAAGGAGGTCTGAATATCCACTTGCAGACTTTACAAACAGAGTGTTTCCTAACTGCTCTATGAAAAGAAAGGTTAAACTCTGTGAGTTGAATGCACACATCACAAAGGAGTTTATGAGAATCATTCTGTCTAGTTTTTATAGGAAGATATTTCCTTTTCTACCTTTGACTTCAAAGCGGCTGAAATCTCCACTTGCAAATTCCACAAAAAGAGTGTTACAAGTCTGCTCTGTGTAAAGGATCGTTCAACTCTGTGAGTTGAATACACACAACACAAGGGAAGTTACTGAGAATTCTTCTGTCTAGCAGAATATGAAGAAATCCCGTTTCCAACGAAGGCCTCAAGGAGGTCTGAATATCCACTTGCAGACTTTACAAACAGAGTGTTTCCTAACTGCTCTATGAACAGAAAGGTTAAACTCTGTGAGTTGAACGAACACATCACAGCACAGTTTGTGGGAATGATTCTGTCTAGTTTTGAAACGAAGATATTTCCTTTTCTGCCGTTGACCTTAAAGCGCTTGAAATCTACACTTGCAAATTGCACAAATAGAGTGTTTCAAATCTGCCCTCTCTAAGGGAACGTTCAACTCTGTGAGTTCAATGCACACAACACAAGGAAGTTACTGGGAATTCTTCTGTCTAGCCTTACATGCAAAAAACCCGTTTCCAACGAAGGCCTCTAAGTGGTCAAAATATCCACGTGCAGACTTTACAAACAGAGTGTTTCCAAACCGCTGAATGAAAAGAAAATTTAAACTCTGAGAGTTGAACGCACACATCACGCAGCAGTTTCTGAGAATGATTCTGTCTAGTTTTTATACGAAGAATATTTCCTTTTCTGCCTTTGGCCTCAAAGCGCTTGAAATCTCCACCTGCAAATTCCACAAAAAGAGTGTTTCAAATCTGCTCTGTGTAAATCAAAGTTCAACTCTGTGAGTTGAACACACACAACACAAGGAAGTTACTGGGAATTCTTCTGTCTAGACTTATATGTAAAAAACACGTTTCCAACGAAGGCCTCAAAGAGGTCTGAATATCCACTTGCAGACTTTACAAACAGAGTGTTTCCTAACTTCTCTATGAAAAGAAAGGTTAAACTCTGTGAGTTGAACGTACACATCACAAAGGAGTTTCTGAGAATCATTCTGTCTAGTCTTTATACGAAAATATTTACTTTTCTACCATTGACCTCAAAGCGGCTGAAATCTCCACTTGCAAATTCCACAAAAAGAGTGTTTCAAGTCTGCTCTGTGTAAAGGATCATTCAACTCTGTGAGTTGAATAAACACAACACAAGGAAGTTACTGAGAATTCTTCTGTCTAGCAGAATATGAAGAAATCCCGTTTCCAACGAAGGCCTCAAGGAGGTCTGAATATCCACTTGCAGACTTTACAAACAGAGTGTTTCCTAACTGCTCTATGAACAGAAAGGTTAAACTCTGTGAGTTGAACGAACACATCACAACGCAGTTTGTGGGAATGATTCTGTCTAGTTTTGAAACGAAGATATTTCCTTTTCTGCCATTGACCTTAAAGCGCTTGAAATCTCCATTTGCCAATTGCACAAAAAGAGTGTTTCAAATCTGCTCTGTCTAAGGGAACGTTCAACTCTGTGAGTTGAATGTACACAACACAAGGAAGTTACTGGGAATTCTTCTGTCTAGCCTTACATGAAAAAAACCCGTTTCCAACGAAGGCCTCTAAGTGGTCAAAATATCCACGTGCAGACTTTACAAACAGAGTGTTTCCAAACCGCTGAATGAAAAGAAAAGTTAAACTCTGAGAGTTGAACGCACACATAACGCAGCAGTTTCTGAGAATGATTCTGTCTAGTTTTTATACGAAGATATTTCCTTTTCTGCCTTTGGCCCCAAAGCGCTTGAAATCTCCACTTGCAAATTCCACAAAAAGAGTGTTTCAAATCTGCTCTCTCTAAATGCAAGTTCAACTCTGTCAGTTGAATACACACAACACAAGGAAGTTACTGAGAATTCTTCTGTCTAGCATAATATGAAGAAATCCCGTTTCCAACGAAGGCCTCAAAGGGGTCTGAATATCCACTTGCAGACTTTATAAACAGAGTGTTTACTAACTGCTCTATGAAAAGAAAGGTTAAACTCTGTGAGTTGAAAACACACATCACAAAGGAGTTTCTGAGAATCATTCTGTCTATTTTTTATATGAAGATATTTCCTTTTCTACCATTGACCTCAATGCGGCTGAAATCTCCACTTGCAAATTCCACAAAAAGTGTGTTTCAAGTCCGCTCTGTGTAAAGGATCGTTCAACTCTGTGAGTTGAATACACACAACACAAGGAAGTTACTGAGAATTCTTCTGTCTAGCACAGTATGAAGAAATCCCGTTTCCAACGAAGGCCTCAGAGAGGTCTGAATATCCACTTGCAGACTTTACAAACAGTGTTTCCTAACTGCTCTATGAAAAGAAAGGTTAAACTCTGTGAGTTGAACGCACACATCACAAAGGAGTTTCTGAGAATCATTCTGTCTAGTTTTGAAACGAAGATATTTCCTTTTCTGCCATTGACCTTAAAGCGCTTGAAATCTCCATTTGCCAATTGCACAAAAAGAGTGTTTCAAATCTGCTCTGTCTAAGGGAACGTTCAACTCTGTGAGTTGAATGTACACAACACAAGGAAGTTACTGGGAATTCTTCTGTCTAGCCTTACAGGAAAAAAACCCGTTTCCAACGAAGGCCTCTAAGTGGTCAAAATATCCACGTGCAGACTTTACAAACAGAGTGTTTCCAAACTGCTGAATGAAAAGAAAAGTTAAACTCTGAGAGTTGAACGCACCCATCGCAGAGCAGTTTCTGAGAATGATTCTGTCTAGTTTTTATACGAAGATATTTCCTTTTCTGCCTTTGGCCCCAAAGCGCTTGAAATCTCCACTTGCAAATTCCACAAAAACAGTGTTTCAAATCTGCTCTCTCTAAATGAAAGTTCAACTCTGTCAGTTGAATACACACAACACAAGGACGTTACTGAGAATTCTTCTGTCTAGCCTTATATGAAAAAACCCGTTTCCAACGAAGGCCTCAAAGAGGTCTGAATATCCACTTGCAGACTTTACAAACAGAGTGTTTCCTAACTGCTCTATGAAAAGAAAGGTTAAACTCTGTTAGTTGAACGCACACATCACAAAGGAGTTTCTGAGAATCATTCTGTCTAGTTTTTATATGAAGATATTTCCTTTTCTACCATTGACCTCAAAGCGGCTGAGATCTCCACTTACAAATTCCACAAAAAGAGTGTTTCAAGTCTGCTCTGTGTAAACGATCGTTCAACTCTGTGAGTTGAATACACACAACACAAGGAAGTTTCTGAGAATTCTTCTGTCTAGCAGAATATGAAGAAATCCCGTTTCCAACGAAGGCCACAAGATGTCAGAATATCCACTTACAGAATTTACAAACAGAGTGTTTCCTAACTGCTCTATGAAAAGAAAGGTTAAACTCTGTGAGATGAACGAACACATCACAACGCAGTTTTTGGGAATGATTCTGTCTAGTTTTGAAACGAAGATATTTCCTTTTCTGCCATTGACCTCAAAGCGCTTGAAATCTCCACTTGCCAATTGCACAAAAAGAGTGTTTCAAATCTGCTCTGTTTAAGGGAACGTTCAACTCTGTGAGTTGAATGTACACAACACAAGGAAGTTACTGGGAATTATTCTGTCTAGCCTTACATGAAAAAAACCCGTTTCCAACGAAGGCCTCTAAGTGGTCAAATTATCCACGTGCAGACTTTACAAACAGAGTGTTTCCAAACTGCTGAACGAAAAGAAAAGTTAAACTCTGAGAGTTGAACGCACACATCGCAGAGCAGTTTCTGAGAATGATTCTGTCTAGTTTTTATACGAAGATATTTCCTTTTCTGCCTTTGGCCTCAAAGCGCTTGAAATCTCCACTTGCAAATTCCACAAAAAGAGTGTTTCAAATCTGCTCTGGGTAAATGAAAGTTCAACTCTGTGAGTTGAACACACACAACACAAGGAAGTTACTGGGAATTCTTCTGTCTAGCAGAACATGAAGAAATCCCGCTTCCAACTAAGGCCTCAAATAAGTCTGAATATCCACTTGCAGACTTTACAAACAGAGTGTTTCCCAACTGCTCTATGAAAAGAAAGGTTGAACTCTGTGAGTTGAACGCACACATCACAAAGGAGTTTCTGAGAATCATTCTGTCTAGTTTCTATAGGAAGATATTTCCTATTCTACCATTGACCTCAAAGCGGCTGAAATCTCCACTTGCAAATTCCACAACAAGAGTGTTTCAAGTATGCTCTGTGTAAAGGATCGTTCAACACTGTGAGTTGAATACACACAACACAAGGAAGTTACTGAGAATTCTTCTGTCTAGCATAATATGAAGAAAACCCGTTTCCAACGAAGGCCTCAAGGAGGTCTGAATATCCACTTGCAGACTTTACAAACAGAGTGTTTCCTAACTGCTCTATGAAAAGAAAGGTTAAACTCTGTGAGTTGAACGGCACACATCACAAAGGAGTTTCTGAGAATCATTCTGTCTAGTTTTGAAACGAAGATATTTCCTTTTCTGCCGTTGACCTTAAAGCGCTTGAAATCTACACTTGCAAATTGCACAAATAGAGTGTTTCAAATCTGCTCTGTCTAAGGGAACGTTCAATTCTGTGAGTTGAATGCACACAACACAAGGAAGTTACTGGGAATTCTTCTGTCTAGCCTTACAGGAAAAAAACCCGTTTCCAACGAAGGCCTGTAAGTGGTCAAAATATCCACGTGCAGACTTTACAAACAGAGTGTTTCCAAACTGCTGAATGAAAAGAAAAGTTAAACTCTGAGAGTTGAATGCACACATCGCAGAGCAGTTTCCTGAGAATGATTCTGTCTAGTTTTGAAACGAAGATATTTCCTTTTCTGCCTTTGGCCTCAAAGCGCTTGAAATCTCCACTTGCAAATTCAACAAAAAGAGTGTTTCAAATCTGCTCTGTGTAAATGAAAGTTCAACTCTGTGAGTTGAACACACACAACACAAGGAAGTTACTGGGAATTCTTCTGTCTAGCAGAATATGAAGAAATCCCGTTTCCAACGAAGGCCTCAAAGAGGTCTGAATATCCACTTGCAGAGTTTATAAACAGAGTGTTTCCTAACTGCTCTATGAAAAGAAAGGTTGAACTCTGTGAGTTGAACGCACACATCACAAAGGAGTTTCTGAGAATCATTCTGTCTAGTTTCTATAAGAAGATATTTCCTTTTCTGCGATTGACCTCAAAGCGGCTGAAATCTCCACTTGCAAATTCCACAAAAACATTGTTTCAAATCTGCTCTGTGTAAAGGACCGTTCAACTCTGTGAGTTGAATACACACAACACAAGGAAGTTACTGAGATTTCTTCTGTCCAGCATCATATGAAGAAATCCCGTTTCCAACGAAGGCCTCAAAGAGGCCTGAATATCCACTTGCAGACTTTATACACAGAGTGTTTCCTAACTGCTCTATGAAAAGAAAGGTTAAACTCTGTGAGTTGAAAGCACACATCACAAAGGAGTTTCTGAGAATCATTCTGTCTAGTTTTGAAACGAAGATATTTCCTTTTCTGCCGTTGACCTTAAAGCGCTTGAAATCTACACTTGCAAATTGGACAAATAGAGTGTTTCAAATCTGCTCTGTCTAAGGGAACGTTCAACTCTGTGAGTTGAATGCACACAACACAAGGAAGTTACTGGGAATTCTTCTGTCTAGCCTTACATGAAGAAAACCCGTTTCCAACGAAGGCCTCTAAATGGTCATAATATCCACGTGCAGACTTTACAAACAGAGTGTTTCCAAACCGCTGAATGAAAAGAAAAGTTAAACTCTGAGAGTTGAACGCACACATCACGCAGCAGTTTCTGAGAATGATTCTGTCTAGTTTTTATAGGAAGATATTTCCTTTTCTGCCTTTGGCCTCAAAGCGCTTGAAATCTCCACTTGCAAATTCCACAAAAAGAGTGTTTCAAATCTGCTCTGTGTAAATGAAAGTTCAACTCTGTGAGTTGAACACACACAACACAAGGAAGTTACTGGGAATTCTTCTGTCTAGCACAGTATGAAGAAATCCCGTTTCCAACGAAGGCCTCAAAGAGGTCTGAATATCCACTTGCAGAGTTTACAAACAGAGTGTTTCCTAACTGCTCTATGAAAAGAAAGGTTAAACCCTGTGAGTTGAACGCACACATCACAAAGAAGTTTCTGAGAATCATTCTGTCTAGTTTCTATAAGAAGATATTTCCTATTCTACCATTGACCTCAAAGCGGCTGAAATCTCCACTTGCAAATTCGACAAAAAGAGTGTTTGAAGCCTGCTCTCTGTAAAGGATCCTTCAACTCTGTGAGTTGAATACACACAACACAAGGAAGTTACTGAGAATTCTTCTGTCTAGCAGAATATGAAGAAATCCCGTTTCCAACGAAGGCCTCAAAGAGGTCTGAATATCCACTTGCACACTTTACAAACAGAGTGTTTCCTAACTGGTCTATGAGAAGAAAAGTTAAACTCTGTGAGTTGAACGCACACATCACAAAAGATTTTCTGAGAATCATTCTGTATAGTTTTGAAACGAAGATATTTCCTTTTCTGCCGTTGACCTTAAAGCGCTTGAAATCTACACTTGCAAATTGCACAAATAGAGTGTTTCAAATCTGCTCTGTCTAAGGGAACGTTCAACTCTGTGAGTTGAATGCACACAACACAAGGAAGTTACTGGGAATTCTTCTGTCTAGCAGAATATGAAGAAATCCCGTTTCCAACGAAGGCCTCAAGGAGGTCTGAATATCCACTTGCAGACTTTAGAAACAGAGTGTTTCCTAACTGCTCTATGAACAGAAAGGTTAAACTCTGTGAGTTGAACGCACACATCACAAAGGAGTTTCTGAGAATCATTCTGTCTAGTCTTTATACGAAGATATTTACTTTTCTACCATTGACCTCAAAGCGGCTGAAATCTCCACTTGCAAATTCCACAAAAAGAGTGTTTCAAGTCTGCTCTGTGTAAAGGATCATTCAACTCTGTGAGTTGAATAAACACAACACAAGGAAGTTAGTGAGAATTCTTCTTTCTAGCAGAATATGAAGAAAACCCGCTTCCAACGAAGGCCTCAAAGAAGTCTGAATATCCACTTGCAGACTTTACAAACAGAGTGTTTCCTAACTGCTCTATGAAAAGAAAGGTTGAACTCTGTGAGTTGAACGCACACATCACAAAGGAGTTTCTGAGAATCATTCTGTCTAGTTTTTATACGAAGATATTTCCTTTTCTACCATTGACCTCAACGCGGCTGAAATCTCCACTTGCAAATTCCACAAAAAGAGTGTTTCAAGTCTGCTCTGTGTAAAGGATCGTTCAATTCTGTGAGTTGAATACACACAACACAAGGAAGTTACTGAGAATTCTTCTGTCTAGCAGAATAGGAAGAAATCCCTTTTCCAACGAAGGCCACAAGATGTCAGAATATCCACTTACAGACTTTACAAACAGAGTGTTTCCTCACTGCTCTATGAACAGAAAGGTTAAACTCTGTGAGTTGAACGAACACATCATAACGCAGTTTGTGGGAATGATTCTGTCTAGTTTTGAAACAAAGATATTTCCTTTTCTGCCATTGACCTTAAAGCGCTTGAAATCTACACTTGCAAATTGCACAAATAGAGTGTTTCAAATCTGCTCTGTCTAAGGGAACGTTCAACTCTGTGAGTTGAATGCACACAACACAAGGAAGTTACTGGGAATTCTTCTGTCTAGCCTTACTTGAAAAAAACCCGTTTCCAACGAAGGCCTCTAAGTGGTCAAAATATCCACGTGCAGACTTCACAGAGTGTTTCCAAACCGCTGAATGAAAAGAAAAGTTAAACTCTGAGAGTTGAACGCACACATCACGCAGCAGTTTCTGAGAATGATTCTGTCTAGTTTTTATACGAAGATATTTCCTTTTCTGCCTTTGGCCTCAAAGCGCTTGAAATCTCCACTTGCAAATTCCACAAAAAGAGTGTTTCAAATCTACTCTGTCTAAATGAAAGTTCAACTCTGTCAGTTGAATACACACAACACAAGGAAGTTACTGAGAATTCTTCTGTCTAGCCTTATATGAAAAAAACCCGTTTCCAACGAAGGCCTCAAGGAGGTCTGAATATCCACTTGCAGACTTTACAAACAGAGTGTTTCCTAACTGCTCTATGAAAAGAAAGGTTAAACTGCTGTGAGTTGAACGCACACATCACAAAGGAGTTTCTGAGAATCATTCTGTCTAGTCTTTATATGAAGATAGTTTCCTTTTCTACCATTGACCTCAAAGCGGCTGAAATCTCCACTTGCAAATTCCACAAAAAGAGTGTTTCAAGTCTGCTCTGTGTAAAGGATCATTCAACTCTGTGAGTTGAATAAACACAACACAAGGAAGTTACTGAGAATTCTTCTGTCTAGCAGAATATGAGGAATTCCCGTTTCCAACGAAGGCCTCAAGGAGGTCTGAATATCCACATGCAGACTTTACAAACACAGTGTTTCCTAACTGCTCTATGAAAAGAAAGGTTAAACTCTGTGAGTTGAACGCACACATCACAAAGGAGTTTATGAGAATCATTCTGTCTAGTTTTGAAACGAAGATATTTCCTTTTCTGCCATTGACCTTAAAGCGCTTGAAATCTACACTTGCAAATTGCACAAATAGAGTGTTTCAAATCTGCTCTGTCTAAGGAAACGTTCAACTCTGTGAGTTGAATGCACACAACACAAGGAGGTTACTGGGAATTCTACTGTCTAGCCTTACAGGAAAAAAACCCGTTTCCAACGAAGGCCTCTAAGTGGTCAAAATATCCACGTGCAGACTTTACAAACAGAGTGTTTCCAAACTGCTGAATGAAAAGAAAAGTTAAACTCTGAGAGTTGAACGCACACATCGCAGAGCAGTTTCTGAGAATGATTCTGTCTAGTTTTTATACAGAAGATATTTCCTTTTCTGCCTTTGGCCCCAAAGCGCTTGAAATCTCCACTTGCAAATTCCACAAAAACAGTGTTTCAAATCTGCTCTCTCTAAATGAAAGTTCAACTCTGTCAGTTGAATACACACAACACAAGGAAGTTACTGAGAATTCTTCTGTCTAGCCTTATATGAAAAAAACCCGTTTCCAACGAAGGCCTCAAAGAGGTCTGAATATCCACTTGCAGAGTTTACAAACAGAGTGTTTCCTAACTGCTCTATGAAAAGAAAGGTTAAACTCTGTGAGTTGAACGCACACATCACAAAGGAGTTTCTGAGAATCATTCTGTCTAGTTTTTATACGAAGATATTTCCTTTTCTACCATTGACCTCAAAGCGGCTGAAATGTCCACTTGCAAATTCCACAAAAAGAGTGTTTCTAATCTGCTCTGTGTAAAGGATCATTCAACTCTGTGAGTTGAATGCACACAACACAAGGAAGTTATTGAGAATTCTTCTGTCTAGCAGAATATGAAGAAATCCCGTTTCCAACGAAGTCCTCAAGGAGGTCTGAATATCCACTTGCAGACTTTACAAACAGAGTGTTTCCTAACAGCTCTATGAACAGAAAGGTTAAACTCTGTGAGTTGAACGCACACATCACAAAGGAGTTTCTGAGAATCATTCTGTCTAGTTTTTATAGGAAGATATTCCCTTTTCTACCTTTGACTTCAAAGCGGCAGAAATCTCCACTTGCAAATTCCACAAAAAGAGTGTTACAAGTCTGCTCTGTGTAAAGGATCGGTCAACTGTGTGAGTTGAATACACACAACACAAGGAAGTTACTGAGAATTCTTCTGTCTAGCCTTACATGAAAAAAACCCGTTTCCAACGAAGGCCTCTAAGTGGTCAAATTATCCACGTGCAGACTTTACAAACAGAGTGTTTCCAAACTGCTGAATGAAAAGCAAAGTTAAACTCTGAGAGTTGAACGCACACATCGCAGAGCAGTTTCTGAGAATGATTCTGTCTAGTTTTTATACGAAGATATTTCCTTTTCTGCCTTTGGCCTCAAAGCGCTTGAAATCTCCACTTGCAAATTCCAGAAAAAGAGTGTTTCAAATCTGCTCTGTGTAAATGAAAGTTCAACTCTGTGAGTTGAACACACACAACACAAGGAAGTTACTGGGAATTCTTCTGTCTAGCCTTCTATGAAAAAAACCCGTTTCCAATGAAGGCCTCAAAGAGGTCTGAATATCCACTTGCAGACTTTACAAACAGAGTGTTTCCTAACTGCTCTATGAAAAGAAAGGTTAAACTCTGTGAGTTGAACACACACATCACAAAGGAGTTTCTGAGAATCATTCTGTCTAGTCTTTATACGAAGACATTTCCTTTTCTACCATAGACCTCAAAGCGGCTGAAATCTCCACTTGCAAATTCCACAAAAAGAGTGTTTCAAGTCTGCTCTCTGTAAAGGATCGTTCAACTCTGTGAGTTGAATACACACAACACAAGAAAGTTACTGAGAATTCTTCTGTCTAGCAGAATATGAAGAAATCCCGTTTCCAACGAAGGCCACAAGATGTCAGAATATCCACTTACAGACTTTACAAACAGAGTGTTTCCTAACTGCTCTATGAAAAGAAAGGTTAAACTCTGTGAGTTGAACGCACACATCACAAAGGAGTTTATGAGAATCATTCTGTCTAGTTTTGAAACCAAGATATTTCCTTTTCTGCCGTTGACCTTAAAGAGCTTGAAAACTACACTTGCAAATTGCACAAATAGAGTGTTTCAAATCTGCTCTGTCTAAGGGAACGTTCAACTCTGTGAGTTGAATGCACACAACACAAGGAAGTTACTGGGAATTCTTCTGTCTATCCTTACATGAAAAAAACCCGTTTCCAACGAAGGCCTCTAAGTGGTCAAATTATCCACGTACAGACTTTACAAACAGAGTGTTTCCAAACTGCTGAATGAAAAGAAAAGTTAAACTCTTAGAGTTGAACGCACACATCGCAGAGCAGTTTCTGAGAATGATTCTGTCTAGTTTTTATCCGAAGATATTTCCTTTTCTGCCTTTGGCCCCAAAGCGCTTGAAATCTCCACTTGCAAATTCCACAAAAACAGTGTTGCAAATCTGCTCTCTCTAAATGAAAGTTCAACTCTGTCAGTTGAATACACACAACACAAGGAAGTTACTGAGAATTCTTCTGTCTAGCCCTATATGAAAAAAACCCGTTTCCAACGAAGGCCTCAAAGAGGGCTGAATATCCACTTGCAGACTTTACAAGCAGAGTGTTTCCTAACTGCTCTATGAAAAGAAAGGTTAAACTCTGTGAGTTGAACGCTCACATCACAAAGGAGTTTCTGAGAATCATTCTGTCTAGTTTTTATAAGAAGATATTTCCTTTTCTACCTTTGACTTCAAAGCGGCTGAAATCTCCACTTGCAAATTCCACAAAAAGAGTGTTACAAGTCTGCTCTGTGTAAAGGATCGTTCAACTCTGTGAGTTGAATACACACAACACAAGGAAGTTACTGAGAATTCTTCTGTATAGCCTTACATGAAAAAAACCCGTTTCCAACGAAGGCCTCTAAGTGGTCCAATTATCCACGTGCAGACTTTACAAACAGAGTGTTTCCAAACTGCTGAATGAAAAGAAAAGTTAAACTCTGAGAGTTGAACACACACATCGCAGAGCAGTTTCTGAGAATGATTCTGCCTAGTTTTTATACGAAGATATTTCCTTTTCTGCCTTTGGCCCCAAAACGCTTGAAATCTCCACTTGCAAATTCCACAAAAACAGTGTTTCAAATCTGCTCTCTCTAAATGAAAGTTCAACTCTGTCAGTTGAATACACACAACACAAGGGAAGTTACTGAGAATTCTTCTGTCTGGCCTTACATGAAAAAAACCCGTTTCCAACGAAGGCCTCTAAGTGGTCAAAATTTCCACGTGCAGACTTTACAAACAGAGTGTTTCCAAACCGCTGAATGAAAAGAAAAGTTAAACTCTGAGAGTTGAAAGCACACATCACGCAGCAGTTTCTGAGAATGATTCTGTCTAGTTTTTATACGAAGGTATTTCCTTTTCTGCCTTTGGCCCAAAGCGCTTGAAGTCTCCACTTGCAAATTCCACAAAAACAGTGCTTCAAATCTGCTCTCTCTAAATGAAAGTTCAACTCTGTCAGTTGAATACACACAACACAAGGAAGTTACTGAGAATTCTTCTGTCAAGCATAATATGAAGAAATCCCGTTTCCAACGAAGGCCTCAAGGAGGTCTGAATATCCACTTCCAGACTTTACAAACAGAGTGTTTCCTAACTGCTCTATGAAAAGAAAGGTTAAACTCTGTGAGTTGAACGCACACATCACAAAGGAGTTTCTGAGAACAATTCTGTCTAGTTTTTCTACGAAGCTATTTCCTTTTCTACTATTGACCTCAAAGCGGCTGAAATCTCCACTTGCAAATTCCACAAAAAAAGTGTTTCAAGTCTGCTCTGTGTAAAGGATCGTTCAACTCTGTGAGTTGAATACACACAACACAAGGAAGTTACTGAGAATTCTTCTGTCTAGCCTTATATGAAAAAAACCCGTTTCCAACGAAGGCCTCAAAGAGGTCTGAATATCCACTTGTAGACTTTACAAACAGAGTGTTTCCTAACTGCTCTATGAAAAGAAAGGTTAAACTCTGTGAGTTGAACGAACACATCACAACGCAGTTTGTGGGAATGATTCTGTCTAGTTTTGAAACGAAGATATTTCCTTTTCTGCCATTGACCTTAAAGCGCTTGAAATCTCCACTTGCCAATTGCACAAAAAGAGTGTTTCAAATCTGCTCTGTCTAAGGGAACGTTCAACTCTGTGAGTTGAATGTACACAACACAAGGAAGTTACTGGGAATTCTTCTGTCTAGCCTTACAGGAAAGAAAACCGTTTCCAACGAAGGCCTCTAAGTGGTCAAAATATCCACGTGCAGACTTTACAAACAGAGTGTTTCCAAACTGCTGAATGAAAAGAAAAGTTAAACTCTGAGAGTTGAACGCACACATCGCAGAGCAGTTTCTGAGAATGAGTCTGTCTAGTTTTTATACGAAGATATTTCCTTTTCTGCCTTTGGCCTCAAAGCGCTTGAAATCTCCACCTGCAAATCCCACAAAAAGAGTGTTTCAAATCTGCTCTGTGTAAATGAAAGTTCAACTCTGTGAGTTGAACACACACAACACAAGGAAGTTACTGGGAATTCTTCTGTCTAGCCTTATATGAAAAAAACCCGTTTCCAACGAAGGCCTCAAAGAGGTCTGAATATCCACTTGCAGACTTTACAAACAGAGTGTTTCCTAACTGCTCTATGAAAAGAAAGGTTTAACTCTGTGAGTTGAACACACACATCACAAAGGAGTTTCTGAGAATCATTCTGTCTAGTTTTTATACGAAGATATTTCCTTTTCTACCATTGACCTCAAAGCGGCTGAAATCTCAACTTGCAAATTCCACAAAACGAGTGTTTCAAGTCTGCTCTGTGTAAAGCATCGTTCAACTCTGTGAGTTGAATACACACAACACCAAGAAGTTACTGAGAATTCTTCTGTCTAGCAGAATATGAAGAAATCCCGTTTCCAACTAAGGCCACAAGATGTCAGAATATCCACTTACAGAATTGACAAACAGACTGTTTCCTAACTGCTCTATGAAAAGAAAGGTTAAACTCTGTGAGTTGAACGAACACATCACAACGCAGTTTGTGGGAATGATCCTGTCTAGTTTTGAAACGAAGATATTTCCTTTTCTGCCATTGACCTTAAAGCGCTTGAAATCTCCATTTGCCAATTGCACAAAAAGAGTGTTTCAAATCTGCTCTGTCTAAGGGAACGTTCAACTCTGTGAGTTGAATGTACACAACACAAGGAAGTTACTGGGAATTCTTCTGTCTAGCCTTATATGAAAAAAACCCGTTTCCAACGAAGGCCTCTAAGTGGTCAAATTATCCACGTGCAGACTTTACAAACAGAGTGTTTCCAAACTGCTGAATGAAAAGCAAAGTTAAACTCTGAGAGTTGAACGCACACATCGCAGAGCAGTTTCTGAGAATGATTCTGTCTAGTTTTGAAACGAAGATATTTCCTTTTCTGCCTTTGGCCTCAAAGCGCTTGAAATCTCCACTTGCAAATTCCACAAAAAGAGTGTTTCAAATCTGCTCTGTGTAAATGAAAGTTCAACTCTGTGAGTTGAACACACACAACACAAGGAAGTTAATGGGATTTCTTCTGTCTATCACAGTATGGAGAAATCCCGTTTCCAACGAAGGCCTCAAAGAGGTCTGAGTATCCACTTGCAGAGTTTACAAACAGAGTGTTTCCTAACTGCTCTATGAAAAGAAAGGTTAAACTCTGTGAGTTGAACGCACACATCACAAAGAAGTTTCTGAGAATCATTCTGTCTAGTTTCTGTATGAAGATATTTCCTATTCTACCATTGACCTCAAAGCGGCTGAAATCTCCACTTGCAAATTCCACAAAAAGAGTGTTTCAACTCTGCTCTGTGTAAAGGATCGTTCAACTCTGTGAGTTGAATACACACAACACAAGGAAGTTACTGAGAATTCTTCTGTCTAGCACAGTATGGAGAAATCCCGTTGCCAACGAAGGCCTCAAAGAGGTCTGAATATCCACTTACAGAATTTACAAACAGACT